>NC_000016.10:70017045-70320075 GCF_000001405.40 Homo sapiens
ACCCCCACTGAGCTAGAACTCGGGTCAACTGGCTCCAGACTCCCACTTAGAAGGCAGAGTAGCCACACCCCCTTCAACCAAACCATGTATTTTTTTTTCTTCCTTGAGACAGGGTCTCTGTCACCCAGGCTGGAGTGCAGTGGCGCAATCTCGGCTCACTGCAACCTCCGCCTCCCGGGTTCAAGCAATTCTTTCACCTCAGCCGCCCCAGTAGCTGGGACTACAGGCATGTGCCACCACGCGCGGCTACTTTTTGTATTTAAACCAAACCATGTTCTAAAAGAAAAATAAACCTACTGACTTGAACCCCAAATACACTCAAATGTTAGTTTTAAACTTAAGCATACCTTGCAGAATTGTCAAAGAAACACTCAGTGAACCTATTTAAATCAGAATTTGACGTATATTTCCTGAGGTTCTAAAATACAATGAAGCAAAACACAAAAACTTTCAAACCTGAACTGATCCTCATTCTCTCCTAAGTCCTTATTTCCTTGTCTAGTTATGCCTAGGGAACAATCTGTTGGATTCACTTCAGGAAGATATCAGGAGAAGACAAGAGCAGAGCCATTTGCTTTTCTCTTTCTCCCACTTCACGCAAATGAAAACTGATGGCAGAAGGTTGCAGAAAGAGAAGCCCAAAGCATTCTGAGGCACAAAGTGAGTTTTCATTTTGGGAAGAGGAGTGTGCCCAAGGCCTTGGGCAGCTGAAGTCAATGGTGTTTATCTTTGTGCAATTCTGAACTTAAACCCAATAAATGAAGTACATGAAAAGCACCATAGGAATTAAACATTGTATGGTTCAAATTTCTTCGCTTCAGGCTCACTGTATAAATACAGGCAGTTTTTTTTTGTTTTTGTTTTTTGTTTTGTTTTTTACTGGAGCTGCCACAATTCCACTGAAATGTGGAGAAAATCATTCTAAAGTTCTAAAATCATTCTAAGTTGCTGAAGTTCAAAAAAAGTTGTATTTTGAAAACAGATGAAATTATATACCATACCAAGATTTTGATGTAATTCACTTTCTTCAAACTTTCCTGCAACCATTGACTCTGCAAATGACAAAAAATAACACATGTAATTAGACGGACATGGGATATGAAGAAGTGGTTTTCACCAGGGGCTGTGGAGGTCTGTGAACACGGATGTCAGGCAAAGTCACCTGCCACTTGGTGGTTTCTAAGTTCAGCCACCTGTTTTTGTATTTCAACATCTGGAAATATTCACCAATCTTTCATTTAAAAGTTACATGTAGTAATTCAAGAAAAGCAGTTTCTAATAAGACACGGAAATCTGTTGTATTTGCAATGTAAGTCTGTCTTTCATTCAAAAGCTACTGAGTATAAACACGTGCAAGGCACAGTACCGAACACTAGGGGAGACCAACGACAAATGAGAGGATGCAGCACGCTCAAGAGCTGGTGATAAGAGCACAGTACTGCCACTCATCACCTGCAGGACCACGGATAAGTCACTTCATCTGCCAGTCACCAGCTATGTAACCTGTCTATGCTTCAGTTCCCTCAATTATAAAACAGGGAGGACAGTATGTATCTCACATTGCTGTGAGGAGTAAATGAGTTGATATGCAATACAAGAAGTGCTTAGCAACAGGGTCTAGAATGTAGTGTCATTAGACTAATGTCTCAATCCCAGGTCCCTCATCACTAATCATATCTAACTCATGGGATTGGAGTATATTAATTCAACAGATATTCACTGAGTACTGGACAGTAGAAAGCCCCTCAAGAAATTCCTTTTTTTTTTCCTTAAAGAAAATTAATTCTGAATACACTGTCATCAGTGGAACTGACATTCTAGTGAAGTTGCAGGGATCAAATGAGATGATGCATGAAAGTACTCATGGTGCCTGACACTGAGGTGAATGCTCAATAACTACTGAAGACGAGAAAGGAGAGAGGGAGAAGAGAAGGAAGAGGAGGAGGAGGAGGCGAATGCTGATTTACGCTCTCAGGAAATGTATGCTCCACTGTGGACTATAAGGCATGGCTATATACAGATCACCATGTCTGCTAAATGTCCATGCAGTTTAACACATGCATTGATTAGCCTTTGAGTCAGCAGTAGGACAGCATTCAAATCCTCAGGAGTATACGGTTCTGCCTGCAGGAAGATGCCAGAGCTGTGCTGACCTCAAGGGTCTGGTAGTTAATGGCATCATTCTCCTGCACTCCATAGCCACAGGAAATTGAAAAAATCTCCCGAGTGCCCAAGCCATCTCTAAACTAAGTTACTAAGGCTTCTCTTTCCTAAGAACCACATCTCAAGAAATGAGCTAATAGCACAGTGAGACACTTTTCAAAAAATGCAGTGCTTTTGTAAACATAATGAGCATCAAACTTTTTTTTTTTTTTTTGAGACAGGGTCCTACTCTGTCGCCCAGGCTGGAGTGGAGTAGTGCAGTAGTGCTATTTGGGCTCACGGCAACCTTGACCTCCTGGGCTCAAGTGATCTTCCCACCTCAGCCTCCTGAGTAGCTGGGATCACAGGTGTGTGCCACTACACCTGGCTAATTTTTGTATTTTTTGTAGAGACAGGGTTTCACCACATTGCCCAGGCTGGTGTTGAACTCTGGGGTTTAAGTGATCCACCTGCCTTGGCCTCCCAAAGTGCTGGGATTATAGGCATGAGCCACTGCACCCAGCCCAGAGCATACTTAAAACTGTTGAACTATCCTAACATATGATGAACGAAGGGACTACTGCTAGAGCACTATGCAAATACTTTTCTTGTGTGTGTGTGTGTGTGTTTTAGATGGTGTCACCCAGGCTGGAGTGCAGTGGCACGATCTTGGCTTACTGCAACCTCCGCCTCCCAAGTTCAAGCAATTCTCCCTGCCTCAGCCTCCTGAGTAGCTGGGACTACAGGCGCCTGCCACCATACCTGGCTAATTTTTGTATATTTAGTAGAGACGGAGTCTCACCATGTTGGCCAGGCAGGTCTCAAACTCCTGACCTCAGGTGATCCGCGCGCCTCAGCCTCCCAAAGTGCTGGGATTACAGGCATGAGACACCACGCCCGGCCTATTTTTCTTTCTTTTTTTAAAAGACTGAGTTTCGCTCTGGCTGGAGTGCAGTGGCGCAATCTCGGCTCACTGCAAGCTCCGCCTTCTGGGTTCACGCCATTCTCCTGCCTCAGCCTCCCAAGTAGCTGGGACTATAGGCACCCGCCACCATGCCCGGCTAATTTTTGTATTTTTATTAGAGACAGGGTTTCACCGTGTTAGCCAGGATGGTCTTGATCTCCTGACCTCATGATCTGCCCACCTCGGCTTCCCAAAGTGCTGGGATCACAGGCGTGAGCCATTGCACCCGGCTACCTATGTTTCTTAAATATAGAAATGATACTTGAGGAAGTGCTAACTCCCCAAGAATATATTTAAAACAAAGATTTCAACCCATGTGCATAACTTACTATATGAACAGACACTACTGCAAGAGCTCTACCTGTATTCGTTCCTCGAGCCATCCTGGCAATCCTTGTCATATAATTTATATTTCACAGGTAAGAAAATGGAGGTGACGTGCTTCTGAGCTTAGGTAGGGCTCAGCTCTAACCCTGAGTAAACATGACCCTGTTTTTTGGCTTTTTTTTTTTTTTTTTTTTGAGACGGAGCCTCGCTCTGTCACCCAGGCTGGAGTGCAGTGGCGCGATCTCGGCTCACTGCAAGCTCTGCCTCCCGGGTTCGCACCATTCTCCGGCCTCAGCCTCCTGAGCAGCTGGGACTACAGGCGCCCGCCACCACGCCCAGCTAATTTTTTGTATTTTTAGTAGAGACGGGGTTTCACCGTGTTAGCCAGGATGGTCTTGATCTCACGACCTCGTCATCCGCCCGCTTCAGCCTCCCAAAGTGCTGGAATTACAAGTGTGAGCCACCGTGCCCAGCCTGTTTTTTTGCTTTCTAAATGCTATGATCTGAATATTTATGTCCCCGCAAAACTCCTATGTGGAAACCTAATCCCAAATGAGTTGAGGCCTTTGGGAGGTGATTAGGGCATGAGGATGGAACCCTCACAAACAGGATTAGTGACCTTCTGAAAGAGGCTCAAGGGACTGTGCTCACCCCTTCTGCCATGTGAGGCCACATGCAAGGTACTATCTATGAGGACGGGCCCTCACCAGACATGGAATCTCCTGGCACCTTGATCTGAGACTTCTCACGTCCAGAACTGTAAGCAATAAATGTCTGTTGTTTATAAATTACCCACTCTAAGGTATTTTGTTATAGAAGGCTGAATGCTCTAAAACACTGAAATATAGCATAATTATATATTTTTCACAATTAGAACACACCTAAAATGGAGAGAGAATTAGAATTGTCCCCAAGAGCCCTGCAATTTGGAAACCCAAGCCAGCTGGTTTTTAAAATATCCATGCCCTCCATAACCACCCTGTGACCTTCCTGTTCCCTCACCGTAGTCAGTCAATCAAGGGGAACACTCGCTCCCCACCCCTCCATCTTTTGCACACTTCTCCACTCCTTGGAAGTCATCTGTGACTTCTTTTCTGATCCCATGCTGACAGTGGTGTTCCTTTTCATCTGATTTCATCTGCACACAAATGCTGGGACAGACAACCCAGCACTTTCTCCCAGAACTTTGAACAAGAAATATTTACATGCAGGGCGATTAGTCTCTGGCTCATGAGACAGTCAATCCAGACAACAACACTCTTGATGGAAGGTACAGAAATGAGATGTTTTTCTGTCTCTGCTGTGGCCAAGGAGTCTTTCATTTAAATGTCAGGCTTCTACTCACCAGTTGACAGGCATGCTTGATCCTCTCCACAAACCCATCAAGTCCCAAGTATTGTAAAGATAACCACAGAGGCAGGGCACGGAGTTTGTCTGTGGGCTTATTTGATATAAGACCAGCAACTAAAGTCTAAAAAAGCCAAAAGAGGTTTATTAATCAAAGCCATTGCAATCTCATAATAGAACTAACCAGCTACCATTTGCTACCCACTTAGTGTGGGCTAGATGCCATACTAGTCACTAGGCTTGCATTATCCATGTGATCTTCCAACAACTCTGTGAGCTAAGTATTCTAGGTAACTTCACTCAGAGACCTCGGTTTGTCCAAGGGTTCACAGCTCAGGAGTGGCAAAGCCAGGAAAAGCCAGTGGAAAACCCAGATGGGTCACATCCCAGAACCTAGGAGACTCCCCACTTCGAAGGTAGCTCTGAGCATCCTCAAACACCTGGCCATTATTAACTGAGCAAGACAGCATTGTTTTAGCAGAAATCACTTAAACCTTATTTTGCACGCTGACCTATATTATCAAGAACCACATTATTATTATTTTTTGTGTGTGACAGGTTTCGTTTTCATTCTGTCACCCAGGCTGCAGTGCAGTGGTGTGATCATAGCTCAATGCAGCCTTGATCTCCAGGGCTCAATCAGCCCTCCCACATTAGCCTCATGAGTAGCTGAGACTACAGGCTCACACCACCATGCCTAGCCAATTCTTTGTTGTTGTTTTTTTTTATAGAGACGAGGTTTCACCATGTTGCCCAGGCTGGTCTCAAACTCCTAGGCTCAAGCGATCTGCCTGCCTCAACCTTCCAAAGTGCTGGGATTACAGGCATGAGCCACCACGCCTGGCCCACAACTACGATTAAAAAAAAAAAAAAAAATGTGGCCAGGTGCGATGGCTCATGCCTGTAATCCCAGCACTTTGGGAGGCCGAGGCAGGCAGATCACCTGAGATCAGGAGTTCAATATGACCAACGTGGTGAAACACTGCCTCTACTAAAAATACAAAATAAGCCGGGCGTGGTGGCGCATGCCTGTAATCCCAGCTACTTGGGAGGCTGAGGCAAGAGAATCACTTGAACCCAGGAGGTGGAGGTTGCAGTGAGCCAAGATCATCTCACCATTGCACTCCAGCCTGGGTGACAGAGCGAGACTCCATATCAAAAAAAAAAAAAAAAAAAAAGTTACAACCTATTGGACAATGTGGATCAGGAGGCTTAAAACTCCCCCACTCAGTCATTCCACATCTGGGAACCTATTCTAAGGAAATAATTAGAAACACAGAAAGACGTTCACTGCTTCATTATTTCAGTAACAAAACACTGAAAACATCCTATAAGTTCATAAATGGAGAATAATTAAATTGTGACAGAATATTATACAATCATAAAATGTCATTAAAAAAAGTCTCACCTTACAAGTTTCTCTTTAAAAAAATGAAATAGAAGTGAAATTATGGGTATTTTTCACTTTTTCCTGTATTTTTCTGGATTTTGCCCCCAAAGCCAATAATGTGTATTAGCCACACCCACTCCCTCCGCAGTGAGGGGAAACTTACCAAGGCAGGGTCGTGTTTATACAGTGTCACCGCAGGAACAGCTGGCAAACCCAGCCACGGGCCAGGAGTCATCGTCATGCTATCACATTTGGCTGCAGCCTACCAAAACAAGAACAACTCTTTGTTAGATTATCAGAATACACAAACCTAACACCCTCCTCCATTCATAAAAACTGTGAAGAGCCAGGAGGGATTGAGTGATTTTAAATTCATTCTTAAAAACACCAATATTCAGTAAATCAACAACATACCAGCACTGATGAGGAGACATAACCCAGAGCCAATGTTGCCAGATTCACACTGGAAGAAAAAACACCAGTCTAAGAACTAATTATTTAATGTTGCTTACTCACCATGTACTTAAAAAAATAAAGGCTGTGCTGTTGCAAGTTGACACTTAAGTATATTTTTAATGTTATTAGCTTTCATAACAGCAACAGAAGGTGTGCTTTATACATATGAAGGAAAATCCTGAAAATGCACTTTAATAAAAGTGTGTCTCAGGAACTATCCCCGCTCATTTAATATAATGGGAGTATTATTCTCTTTCATGGATCTTATTTTCCAGTTTTATCATTCTTTACTTGGGGATCAAAAAGAAACCTCCCTGTATGATGTGGTGGATATGGGCTACTCTGGCTGCCCACGTCCGTTCCCCCTGCTTCTCTTAATGGCCCTACAATAGCCTTCCGGGGCGCCACCTCCATTTCTTCCAGCAGAACATGAGCTTTGTGGGGAGGAGACACCACTATCTGCTCCAGAGGAGGGCAAAGAACCTGAACTATCAGAGGATTACTTCTCCCTGGCCACAGTGGCTGGTTCAATATGAGACTTCTGTTAGGACTTCCAGCTGACCACGAAGCTGGAAAGAAGGATGGAGTTTCTGCAGCTACTTTGCACTGTAACAGGAAGATCTGTCCACAGGTAGAGGAAACCAAGCCCAGTGCCTGTGACTGGGGGAGCAGAGGTGGGAGTAACACACTGGATCCTGGTTGATGTTGTGCCTGAGGCAGTCATAACACTGCTCTTTGTAGTTATGTGAGCCAGTAAGATCTCTTTGGGCTTAAGCCAATTTGGGTTATTTTGTGATCTGTGACCCGAAGAGCCCTTCGTGATAAATGTCACCAAAGTGAGAGCCTGGATGTCCAGTCCTCATGAGGACTCTGTGCAGGCCCGAATGGAGCCACCAGCCTCACCGCCGGCTTACCCCTCCACATGAAGCCATATGCCATACTGCTCACAGAGTTCTTTCAATCTCCCAATCTTGTCTGTGTGTCCTACTGCTGCCGTTCCTAGGATAAAACAAATCAGGGCATTAAAAGGAACAAATGTTTTCTAAGGCTTTATACCTTAAACACTTTTATACACATTATCGCCCTAGGAGGGAAGTGACTTATTATATCCCTATTTTATTGAGATTTTCTTTGTGGAAGGACTTAAAATCAGTGTTTGTGAGTTGACTTATTACAAGCTTTGAAGAGTATGTAATCTCTATTACATGTATCTAATTATGTCATTGAAATCTTTTATATACTTATTTTCTATCTACTTGATCTGCTGACTCATGAGAAATATATTCAAATCTCCCACCAAGATTGTGGTTTGTCAATATATACTTGTGTTACATCAGACTTTTCCTTTAGCTTTCCTTTATATATTTTAAAGTTATGTTCACAAGCATTCATAACTGTTTTTTTTTTTTTTTTTTTGAGATGGAGTCTCACACTGTCGCCCAGGCTAGAGTGCAGTGGCATGATCTCAACTCTGCAACCTCCACCTCCCAGGTTCAAGCAATTCTCCTCGCCTCAGCCTCCCAAGTAGGTGGGATTACAGGCACCGGCCACCACGCCCGGCTAATTTTTTTGTATTTTTAGTAGAGACGGGGTTTCACTACGTTGGCCAGGCTGGTCTCGAACTCCTGACCTCGTGATCCACCTGCCTCGGCCTTCCAAAGTGCTGGGATTATAAGCATGAGCCACCGTGCCCAGCAGGTATAACTGTTATTTCTTTTAGGAGATTACATCTTTCATCAATATGAAGTCTATTTTATCCCACACTAATATGGCTATGGTACTTTCATTTTGTCAGCATTTGTCCAAGATAAACTTTTCCACCTTTTTATTTTATCGTCACTTCCTGGATTATTTTGATTTAGATATGCCCTTTATAAAAATCATATAGGTGGGCTGGGCACAGTGGCTCACACCTGTAATCCCAGCACTCTGGGAGGCCCAGGCGGGTGGATCACAAGGTCAGGAGATCGAGACCATCCTGGCTAACACGGTGAAATCCTGTCTCTACTAAAAATACAAAAACAAAATTAGCAGGGTGTAGTGGTGGGTGCCTATAGTCCCAGGTACTCGGGGGGCTGAGGCGGGAGAATGGCGTGAACCCGGGAGGCAGAGCTTGCAGTGAGCTGAGATCGTGCCACTGCACTCCAGCCTGGGCAACAAAGCGAGACTCCAGCTCAAAAAACAAACAAAACATATAGATGAATTTGTTTTGTTTCCACCCAGGTTCTTTGTAATACAGAACATGCATTCTGAAGCCAGCTTAAGCATATTAAGCACTTTCAGCCGCTCCCTTGGTAATTGATTGCACTACAGATTTTGCTGGGGAGATCCCTTTTCAGAGAGAGCTTAGTTAAAACGTGGAGTCAGGCATCCCCCAACCGTCCTCAATTTCCAGTTAGCAGCAAGCCAACTAAAAAGATTTCAAACCCTCACCAACGGCCTCAACAAACACAGCTAAAGAAAGTAGTTCTTTTGTAAGGTCTATGCCAGGAAAAGGGCTGAAAACTTTTCCCCTCATACCTAAATCTACCTCAAATTAAAAAAAAAAAAAATCTTAACAGACACATTTAGTTTAGCTGAAACAAGATCAAATGTCAATGCATGGGCTGTGCCACAGGCTCTTCCAGCAAAATAAAAGCGTACTGCTGTGTTAGTGCCCGGACCGCATTCAGATTCTCTTTTCATATTTCTTGGCAACGTCTGGTGACTAACCCTTGACATGTGTCTTCTGACATCTGCAACATAATCACACTGGCAAGTCACTCAGTCACATGCAAACTGCAGCCCCTCCAGTTTATCATGTGATTGAATATGGGTGAATTTGTGTTTTTAAACAATAAGGCAGGAAGTGATGGTTTTCCTGTTGGCAATAAAGTGAATATTTATGTGGTTTTTCTATTTTGTCTTTTTTTTTTTTGAGACAGAGTCTCACCCTGTTGCCCAGGCTCACTGCAATCTCAGCCTCCTGGATTCAAGCTATTCTCCCGCCTCGGCCTCCTAAGTAGCTGGGATTACAGGTGCCTGCCACCACAACCAGCTAATTTTTATATTTTTAGTACAGACAGGGTTTCGCCATTTTGGCCAGGCTGGTCTTGAACTCCTGACCTCAGGTGATCTTCCCGCCTTGGCCTCTCAAAGTGCTGGAATTACAGGCATGAGCCACCACACCCAGCCTAAATAAGCAGTTTTATTGTAGTATGATTTTTTTTTTTTTTTTTTTTTTTTGAGACAGAGTCCCTTTCTGTCACCCAGGCTACAGTGCAGTAGTGCGATCTTGGCTCACTGCAACCTCCACCTCCCAGGTTCAAGCAATTCTCCTGCCTCAGCCTCCCAAGTAGCTAGGACTACAGGTGCACACCACCACACCTGGCTAATTTTTGCATTTTTAGTAGAGATGGGGTTTTACCACGTTGGTCAGGCTGGTCTTGAACTCCTGACCTTGTGATCTGCCTGCCTCAGCCTCCCAAAGTGCTGGGACTACAGGCATGAGCTGCCATGCTCGGCCTATTGTAGTATGATTTACATGCAACAAAACTCACTCATGTAAGTATACGGTCCAATGAGTTTTGACAAATATATAGAGCATGTAACCATCAACACAATCAAGATTCAGAATACTTCCATCAACCCCCAAATCCCATCAACCCCAATATAATTACCCTTTCCCTGACTCCTCACTGGCCCTGGAAAATCCTGATCTGCTTCTGTCACTGTAGTTTTTTGCCTTTTTTTTTTTTTTTTTTTTTTTTTGAGATAGGGTCTCACTCTGTCGCCCAGGCTGAAGTGCAGTGGCACAATCTCGGCTCATTGCAAGCTCCGCCTCCCAGGTTCACGCCATTCTCCTGCCTCAGCCTCCCGAGTAGCTGGGACTACAGGTGCCCACCACCACGCCTGGCAAATTTTATTTATTTACTTATTTATTTTTTATAGAGACAGAGTCTCACTGTCACCAAGGCTGGAGTGCAGTGGTGCGATCTCACCTCACTGCAACCTCTGCCTCCCGAGTTCACGCCATTCTCCTGCCTCAGCCTCCCAAGTAGCTGGGACTACAGGTGCCCACCACCACACCCAGCTATTTTTTTTGTATTTTTAGTGGAAATGGGATTTCACCATGTTAGCCAGGATGTCTTGATCTCCTGACCTCAGAATCTGCCCGCCTCGGCCTCCCAAAGTGCCTGGCCTGACATAATATTTTAAAGAATTTTTTTTTTTTTTTTTTTTTTTTTTTAAGAAAGGACCTCGCTCTGTCACCCAGGCTGGGGTATGGTAGCACAATCTTGGCTCACTGCAACCTCTCTCTCCTGGGTTCAAGCCAACCTCCCACCAAAGCCTCTGGAGTAGCTGGGACTACAGGTACACATCACCACACCTGGCTAATGTTTAGTATTTTTTGTAGAGATTTCCTAGGGCTTTCGCCATGTTGCCCAGGCTGGTCTCGAACACCTGAGGGCAATTGATCTCGCCGTCTCAGCCTTCTCAAGTGTTGGGATTACAAGTGTGAGCCACCTGTAATTTCTCTAGTCTAACAGACAGGTAGTAATGTCTCACGGTGATCTTAATTTGCATTTCACTAATGACTAATGATGTTAAACATCTTTTCAAGTGCTATACATTTTCATTTTCTTTGATGAAGTATCTGCTCACATCTGTTGTTCATTTAAAAAACTGTATTGTGGGCCGGGCACAGTGGCTCACACCTGTAATCCCGGCACTTTGGGAGGCCAAGGCAGGCAGATCACCTAAGGTCAGGAGTTCAAGACCAGCCTGGCCAACACGGTGAAACTCCATCTCTACTAAAAATACAAAAAAACTAGCTAGGTGTGGTGGCGCATGCCTGTAATCCCAGATACTCGGGAGGCTAAGGCAGAAGAATCACTGGAACCCGGGAGGCAGAGGTTGCAGTGAGCCAAGATCGCACCACTGCACTCTAGTCTGGGCAACAGAATAAGACTCCATCTCAAAAAAAAAAAAAAAAATTGTATTGCTCGTGTCCTTATTGAGTTGTAACAGTTCTTTATATATTTTAGATACAAGTTCTTTGTCAAATGTTTTGTAGCTTCTGGGGAAAAGAATGAAAAAGAAATTTTAAAAGAAGACAGGCCTGGGACAGTGGCTGGCTGGGTGTGGTGGCTCACGCCTGTAATCCCATCACTTTGGGAGGCCAAGGCAGGTGGACCACCTGAGGTCAGGAGTTTGAGACCAGCCTGGCCAACATGGCGAAATCTCGTCTCTACTAAAAATATAAAAATTAGCCTGGCATGGTGGCATGCGCCTGTAATCCCAGCTACTCAGGAGGCTGAGGCAGGCGGATCGCTTGAACCTGGGAGGCATAGGTTGCAGTGAGCCAAGGTCGCACCACTGCACTCCAGCCTGGGCAGCACAGCAAAACTCCATCTCAAAAACATAAAAAATAAAAATAGAAAAAGACAAAAAAAAAAGAAATAAGAAAAAAATGTTTTGCAAATATTTCTCCCAGTCTGCAACTTGCCTTTCACCTTCTTAATAGGGGCTTTCAAACAGCTAATGCTTTTAATTTTTGATAAAGTACAATTTATGGTTCACATATTTTGTATCCTAAGAAACGTAACCTAAGGTCACAAAGATCTACTGTATTTTCTTCGAGACATTTTATTGTCTTAGATCTATGCTTAGGTTGATGAACCATTTATAGTTAATATTTATATATACAGAGAATAAGATAAGGGTTAAGATTCAGTTTTTTTTCCATATGGATATCCAAGCTCTAAGACCACTGATGTAAAAAGATTGTCCTTTCTCCCTCGAATTACTCAGGCATCTGTAAAAACCTGAAATGTCCATATACTTCACATGAGTCTATTTCTGAATTCTCTTTTTTATTTGGTTAATCTCACACAATCTTACTTGCTGCTTTACAGAAGTCTTGAAGTATGACAAGGTAAGTCTTCCAATTTTGTTCTTTTTCAAAATTCTTTGGGCTGTTCCTAGGTCCCTTGTATTTCTATATAAACTTTAGAATTAGCTCATCAAGTTCTATAAGAAATTGTAGCCTGTTGAGATTTTAAGAGGTATCGAGTTGAATCTACAGATTAGTTTGGGAAGAACTGACTTAATACTTAGTCTTCCAACCCATGTGTATGGCATATCGTTCTTGGGTCTTCTTGAATTTCTCTCAGTATCATTCTTAGTTTTCAATGTACAGATCTTGCATATATTTTGTTAAATTTATCCATAAATTTTTCATCTTTTTTGATCCTATTATAAATGACATTTAAAATTCAATTTCCAATTCTTCTTTGCTGGTATATAAAAATCCAGAAAATGGTTTAGATTTGATCATTAGTTCCAGTAGCTTTTCTTTAGTTTTCTATCTATACAATCATGCCTACAAACAAAGTTTTATTTCTTCCTTTCTAATCTGTCAGTTTTTTTTTTACCTTATTGCACTGTCTTAGATTTCAAGTATGATGCTGAATGAGATAAGTGGAGCAGCAAGTGGTAGTTGCTCTGCCGCCTATAAGGTAGATATTTAAGTGTGACATTTTATGAATTTTCTTGTTTAATTTTTACAACAATCTTACAATGTCAGTACAATTATTTTTATTTATTGAGATGGGGTCTTGCTATGTTACCCAGGCTGGTATTGAACTTCTGGGCTTAAGCCAGCATCTTGCTTGTCTCCTGAGTAGGGCGACTATAGGCATGTGCCACCACACCTGGCTTAAATGTGTCATTTAAAAATTCAGGCCAGGCACAGTGGCTCATGCCTGTAATCCCAGCGATTTGGGAGGCTGAGGCAGGCGGACCACCTGAGGTCAGGAGTTCGAGACCAGCCTGGCCAACATAGTGAAACCCTGTCTCTACTAAAAATACAAGAAATTAGCCAGATGTGGTGGCACGCAGCTGTAATCCCAGCAATTCAGGAGGTTGAGGCAGGAGAAACACTTGAACCCGGGAGGCAGAGATTGCAGTGAGGTGAGATTGTGCTACTGCACTCCAGCCTGGGCAACAGAGTGAGACTCTGTCTCAAAAAAATAAAATAAAATTCAGTTTAGAACAGGGAAAAGAAGTACATGAAGGAGAAGATAGAGAAGCATTTACAATCTAAATGAAAAAGTATACACACACATAAAATAACTTCCAAAACAAACCAACGATTAAAGAAAAATCTAACGAGCCAACCTTACTATTACAGTTTTTGCTACAATGTGGACATGGACTATCTTAATTAAACATGTGGTACACACACATTTCTTAAGACTTTATCTTTTATAGGCTGAGGATGTAGCCTCGCTCCTATATATTCAAAATGGTAGATTCAGCATCATGCTACCTACCTGCATTTGCGACAAGCAACAGGGGCAGTCTTCCTCGCTCTATATCATCTTTAATCAGTTTCTCCAGGAAGGCAACATCCTGGAACCAAAACAAATCATTAAAAAATGAGGTGCCTAGTATAAAAGCTATAAAATGAAAAATTATGACTTGCAAAAGAAGCAGATAACTCTCAAAAGTAATGTCAAATCAATTCTTACTCTTGACAATTTTTCTGTTTTCTCTCATCATAGATGTGAAAATCAAATAGTTTTCCTTGAAGACTAGAAAAATCAGTTAAACAAGATTAAAGGTAAAAACTGTACATATGCAGGAACATTTCTTTGATTTTAAACATTTACATTTAAATGAAATGTTCTCTTAACTCTCCTAAAACAGCCATGAATGTATCTCTACTATTACTCACTGATGTACCTGAACTAGAAAATAAAACTACCTTGACAAAAGAAATAAAAAACTCTAAAATCCATCCCTTCCTTTTCCTTCTGGAATCATTAAGGAGAGATTTATCACCTGCATGTCTGAAATTAAGCAGAACTCAATTCCACGATGACAATGAAGAACCTCATTTTCAAAATCTGCCCATTCATAAATCCAGGCAACAGTGCTAACTCATTAAAAGTAGGAGCTTCAGAAGAAATTTCTGGTGCTTAATTGAGCTGCCATGTTTCTACTTAAAGCAGGCGATACAGTAATTACAAGACTCCTTAAAAGCCAGGTGCTCCTGACCTATATACCAACCAACCTTCATGGACATTCACATATTAACAGAAGCATATATTACACAATGCAAGGGTCCAAGCAATACATCAGTAAGTTACTAATTATCTGGAGGCCAGCAAAAAGAACTTCACTTGAAAGGCAGTTTCCAAACACAATCCCACATGATTTTACAAACCAAAAGTAGAACTCACCATCTGATGCTGGGATCCAAACATAGTGTTACAGGGTACACGGCACAAGCAGGGGAAGGGCAAGCCGAGCTGCAGGAAGAAACATACGACTTGACAAGAAAGCTCTCTGCACCATTCACTTCAGATTGTGAAAGGCTGTGGCTCTAAGACAAGCCACGATTATTCTTCTAAGAAATCTCTCTCCTTAGGAACTCTTAATATTATAAATTGATGTTAAAGTACATTTAGAAAGCCAAGCCGAAAAAAAAAAAGGGTGAATTTCCAAGTGCCTTATAAGAGGATATAATGTAAAATTTTCTAAATGATTCAAGTAATTATCTTTGGTATATTCTAGAATATACCAGAAACACTTTGACAAACACAGAAACAATTGGGTCGTGAGCATTTTAGTGGGGGTAATTTTGGATTCTTTCTCCAAGCATTACTGGTAAATAACACCAGCTAAAGGCATTCAAAGAACAGTATCTTATTTATGGGTTCACCCACCCCTAAAAAGTAATAAATATGGATTAGCAGATGCACATTTCTCAAGAGAAGTGAAGTCAGTGTTATGCACAGAGACAGTGATTGTCAACTTAATTTTATATTCTTCATGTTTAGCCTCCAAGTCCTTGAGGAGTTTACAGTTTTAGGAATTGTAAACAGTTGCAGCATATTGTTCTGTATGACTAAGACTCGGTAGCATTCAGAGACCAAAAATTTAATAAGCACATTTTCTCCTTAAAGGATTAAAAATTATGAACGTGACACCCAAGTAAAACAAATCCTCAAAAAAAAACACAGGTATTAGAAGTGAAAATGCCTAGCCCCCTACCCTATAAGCCACCAATCCACCCCGTTAACAGTTTAATACATAACCTTTCAGATATTTTCTAGGTATAAATTTACGTATTTTTCTAGGTACAAAAACATAGGTATAAAGGATACACACACTTTAAAAAATGTGAACATAACCATCTTATATATGCTGCTCTGCCTGCTGCCATTCCCAACAGAACACTCTTACACATCTTTTGAAGGTTAGACTGTTGTCCCCAAACAGCCTTGTGTCCGCAAGAGCCTGGCATGCAGTAGACACTAAGTAATTCATTTCACGTTTCAGAGGATTATTATTAAACTCCCCATTTTGTACACCCCTCAAGAAGAGGACATAATTTCTTAACACCAGTGATCACAGCTCAGAATCAATTTAAAAGTCACTAAGTGTCTCCCATACATCCCCCTGGGACTCCTACAGCTTACAAAAGAGGAATCCTCCAACCCTACGGTTTTGCTTTTAAACGTTCTTGGCAAAGACGGTTAACAGTGTCTTATCTCGATGTAGTCCTCCCAGTTGGGCTAGAAGCACCATGAACTTTAAAAATAGTCATGCTCGGCTGGGCGCGGTGGCTCACGCCTGTAATCCCAGCACTTTGGGAGGCTGAGGTGGGCAGATCACGAGGTCAGGAGATCGACACCATCCTGGCTAACACGGTGAAACCCATCTCTACTAAAAAAAATACAAAAAAATTAGCTGCGCGTGGTGGCGGGCACCTGTAGTCCTAGCTACTTGGGAGGCTGAGGCAGGAGAATGGCATGAATCCGGGAGGTAGGGCTTGCAGTGAGCCGAGATCACGCCACTGCACTCCAGCCTGGGCGACAGAGCAAGACTCTGTCTCAAAAAAAACAAAAAACAAACAAAAAACAAAAAAAAAATAGTCATGCTCTTTGATCCAGCAATTCTAGACTGACTCTGAAAATCCATCTGAGGACCATAACCCTAAATAAAATACAGGAAGAGCTTTATGCACAGAGAAGTCCTTAACAGCACTACACAAAGAACATTACGTGAAAATGGTCACAGAAAGCAAGAGAATGCAAACACTCTTAGTTGTCCAAAAAGGCAACAGTTAATTACTATATATTCACTTGAAGAAATACCATGAAGGCATTAAAAATAAACTATACGTTGAAAAATTATTATTAAAATGATATATTCCTGTTTTAACAGTAAGTGAAAAGAGCCAGATACAACCATATAAACACAAACACACCCCCTTCGATTAAAGTCTGGGAAAAAAGAGAAAATGTTGACTGTGGATGCCCTTGGGTAATCTATCACATATTCCTTATTTCTAAATTCAGTAATTTTTACAAATATGACAAAAGCATATAAGACCATCTTTCTTTTCACTCAACAAGAACAGCAACTAGACAAACGGGTCAACTTTAAAACTTTCAGAACAAAATAAAACATTATTTCTTTAAAATAGCCACCTGATACCACATTACCTGATTACAAAGGTATTGGCCCAGGCCAGGTCTAGCAGCAGCACTAAGATATATGACAGGCTTCTTGTTATATAACCCACTGAAGCCATCCACTACGAAGTCTTCATATTGAGAATGAATGGCAAGCCTACATATCTTTGCAAGTCCTTCTCTTTCCTCTTCGTGGAAATAAGCACACCCATTTTCATATCTGTTAAGAGATACATATTAATATGCTCTTATTTCTAGTTAAGGATTGTATAAGTCAACCTTACAATCATGGAGACAATTCTTTTCTCAAGCTAGGAATTGTCACTTTTATCAGGCAGAGAGGACAGGAATGTGAAACATCCTCATCATAGATGGCTGACACCTCATTACAGCTGAGGTTACCAAGCAGCGAGACAATAACCCTCCATCCATACCCAATTCCATAAAGAGCAGAAACTATGAAAACAAGTAGAGACCAGGAATTCTCAGATATAAAAAGCCTGAAGATCATGGTTCTAGCTTATTATGAACTAAGGCCAGCACTGGATAACACAGGCATAGTTCATAGCAGAGTTTCAGCCCTAAAACATCCAAAGTAAATAAAACTGTCAAAAATGCTAGTCAGAGGCTGGGTGTGGTGGCTCACGCCTGTAATCTCAGCACTTTGGGAGGCCAAGGCGGGTGGATCACCTGACGTCAGGAGTTTTGAGCCTAGCCTAGCTAACATGGTGAAACAACTGTCTCTACTAATTGCCAGGTGTGGTGGTGAGTGCCTGTAGTCCCAGCTACTCGGGAGACTGAGGCAGGAGAAGCACTTGAACCCAGGAGGTGGAGGGTGCAGTGAGCCGAGATTGTGCCACTGCACTCCAGCCTGGGCGACAGAGTAAGACTCCATCTCAAAAAAATAAAAAAGCTAGTCAGGCTAGCTTTTGGTTTTACTATAATCTGCTGAGGCTCCATCTCCTAGAGGAGGAGGGACAATTTCAATTACAGGCAATAGATTTTTACTAGAACAACAGAACACTGCTCCTTTAATAAAGTTGGGCAAACTTATACTCCTGCTTGGCCAAGTTCTTTCCCAACACTGAAAGTGAGGGTCTCTCAAGATAAATGTCTCAAGTTAGGCAAACATTCCTTCTCCATAAAAGTAACAGCATAAACCCAATGCCACTAGTCCTATGTCTCCTACTGAATCCTTCATCTGTTGTAATTCCTTAGTACTGCCAGGATTATCACAGAATAAAACAAATTTCAGTTTCATAGCACATATTCATCTTCCTTATGACAGAGTTTTCTTTTCTTTTCTTTCTTTTTTTTTTTTTGAGACAGAGTCTCGCTCTGTTGCCCAGGCTAGAGTGCAGTGCCTCAGCCTCCAGAGGAGCTGGGACTACAGGTGCTCACTACCACGCCCGGCTAATCTTTTTGTATTTTTAGTAGAGACAGGGTTTCACCATGTTAGCCAGAATGGTCTTGATCTCCTCACCTTGTGATCCGCCCACCTCAGCCTCCCAAAGTGCTGGGATTACAGGCGTGAGCCACCGCGCCTGGCCTCAGAGTTTTCTTTCTAATAAAACGCAAGCTAATATTTTCAAAGCACAGCTGGCCCTCTGAACCTGTGGGTTCTGCATCTGTGGATTAAACCAAGCATGAGTAAAAAATCTTCAGAAATTTAAAAAGATGGGTGCCTCTGTACTGAATATCTACAGACTTTTTTGCTTGTCATTATTCCCTAAACAATACAGTGTAACAACTATTTACACAGCATTTACATCGTATTAGGTATTATATGTAATCAAGAGATTAAAGTATATGGGAAGATGTGCCTCAGTTACATGAAAATACTGTGCTATTTTATATAAGGGATTTGAGCATCCATGAATTTTTTTATCCATAGGGTGAGGATGGGAGGTCAAGAACCAATCCCCCAAGGACACCCAAGGATAAGGGACAACTGTATTTGAATCTAGATCATTGCTCTATCTTCTACTGACATGTGCCAATTAGATACCCCACAAATAAATAACTGCTGACCCTATCAAACACATATGTGCTTCTATTCTCCACCCTTCACATGCGTTAGTCCATTAGCTCATTTAATCCTCACAACGCTTCTATGAAATAGGTATTAATACTATCCCCATCTAACAGATGATGAAACAGACATTGAGAGGTTAAACACCCCTTTCAAGGAGAAGGAAATCTGAACCCAAGTAGTACAGCTCCAGAAAAAAGATCTTTCAGTCTATACCCGACTCATAAAAGTCTTCACTGGAAACTCATCATGTCTTTACCTGAAAATTCTGCATAGCCATAAGGTGGTATCTGAAAGTATCCTAGTTGTAAGTTTTCTCAGCTTCTCTTCGTCCAGAGTCAAAATATAAGCTCCCAGACTATGTCCCAACACAGCCACATGACCTTGTTCTCCAATATTTTGGATTCTGTTAAGCAAAATTAAAGTATTAGAGTCAAACCATAAAAAAGGACATAGAACTTAGAGACACAGAATTCCACAGAAATATCTGTCAGACTCGAAATCTACTTAATGGCCCAGAAGGCAAATCAATGCATAAACAGTAGTGATAGTTTGGTGAGAAGTTTTTCTATTTTTTGAGACGGAGAAAAAATATATATATTTTTTCTGAGATGGAGTCTCCCTCTTGATGCCCAGGCTGGGGTGCAGTGGTGTGATCTCAGCTCACTACAACCTCCACCTCCTGGGTTCACGTGATTCTCCTGTCTCAGCCTCCCGAGTAGCTGGAATTACAGGCGCCCACCACCAAGCCTGGCTAATTTTTTGTATTTTTAGTTGAGACGGGGTTTCACCATGTTGGCCAGGCTGCTCTTGAACTCCTGACTTCAGGTGATTCACCTGCCTCGGCCTCCCAAAGTGCTGGGATTACAGGCATGAGCCACCACTCCTGGCCAGAAAAATATTTTTATAATTTGAGTTCCAGGAGATAAATAGCCCTTTTTAAATTGAGTACCTACAGTTTTAAAATAATTTCCTATTAAAGTATTTTAAAAATTAAATACCAGCCTTAAGAATTGTGGAGGGTAGAGCTAAGGTAAAATGAGCTGAAAGCATTTTTTAAAGAAATCCTGGCCAGGCGCAGTGGCTCATGCCTGTAATCCCAGCACTTTGGGAGGCCGAGGCGGGCGGATCACGAGGTCAGGAGATTGAGACCATCCTGGCTAACATGGTGAAACCCCATCTCTACTAAAAATACAAAAAATTAGCTGGGCCTGGTGGTGGGCACCTGTAATCCCAGCTACTCAGGAGGCTGAGGCAGGAGAATGGAGTGAACCCGGGAGGCGGAGCTTGAAGTGAGCCGAAATGGCACCACTGCACTCCAGCCTGGGCAACAGAGTAAGACTCCATCTCAAAAAAAAAAAAAAAAAAAAAAGAATTAAATCTCAGGTCTATGCATCAAATAAGAATTATTTATTGCAATAATACAGCAAATTCATGGGGGACTAGGTATTATTTTATATATAATTAAAATTGATTATATAAAATGTTTTATATAGAATTAAAACTAATTTCCCTTATAAAGAATAACTGTAAAAAAGAAGGAATAAGTTTAAAATTGTTAACTGTGAATAATAAGAAAAAGACAAATAACCTAATAGGATCATGGGCAACAGACAGTTCCTAGAAATATAAATGGGTCTTAAAACATACAAAAAGACACGTCACTTGGTTCATAATTTAAAAAACCTGCAAATTCGAATTATGCTGAAACACCATTTCTCACTTATCAGATTTCTCATCAGAATATCACTTATCAATGATCCTTCAGTCTGATAACGCCTTTGCAGGTGAAAAGTGTGGAAATAAAGTACTCTCATACATTGCTGGTGGGACTGCTAAATGCCGCAACTCCATGGAGGGAAATTTGGCAGGATCTATCAAAATTACAAAAGCACACACTGTCTGAGACAGCAACTCCACTTTCAGGACTTTGTCCTCCAGACACCTGCTTCTATGAGAAGTGACACATGTCGAAAGTTGTTTGCTGCAGCAATGTTTGTAACAGTGCAGCATGACAGGGGACCAATAAAATAAAATATGGTTCATCTGTTCAAAGTAAAACACATAGCTCTGACAAAGGAGAAAGTTCCTGTGCATTAATATGCAGTGAACTCCAAGACATAAGTGAAAAAATGCAAGATGCACAGCATATGCGTAGTAATTATGTATTAGAGAGGGTGGGCATAGACATTTTGCTGGTGTATAATACATATAAAATCTCTCTGGAAGAATACACAAGAAACTGGTAATGTCTGTCTCTAGAGAAGAAAACACGGTAGGGAGATAGAGGTAGGAAGGAAAATTCCCTTTGTATATCGTTTTTTATTGTCTGAATTTTGAACCAAGAGAACAATTTTACTTATTTCAAAACATTAAATTTAAAATAATTAAAGAGAAAACTAACTAAATACCTAATGAATACAAGTACAGCAATTCTTAGGAAGCAGAAGCACAGCAGCAGAAAGACATGCGACACTCACTCTTCAGTCCTTCTGCCAGCGCCTCTCTAAGGCATGATACCATAAAAACTATGGGATCTAATTTCAATAAATGCCTTCATTTCACAAAATATATATTAATATAAATGTCTTTCTGAAAATAAAAAGGATTGCTTTAATATCATATGTAACTCAATGAAATATAGCTTCTTATTTGAGCAACTTGTCAGAGCGCAATCACTACTGAAATCAAGAACACATGCACTTGAAAAGAGAAGCTGCCAGGTTCATTACCTGGGGCTCTGGGGCTCCTCATCTTCATCTCCATGCATCAGATTCTGAACTAACTGGAGGATGCTCACCATATCTTGTCCACTGCAGAATGAAAAGAGTTGATGGGCTGATGGGAACAGCACACATCCCCCGCCACTCTCCCGCTACTTCCCTCATTCAACTGGCGTTGCTTCAAGTTTTTTTTTTTCTTAAGCAACTATAAGAGAAAGAACGTGGTATATAGTTTATGCTTTTTAAAAAACAAAGCTCAAATTATAAAATGAATTCTGATATAAACTTACTTGTGGTTAAATAAATCTTCTACCTAATTATGAGTTTCATTTTAATAAATGTCACCAGTCTTTTTATTTTTATTTATTTTTTTGAGACAGGGTCTCACTTTGTCACCCAAGGTGGAGGGAAGTGGCATAATCTGGGCTCACTGCAACCTCTGCCTCCCGGGTGTAAGCGATCCTCCTGCCTCAGCCTCCTGAGTAGCTGAGATTACAAGCGTGCGCCACCACGCTCGGCTAATTTTTGTATTTTTAGTAGAGATGGGGTTTCACCATGTTGGCCAGACTGGTCTTCAACTCCTGGCTTCAAGTGATCCACCCTCCTCGGCCTCCCAAAGTGCTGGGATTACAGGCATGAGCCACCACGCCCAGCCATTTTTTTATTTTTGGTAGAAACAGGGTTTTGCCATGTTGCCCAGCCTGGTCTCAAACCACCAAGCTCAAGCAATCCTCCTGCCTCAGCCTCCAAAAGTGCTGGGATTACAGGCCTGAGCCACCTTGCCCAGCCACCAGTCTTGCTCTAGCAACATTTCTACACATTTCATTTGAATCTTGGAGTACAAGACAGAGAATATTTAATAAGCATGTAATAAGAGCCAAAAGTCCTTATAATATGTACTTATAATATATAAGTGTATTATATACTATACATTATATAAAATATATTATATAAAATACAATATATAATCATCCTTAGTATAGTATAATGCTAGACAGTCACAGAACACTCCAATGCCACTGGTATATCTAATTTTCCTCCATAGGGATCTTGTCCGTTTGGACTAACAGCCTCTAACAATGCAAGCTTCATTTATTACCAGCTCTTCCCCAAGCTGGGAACCTTGAGATCTGCTTAGAGTATAAAAACATTTTACTTCTATCCAAGATACGCTGCTATGAAATGCTCATTACATGAGGAGATGGAAAGTTATGAAAAGAATTCGAACGGCTGAAGTAGCAAGCAATGGCAAGGCAACTTGCAACAGGAATAACGCAGGGCTATTCGTCTGTTAATGAGAATAGACTAAAAAGAGGTTTCCTCTTTCAACAAAGGAAGCGCCATCAAAACAGTGTCCCCAAACCAATTGTCCCCAAGGTGCTGCCCTTCAAGTGAGAGGGGCTCTGGGCCTTGGACACTGTAGAGATCGGAGCAGGCAGGGGCCCTTGAGGCACACTGGCTGCCTGCCACATGACCTCGAGCAAGCTATTCCAACTTGCCAAGCCGGACGTTATGGATTTGGGAGGCTTCAGACAGTGAAGGTATGGCACTTAGCTGTGCCTGGCATGTTACTAGTCTTGAATGCTGGGTGGTAGCACTCCTAAGTGTGAATCCTCCTAGTGAGTGGCTTAAGGCTGAGAATTACAGATGCTGCTGGGAGTATCTCTCCTGGGAAAACTTCCGTGGAATTAGGAGACTAAACCTTAAAACCTTTGGTTTCCATCAGTAGGGCTGGAATGAGGAGATTTTATAGGACCCGCCTCCTGTTCTGAGCTGAGAATGCACTTCACACCTAGCTTCACATCAGCATTATTCATGCTACGAATAGGAGTGACTGTTTTAAAGTATTAGTATCTCGGCGTGTTATTGGCACACTGTGATCCTTCCTCCATACTTTTCTTTTGCAACCTGGTTCAATCTATATTCAGGTCAAAGGATATTTAAGGGAGTTGTACTGTTTACTTATGTGCAGTTTCCTGGTTATAACAGGAAAAAAAAATAAGTTTGTCTCAGGGAAGCTGGGCTGGGATACTAATCCCAGATTAACTGCTAATGTCTTGTGAAAATTTTAGTCAGCTACTTACTTTTTTGCTATTTTTCCTGCTACTCAAACATGACAGATTTGCTTCAGTTGCCAAAAAATAAGTAATTTGACATTTTCCTTTCATTTACATTATGAAAACAATAAATCTTATCAAATTAAAATACCTCTTAGAATAAAACTCAGTCTACCAAATAGATGACAGGTTTCAAGAGTGAACTAAGTATGACACACCAGTTATAATGATGAATTTGTATATCACTTTTATTTTATTTGACAGGGTCTCGCCATGTTGTTCAGGGTGGCCTCGAACTCCTTGACTCAAGCCATCCTCCTGCCTCAGGCTCCCAAGCAGCTGGGACTACAGGTGTGCACCATGGTGCCTAGCTCCATGTATCACTTTTGAGTCATGAGGTTGTATTAAATTGTTGGTTTTCTAAAAAATTTTTGGCCAGGTGCGGTGGCTTATGCCTGTAGTCCCAGCACTTTGAGAGGCTAAGGCAGGCGGATCACCTGAGGTCAGGAGATGGAGACCGTCCTGGCCAACATGTTGAAACCCCATCTCTACTAAAAATACAAAAATTAGCTGGGCGTGGTGGTGGGTGCCTATAATCCCAGCCACTCGGGAGGCTGAGGCAGGAGAATCACTTGAACCCGGGAGGCAGAGGTTGCAGTGAGCCGAGATCACACCACTGCACTCCAGCCTGGCGACAGAGCGAGACTCTGTCTCAAAATTAGAGAGTGTCTCTATCACTCAGGCTGGAATGCAGTGGTACAATCACAGATCGCTGTAACCTTGAACTCCTGGGCTCAAGTGATCCTCCGTCCTTGGCCTCCCAAAGTGCTGGGATTAAAGGTGTGACCCACTGTACTCAGCCTCTATTAAATTCCAAATGGGAGAGGGAGAGAAGCCAGCAGGTGCGGCAATATCACCAACCAGCCAACGACACTTCAGTTTTCTAATGTTATACTGCACATAAGTCTATTTAAATTTGCTATGTGTTCATTAAAACTAAAACCATAAATCAATGATGATAAGACACTGGTTTAAGAAAAATGTAGGCCGGGCACAGTGGCTCACACCTGTAATCCCAGCATTTTGGGAGGCTGAGGTGGGCAGATCACCTGAGGTCAAGGTCAGGAGTTAGAAACCAGCCTGGCCAACATGGCAAAATCCCATCTCTACTGAAAATACAAAAATTAGCCAGATATGGTGGTGCACGCCTGTAATCCCAGCTACTCGGGAGGCTGAGGCACAACAAAGAACTGCTTGAACCCGGGAGGCGGAGGTTGCAGTGAGCCCAGATTGCGCCACTGCACTCCATCCTGGGCAACAGAGCACGACTCCGTCTCAGAAACAAACAAACAAAAATTTACACCTTAACTAAAGGTATGGATCCTCAGTGCCACCTACCTGCCCTGGAGTGGGCCTGGAATATCTCTGGATATGAGCTTCTTTCCATTTTCCTCTTCTGTTCTTCTAATTTAAAGAAAAGAAAAAGCTGTTCATTTGTTTCATCATACCAAATTTCTAACGCCTGAACATGCAAACATGACCATGTTGCCTATAACCTCCCAGTGACTGAGGCAGGATTTCAAACACATTTATCACATCTCCCTGCCTCCAGTTTCAGGTATCGTTTGAATTTCTGGAAAAGACAAGAATATGCAACAAAAAAGTTCCACCCACTTCTTGTTTACTTGGTGCTCTATATGACCTGAATATATAATAAGTATTTATAGAGTCAAATCAATATATTAAGTAAATGAAACTCTTAATAGACAGAATTAAATAGTATAAGTCTTTCCTCTCAATTTCAAAATCCTTTAATTACAAGGCACCTTTTACCCAAGACAAACACCAATTTTCAAGTCAGCCGAAGCTGTGTGTGACACTGTGAAGCCAAGAGGCACCTTTAACAGAAAGAACCCAGAGCCACTGGCTTCACAGCAGGCTGAACTCGTTGAACAGGGTCACCTCTGTCCTACTCACCTCTGACTGTCCTCCAGCATCTTCACTGCCTCCTTCAAGTTTTTTCCCATTTCAGCTAACGTGGGGTCTGCTATCTGGGGAAAAAAAAAAAAAAGAAAGAAATTTTAATAATCCTCTATTACCTCTACAACACAATTCACCCAGAAAAATTAAGTGCATAATTTCTTCTGGATTTACTGTGAAGTACATGATTTTAAAACCTGCAATAGTACAAAAGTATAACAGAAAAAGTAAAAGTCTTCCAGCCCCACTTCCTAGAGGAAGCTGCTGTTTTTATTTTTATTTTTTGAGATGGAGTCTTACTCTGTTGCCCAGACTAGAGTGCAATGGCATGACCTTGTTCACTGCAACCTCTGCCTCCTGGGTTCAAGTGATTCTCTTGCCTCAGCCTCCCAAGTAGCTGGGATTACAGGCACACACCACCATGCCCAGCTAATTTTTATATTTTTAGTAGAGACGGGGGGTTTCACCATGTTGGCCATGCTAGTCTCGAACTCTTGACCTCAAGTGATCTGGCCACCTTAGCTTCCCAAAGTGCTGGGATTGCAGGTGTGAGCCACCGTGCCTGGCCTCCTTAAGTTCCTTTTGAATTTTAGTGCCATGTGTACACCTATCTCCCATCCAAAAAGTAAACAAAATAGAATTTAAATTTTTCTGCAGAATTATAATTTTTTCACCATTCATTCTGGGAAGAACCACGTGAGGCCAAAACCAAGGACCCTACCCTTCTTCACTTGGTACCACCTTCCCACTTGACAAGTTACAAGTCCCATGGGGGTAACCACAAGGTCCCCTCAGCCTGGCCATTGTACACAGCCCCAGGGTACCGGCAACGCATGACCTACACTCCAAGGCAACTGGACAACTTGGTCTTTGGTAAGATCACTTATGATAACAAAGTGAGTCAGCTTCGCTTCAGACAAGCAATGTGGCAGTGATACAAAGACATGCTATTTTGACAAATATTATTTTTGAGACAGTCGCTCTGTTACACAGACTGGGGTACAGTGGTTTGATCGTGGCTCACTGCAGCCTTGACCTCCAGGGATCAAGTGATCCTCCCACCTCAGCCTCCTGAGTACCTGGGAATACAAGTGCTCGCCACCATGCCTTGCTAATTTTCACAATTTTTTTGTAGATACAAGGGTCTCATTATGCCGCATAGGCTGGTCTCAAACTCCTGAGCTCAAGTTATCCTTCTGCTGGGATTACAGGCTGAGCCACTGTGCCCGAACTTTTTGCAGAATTAAAACATACACATTCATTTTCCTTTCTCTATTCTTAATCTCTGTAGTTATTTTTAGGGAGAAAATTCTTGTTGACTTCAATCTCTATGTAGTATGAGTTGTGTTATAACAATAAATTATATATATTACATATAATACATATAATATCATATATAAGTTATAGCTCTTTTGTTCCCCTCTTACTCTTCTAAGTGTGCTGCTTAAAGGAAGAGCTGTGTTTACCTTTTCCTATTGCTCACTGTATCTAGCAATATCTTACAGCATGGCATACAATACGTACATATTTAAAACTGCATTGCCTCCTCAAAATTGTTTTTAAGAAATTCCACTCCATTTATCAACATAAGATTCAGAAATTGTTACATTCTAGAAGGGACCTAAGGGATCTAGTCCAGGGATTTTCCAGCTGTGTTCTCCTGAGCCTTAAGGTCCCTGGGAGGACTCTGAGAAGGAAGGGTTAGGTAAGCAGTTGGGGCTTCTAACTCCCTAGCAGATCAGCTCTGTTTTGTATAACAGGGTTTTGAGTAAAGTTTTTATTTGTAAAAAGTTTCACTGAATGATAAAGGGGATATCACCACCGATCCCACAGAAATACAAACTACCGTCACAGAATACTATAAACACCTCTATGCAAATAAACTAGAAAATCTAGAAGAAATGGATAAATTCCTCGACACATACACCCTCCCAAGACTAAACCAGAAAGAAGTTGAATCTCTGAATAGACCAATAACAGGCTCTGAAATTGTGGCAATAATTAAGAGCTTACCAACCAAAAAAAATCCGGGACCAGATGGATTCACAGCCGAATTCTACCAGAGGTAAAAGGAGGAGCTGGTACCATTCCTTCTGAAACTATTCCAATCAATAGAAAAAGAGGGAATCCTCCCTAACTCATTTTATGAGGCCAGCATTATTCTGATACCAAAGCCCGGCAGAGACACAACAAAAAAAGAGAATTTTAGACCAATATCCGTGATGAACATCGATGCAAAAATCCTCAATAAAACACTGGCAAACCGAATCCAGCAGCACATGAAAAAGCTTATCCACCATGATCAAGTGGGCTTCATCCCTGGGATGCAAGGCTGGTTCAACATACGCAAATCAATAAATGTAATCCAGCATATAAACAGAACCAACAACAAAAACCATACGATTATCTCAATAGATGCAGAAAGCCCTTTGACAAAATTCAACAACCCTTCATGCTAAAAACTCTCAATAAATTGGGTATTGATGGACCGTATCTCAAAATAATAAGAGCTATTTATGACAAACCCACAGCCAATATCATACTGAATGGGCAAAAACTGGAAGCATTCCCTTTGAAAACTGGCACAAGACAGGAATGCCCTCTCTCACCACTCCTATTCAACACAGTGTTGGAAGTTCTGGCCAGGGCAATGAGGCAGGAGAAGGAAATAAAGGGTATTCAATTAGGAAAAGAGGAAGTCAAATTGTCCCTGTTTGCAGATGACATGATTGTATATCTAGAAAACCCCATCGTCTCAGCCCAAAATCTCCTTAAACTGATAGGCAACTTCAGCAAAGTCTCAGGATACAGAATCAATGTACAAAAATCACAAGCATTCTTATACACCAATAACAGACAAACAGAGAGCCAAATCATGAGTGAACTCCCATTCACAATTGCTTCAAAGAGAATAAAATACCTAGGAATCCAACTTACAAGGAAAACTACAAACCACTGCTCAATGAAATAAAAGAGGATACAAACAAATGGAAGAACTTTCCATGCTCATGGGTAGGAAGAATCAATATCGTGAAAACGGCCACACTGCCCAAGGTAATTTATAGATTCAATGCCATCCCCATCAAGCTACCAATGGCTTTCTTCACAGAATTGGAAAAAACTACTTTAAAGTTCATATGGAACCAAAAAAGAGCCCACATTGCCAAGTCACTCCTAAGCCAGAAAAACAAAGCTGGAGGCATCACGCTACCTGGCTTCAAACTATACTACAAGGCTACAGTAACCAAAACAGCATGGTACTGGTACCAATACAGAGATATAGACCAATGGAACAGAATAGAGCCCTCAGAAATAATGCTGCATATCTACAACTATCTGATCTTTGACAAACCTGACAAAAACAAGAAATGGGGAAAGGATTCCCTATTTAATAAATGGTGCTGGGAAAACTGGCTAGCCATATGTAGAAAGCTGAAACTGGATCCCTTCCTTACATCTTATACAAAAATTAATTCAAGATGGATTAAAGACTTAAACGTTAGACCTAAAACCATAAAAACCCTAGAAGAAAACCTAGGCAATACTATTCAGGACACAGGCATGGGCAAGGACTTCATGTCTAAAACACCAAAAGCAATGGCAACAAAAGCCAAAATTGACAAATGGGATCTCATTAAACTAAAGAGCTTCTGCACAGCAAAAGAAACCACCATCAGAGTGAACAGGCAACCTACAGAATGGGAGAAAATTTTTGCAGTCTACTCACCTGACAAAGGGCTAATAGACAGAATCTACAATGAACTCAAACAAATTTACAAGAAAAAAAACAACCCCATCAAAAAGTGGGCGAAGGATATGAACAGACACTTCTCAAAAGAAGACATTTATGCAGCCAAAAGACACATGAAAAAATGCTCATCATCACTGGCCATCAGAGAATGCAAATCAAAACCACAATGAGATACCATCTCACGCCAGTTAGAATGGCAATCATTAAAAAGTCAGGAAACAACAGGTGCTGGAGAGGATGTGGAGAAATAGGAACACTTTTACACTGTTGGGACGCTAAACTAGTTCAACCATTGTGGAAGTCAGTGTGGCGATTCCTCAGGGATCTAGAACTAGAAATACCATTTGATGCAGCCATCCCATTACTGGGTATATACCCAAAGGATTATAAATCATGCCGCTATAAAGACACATGCACACGTATGTTTATTGTGGCACTATTCACAATAGCAAAGACTTGGAACCAACCCAAATGTCCATCAATGATAGACTGGATTAAGAAAATGTGGCACATATACACCATGGAATACTATGCAGCCACAAAAAATGGTGAGTTCATGTCCTTTGTAGGGACATGGATGAAGCTTGAAGCCATCATTTTCAGCAAACTGTCTCAAGGACAAAACAACAAACACCACATGTTCTCACTCATAGGTGGGAATTGAACAATGAGACTACATGGACACAGGAAGGGGAACATCATACACTGTTGCTTGTTGTGGGGTGGGGGGAGGGAGGAGGGATAGCATTAGGAGATATACCTAACGTTAAATGAAGAGTTAATGGGTGTGGCACACCAACATGGCACATGTATACATATGTAACAAACCTGCACGTTGTGCACACGTACCCTAAAACTTAAAAAGTATAATTAAAAAAAATTTTTTTTTTAAATTAAAAAAAAAAAAGTGTCATTGAAAAGAAGAAAAAAATTCTTTGGGAGGCCAAGGCAGAAGAATCACTTGAGGCCAGGAGTTTCAGATCAGCTTGGGCAACATAGTGAGAAATAAATTAGCTGGGTGTGGTGGTGCACACCTGTAGTCCTAGCTACTTGGGAGGCAGAGGTAGGAGGATCACTTGAGCCTGGGAGTTTGAGGCTACAGTAAGCTATGATTGTGTCACTGCACTCCAGCCTGGAACAGAGTAAAACCCTGTCTCAAAAAAAAAAAAAAAAGTATAGCATAAAAACGTCTGATTCTGGTCTAACATTTTGGAGGTGAGGAAACTAAGATGCAGAGAGGTTAAGCGACTTGCCTATGGTCATGGAGCTAATAAATGACAATGAGGTGCCAAAACCTGGGGTCCCTGACTCCTGTTTCTGACCTCTATTATATCACACTGGCTCCCACAAGGGCTTACAAGGTAATCATTTAGCCACGACCAAATTTTTAGATAAAATAGACAAATTTTAAAACAAGTGTTTTCAATAAAATTCACCACTTTAACTATGAGAAGGCTCAGAAAGCACTCGAAAAAGGCCTCAGTGCTGACAGTGAGGAGAATGAGGAATATGATGGTCAAGAGAATTTATCTTCACCCCTGAGTCAGCTGGTGATGCTCCTGACGATCCTCACTGCTGTGACACTCCCATGTGTCCCCTACCACCTAGCCAAATGATAAGATAAACAGTTTGGCTTGATTCACACCTTCATGCTCCCAACGACCATCCTGTCTGAAACATCCTCATGACTTTTATCTATCTCTCTCCTAGCACCTATTCAATTACAAGTCAATAATTCCAGGAAGCCTTTACAGATAAAGCCACTTTTGCTCTTTCCCATCCCCTCTAACAATACTGATGCCTTTTTTCCTAAACCAAAAATCTAGATTTGTTGCTTAACAATGTTGGTTGTATTTATGGGGACAATGGGACAGAATGCTTGCAGTTGTTGCAGCTGCCATTTATCCTCATGATTCCTTACACCCTTTACTGTGAATTGTTTTATAGATGTGCTTTCCAGTATAAATGTGCTCTCCAATTAGATTACAAGCTTCTTGAAGGCAAGGATTCAGACTCCTACTAATTTTGACTTCTCTTTAGACCAGGGGTCTAAAGTTAGCTCAATTCTCCAATTGTCATATTAACCTGAAAATCCCTTAGGAAGGCATGCCAGAGTGGATATCAACATACTGTTCTCTAAGTGCAACACAGCTATTTCTTTCAACAGAATTATAATGAATATTTCCGTTAAGAATAGATAAAATATGCCAGGTGTGGTGGCTCATGCCTGTAATCCCAGCACTTTGAGAGGTCAAGCCAGGAGGATCAGTTGAGTCCGGGAGTTTGAGATGAGCCTGGGCAACATGGCAAAACCTCATCTCTACAAAAAATACAAAAAAATTAAGCCGGGCATGGTAGTGCATGCCTGTGGTCTCAGCTACTCAGGAGGCTGAGGCAAGAGGATTGCTTGAGCCCAGGAGGTCAAGGTTACAGTGAGACAAGATTGTACCACTGCCTGGGTGACAGAGCAACAACCTGTCTCAAAAAAAAAAACAAAAAAAAAATAGACAAAATACAGCTTAGGCAATATGACAAAACCCCATATCTGCAAAAAATACAAAAATCAGCCAGGCGTGGTGGTGCATGCCTGTAGTCCCAACTACTTGGGAGGTTTAGGTGGGATGATCACTTGAGCCTGGGAGGTTGAGGCTCTGGTGGTGAGCCATGATCACACCACTGCACTCCAGCCTGGTCAAAAGAGTGAGAACCTGTCTCGACAACAATACACACACACACATACATATCTATATACATATATATACACACAAAATAGTTTAGAAGCCGCATTGTGTGAACATGCATTTATAAACACTAAAATCCCATGTAATGACAAGCTGCTTAAACTGAAAGGCAGGAGGGAAATGCAGATTCACAATCCCCAGGTGAATCTCTGACTCTGGAGTGCACATGCAGTTTACGTAAATGTAAACTGGCTTATGTTTAAATTGTTCTTGCTGGCCGGGCGCAGTGGCTCACGCCTATAATCCCAGCACGTTGGGAGGCCGAGGTGGACGGATCACCTGAGGCCCAGGAGTTCGAGACCAGCTTGGCCAACATGGCAAAATCCCGTGTCTACTAAAAATACAAAAATTAGCTGGCCATGGTCACGTATGCCTGTAGTCCTAGGTACTTGGAAGGCTGAGGCAGGAGAATCGCTTGAACCCAGGAGGTAGAGGCTGCAGTGAGCTGAAATTGCGACACTGCACTTCAGCCTTGGCGCCAGAGCAAGACTGTCTCAAAAAATTAAATAAAAATAAATAAATCGTTCTTGCTCTTCAGGGAGTAAGCCCAGGGGGGAGTGGGTGGGTAGGAAAAGCAGCACTGATAGTTAAGTTTGGGTGAATAAATGTGAACAATGACTCCAATGCCATAGACCCTCACGTGTTTGTTGCATTAATTGGATAATTCAAAATATAAAGTATTATCCAGTTTCAGGATAATATTAAGATCTAAACCAATGAATGCTCTATGAAAAGTTGTAGATTAACTGATCCCTTAAAACTAAAAACAGCGTCTTCATAAGCTTCTACTGATGGCAGCTACCACTTTCTTCATCACATTTCTTATCCTCAATAGCTGTGGGCAATGCCAAAATAGCTGTATGGCTCTCCCTCTCCCTCTCCCTCCCCCTCCCCCTCCCCCTCCCCCTCCCTCTCTCCACGGTCTCCTTCCACGGTCTCCCTCTGATGCCGAGCCGAAGCTGGACTGTACTGCTGCGATCTTGGCTCACTGCAACCTCCCTGCCTGATTCTCCTGCCTCAGCCTGCCGAGTGCCTGCGATTGCAGGCGCGCGTCGCCACGCCTGACTGGTTTTCGTTTTTTTTTGGTGGAGACGGGGTTTTGCTGTGTTGGCCGGGCTGGTCTCCAGCTCCTAACCGCGAGTGATCCGCCAGCCTCGGCCTCTCGAGGTGCCGGGATTGCAGACGGAGTCTCGTTCACTCAGTGCTCAATGGTGCCAAGGCTGGAGTGCAGTGGCGTGATCTCGGCTCGCTACAACCACCTCCCAGCCGCCTGCCTTGGCCTCCCAAAGAGCCGAGATTGCAGCCTCTGCCCGGCCGCCACCCCGTCTGGGAAGTGAGGAGCATCTCTGCCTGGCCGCCCATCGTCTGGGATGTGAGGAGCCCCTCTGCCTGGCTGCCCAGTCTGGAAAGTGAGGAGCGTCTCTGCCCGGCCGCCATCCCATCTAGGAAGCGAGGAGCGCCTCTTCCCCGCCGCCATCCCATCTAGGAAGTGAGGAGCGTCTCTGCCCGGCCGCCCATCGTCTGAGAGGTGGGGAGCACCTCTGCCCCGCCGCCCTGTCTGGGATGTGAGGAGCGCCTCTGCCCGGCCGCCCCGTCTGAGAAGTGAGGAAACCCTCTGCCTGGCAACCGCCCCGTCTGAGAAGTGAGGAGCCCCTCCGTCCAGCAGCCACCCCGTCTGGGAAGTGAGGAGCGTCTCCGCCCAGCAGCCACCCCGTCCGGGAGGGAGGTGGGGGGGGTCAGCCCCCCGCCCGGCCAGCCGCCCCGTCCGGGAGGTGAGGGGCTCCTCTACCCGGCCGCCCCTACTGGGAAGTGAGGAGCCCCTCTGCCCGGCCAGTCGCCCCGTCCAGGAGGGAGGTGGGGGGGTCAGCCCCCCGCCCGGCCAGCCGCCCAGTCCGGGAGGGGGGAGGGGGGGTCAGCCCCCTGCCGGGCCAGCCGCCCCGTCCGGGAGGGAGGTGGGGGGATCAGCCCCCCGCCCGGCCAGCCGCCCCGTCCGGGAGGTGAGGGGCGCCTCTGCCCGGCCGCCCCTACTGGGAAGTGAGGAGCCCCTCTGCCCGGCCAGCCGCCCCGTCCGGGAGGGAGGTGGGGGGGTCAGCCCCCCGCCCGGCCGGCCGCCCCGTCCGGGAGGTGAGGGGCGCCTCTGCCCGGCCGCCCCTACTGGGAAGTGAGGACCCCTCTGCCCAGCCAGCCGCCCCGTCCGGGAGGGAGGTGGGGGGATCAGCCCCCCGCCCGGCCAGCCGCCCAGTCCGGGAGGGAGGTGGGGGGTCAGCCCCCCGCCCGGCCAGCTGCCCTGTCCGGGAGGGAGGTGGGGGGATCAGCCCCCCGCCTGGCCAGCCGCCCCGTCCGGGAGGTGAGGGGCGCCTCTGCCCGGCCGCCCCTACTGGGAGGTGAGGAGCCCCTCTGCCCGGCCAGCCGCCCCGTCCGGGAGGGAGGTGGGGGGGTCAGCCCCCCGCCTGGCCAGCCGCCCCGTCCGGGAGGTGAGGGGCGCCTCTGCCCGGCCGCCCCTACTGGGAGGTGAGGAGCCCCTCTGCCCGGCCAGTCGCCCCGTCCAGGAGGGAGGTGGGGGGGTCAGCCCCCCGCCCAGCCAGCCGCCCCGTCCGGGAGGGAGGTGGGGGGATCAGCCCCCCGCCTGGCCAGCCGCCCCGTCCGGGAGGTGAGGGGCGCCTCTGCCCGGCCGCCCCTACTGGGAAGTGAGGAGCCCCTCTGCCCGGCCAGCCGCCCCGTCCGGGAGGGAGGCGGGGGGGGGGGTCGGCCAGCCACCCCGTCCGGGAGGGAGGTGGGGGGGGTCAGCCCCCCGCCCGGCCAGCCGCCCTATCCAGGAGGTGAGGGGCGCCTCTGCCCGGCCGCCCCTACTGGGAAGTGAGCCCCTCTGCCTGGCCAGCCGCCCCGTCCGGGAGGGTGGTGGGGGGGTCAGCCCCCCGCCCGGCCAGCCGCCCCATCCGGGAGGTGAGGGGCGCTTCTGCCCGGCCGCCCCTACTGGGAAGTGAGGAGCCCCTCTGCCCGGCCACGACCCCGTCTGGGAGGTGTGCCCAGCGGCTCATTGGGGATGGGCCATGATGACAATGGCGGTTTTGTGGAATAGAAAGGCGGGAAGGGTGGGGAAAAAATTGAGAAATCGGATGGTTGCCGGGTCTGTGTGGATAGAAGTAGACATGGGAGACTTTTCATTTTGTTCTGTACTAAGAAAAATTCTTCTGCCTTGGGATCCTGTTGATCTGTGACCTTATCCCCAACCCTGTGCTCTCTGAAACATGTGCTGTGTCCACTCAGGGTTAAATGGATTAAGGGCGGTGCAAGATGTGCTTTGTTAAACAGATGCTTGAAGGCAGCGTGCTCGTTAAGAGTCATCACCACTCCCTAATCGCAAGTACCCAGGGACACAAACACTGCGGAAGGCCGCAGGGTCCTCTGCCTAGGAAAACCAGAGACCTTTGTTCACTTGTTTATCTGCTGACCTTCCCTCCACTATTGTCCTATGACCCTGCCAAATCCCCTTCTGCGAGAAACACCCAAGAATGATCAATTAAAAAAAAAAAAAAAATAGCTGTATGATCAACATTAATAAACAACACCAGGGCAACAGCCAGACACAAACCTAAATGAAGAATTAAATTGTATAAAGATGTATAAAGATGTCTATTAGTTAGTACATAGGAAACTGTTTGATAATGTTGGCAGAAAAAAAAAACAGGCCAGGCGCAGTGGCTCACACCTGTAATCCCAGCACTTTGGGAGGCCAAGGTTGGCGGATCACCTGAGGCCAGGTGCTTGAGACCAGCCTGGCCAACATAGCAAAACCCCGTCTCTACTAAAAATACAGAAATTAGCCAGGCGTGGTGGGGGGTGCCTGTAATCCCAGCTATTCGGGAGACTGAGGCAGGAGAACTGCTTGAACCTGGGAGGCGGAGGCTGCAGTGAGCAGAGACGGTGCCACTGCACTCCAGCCTAGGCGACAGCAAAATTCCATCTCAAAAAACAAAAACAAAAAAACAAAGGAAAAACAGTATTCTATGTCAAGTTCCTGGGAAGAATGTCAAATAATTTCTGAATCCCTTCGCACTGAGTGCAGGGTCAGACAGAGTAAGTATTCAATCAGATTTATGATCCTTATAATTACTAATACTTACTGGGTTGCTTACTATATTCCAGGCATTGTGCTAATAATTAACGCCTCTACACACATTACTTCCTCACAAGCCCCAAATCATAGTACATTTTAGAGCCAGAACTTAAAACTAAGTAAAATTCTAGGACCAGTGCTCTTAACCACTGGGCAATACTGCTTCTCAATTTTATCAAGTAAGTAAATGAAGCAACTCAACACTTTAAAAAAGCTTGTACTCAAAAATCATATTTAGAACTAAGGTTTAATTTTAAAGATTATCCTTGCTTGATTAATGTTTTCACCTGGGAAGAAACTGACTCTTTACAGGGAAAATTTCTACTTTACAACAGTCTCAACTAGATGGCCGTAAACTCATCATCCAGATCAGGGCATTTTTTTTTTTTTCCCTTTTTCCACCAACTCTTAAACCCAAGCATTTTTAAGAGTGAAAGCATGGCCAGGCATGGTGGCTCACACCTGTAAAACCAGCACTTTGGGAGGCCAAAGCAGGGCAGATCACCCGATGTCAAGAGTTTGAGACCAGCCTGGCCAACATGGTGAAACCCCGTCTCTACTAAAAATACAAATATTAGCTGGGCGTGGCGGTGTGCGCCTGTAGTCCCAGCTACTCAGGAGGCTGAGGCACAAGAATCACTTGAACCTGGGAGGTGGAGATTGCAGTTAGCCAAGAACGCGCCACTGCACTCTAGCCTGGGCAGCAGAGCAAGACTCTGTCTCAAACAAAAATCCCAAAACCAAAAAAGGTGCAACAAAGCATTTACAGAGTGGGTATACCTACATGCACATTTTCTGATAGATACTAATTGCTGAGAATTTAGACACAGTTTTACCTCTCTACAAATTCATAAATTATATTTCAAGTACAGTTAATTCTGTTGTATAAATGAAGTGGGTTCAATATTTTTGCTACAATTTTATCTAACACAGTTGCATGATAGGTATGATTTAATTCTCCTTTCCTAAGAAGAACCATTCAATTGCATGCTCACTGTCACAGAACTGAGACTTTTTTTGAGATGGAGTCTCATTCTGTCTCCCAGGCTGGAGTGCAGTGGCTTGATCTCAGCTCACTGCAACCTCCGCCTCCCGGGTTCAAGTGATTCTGCTGCCTCAGCCTCCTGAGTAGCTGGGATTCCAGGCGCCCGCCATCACACCCAGGTAATTTTTTTGTATTTTTAGTAGAGATGGGGTCTTACCATGTTGGCCGGATCAAACTCCCGCCCTCAGATAATCTGCCTGCCTTGGCATCCCAAAGTGCTGGGATTACAGGCGTGAGCCTCTGCACCCAGCCAGAACTGAGACTTTAATAGTTAGCTCATTTTATAAAACAAGCCCTACTATTCATATCTTCATGAGCATTTTTTACAAACTTTTTTTTTTTTTTTGAGACATGACCTCGCTCTATCGTCCAGGCTGTCACAGTGGCGTGATCATAGCTGGCTGCAGCCTTGAGTTCCCGGGCTCAAGTGATCCTCTAACCTCAGCCCCCTGAGCAGACATGGCTACAGGCACATGCCACCACACTTAGCTAATTTTTAAAAATTTTTTGGAGAGACATGGTCCTACTATGTCACCCAGGCTGATCTCAAACTCCTGGCTTCACGAGCAATTCTCCTGCCTTGGCCTCCCAAAGTGCTGAGATTAGAAATGTGTGCCACAGTGCCTGGCCAAGAATCGTTTTTATGCTAGGTGATTTTTATCACTTTCAGACAGTATGGGATATTAAAATACTCCCTCACTACCAGAAGAAATATTACATATGTAATGTTAAAATTGCTTAAAAGTTCTGACAATTTAAATGTTGGAGGAAAAGTCAAGAATCAAATGCAAAGTAAGATGGTAAAGGAGGTCAAGGAGCAACTCTCAATTTTTCAAAAAAGCTAATGGAAAATTATAAATTGGCAAGGCCGGGTGCGGTGGCTCACACCTGTAATCCCAGCACTTTGGGAGGCCGAGGCAGGTGGATGGAGACCATCCTGGCTAACACAGTAGAAACCCCATCTCTACTAGAAATACAAAAAATTAGCCAGGTGTGGTGGCGGGCGCCTGTAGTCCCAGCTACTAGGGAGGCTGAGGCAGGAGAATGGCATGAACCCGGGAAGCGGAGCTTGCAGTAAGCCGAGATTGTGCCACTGCACTCCAGCCTGGGCGACAGACCAAGACTCCGTCTCAAAAAAAAAAAAAAAAAAAAAAAAAGTTGTTTATCATATCTTCCAAAACCGGTAACTACAATAGAAATAAAAGGTGTCTTTAGAGCCTAAGATTTGGGAATTAATGAACTAGTCACTTTAAAATTTTTTTCATCTTAGGCTGGGAGCAGTGGCTCACACCTGTGATCCCAGCACTTTGGGAGGCCGGGGTGGGCAGATCACGAGGTCAGGAGTTCGAGACCAGCCTGGCCAAGATGGTAAAACCCCATCTCTACTAAAAATACAAAAACTAATCGGGTGCAATGGCGGGCACCTGTAATCCCAGCTACTCAGGAAGCTGAGGCAGGAGAATCGCTTGAACCCAGGAGGTAGAGGTTACAGTGAGCCAAGAATGCACCACTGCACTCCAGCCTAGGTGACAGAGCAAGACTCTGTCTCAGGGGAAAAAAAAAAAATCTCATCTTTTGAAAACACACTAATCAACACTTTTCCTCAGTTAAACCAGTTCACCAAAGTGTGAATTTAAAAAATTATACATTTGGCCGGCAGCGGTGGCTCATGCCTATAATTCCGGCACTTTGGGAGGCAGAGGCGGGCGGATCATGACAGGAGTTTGAGACCAGCCTGTCCAACATGGTGAAATCCCATCTCTACTAAAGATATAAAAAATCACCTGGGCGTGGTGGTGTGCCTATAACCCCAGCTACTCAGGAGGCTGAGGCAGGAGAATCGTTTGAACCTGGGAGGCGGAGGTTGCAGTGAACCGAGATGGCGCCATTGCACTCCAGCCTGGGCGACAGGGTGAGAGTCCGTCTCAGGAAAAAAAAAAAAAAAAAAAAAAATATATATATATATATATATATATATATATGTATATATGCACATACATACACACACACACTCTCTCTCTCTCTCTCTCTCTCTCTCACTTTTATGTGATTTGGGAAAAAAAAAAACCCACACAAACACACACCTCAAATCCCAGAATTTAGAGACATTACAGTTGAGCACAAATCTAAGTTAAAAAAAAAAAAAAAAGGCGGGGGTGCAGGGATGGGATAGGTGGGTAAAGAGGGCTAGAGTGACAGAAAGCAGGGCAGGGATCCACTGCAAAGGGACATAGGGACATTTTCAGGGAGACAGAAATGCTCTGTACCTTTTTTGGGGTGGGTGGGTAGGGGACTTATTTTCTGAGACAGGGTCTCACTCTGTCACCCAGGCCAAGTGCAGCGGCACTATCGTGGCTCCCTGCAGCCTCACCCTCCTGGGCTCAAGCGATCCTCTCACCTCAGCCTCCCAAGTAGCTGGGACTACAGGTGCATGCCAACAAGCCTGGCTAAGTTTTTATTTTTTATAGAGATAGGGGTCTCACTGTGTTGCCCTGGCTGCCCTCAAACTCCTGGGCTCAAGAGATCCTCCTTCCTTGGCCTCCCAAAGTGTTGAAATTACAGGTGTGAGCCACTGCACCAGGTCAATGCTTTGTATCTTGATCATGCTGGTGGTAATATCACTATATACAACTTCCAAAACACAAACTATATAATTAAAATGGGTATATTTGTTGTACGTAAACTGTCCCTCAATTTTTCATAAAGGGGAAGTAAATTGATGTAAAGTAGATTTAAAAGAAAATACTAAGCAAATAATAGTATAGGTGGTACAGTGATGTGGCCAAATTCACAGATGGTACATGAATAACTGACATGAATAACTGCTGTTTAAGAGATACAGAGCTAAGCCTTCAAAGAGAAGACTTTTTTTTTTTTGAGACGCAGTCTTGCTCTGTCGCCTAGGATGGAGTACAGTGGCGTGATCTCGGCTCACTGCAACCTCCGCCTCCCGGGTTCAAGCGATTCTCCTGCCTCAGCCTCCCAATTAGCTGGGACCACAGGCACATGCCACGACACCCGGCTAGTTTTTTGTATTTTTAGTAGAGACGGGGTTTCACCATGTTAGCCATGATGGCCCCGATCTCCTGACCTCATGATCTGCCCGCCTCAGCCTCCCAAAGTGATGAGATTACAGGCATGAGCCACCATACCTGGCCAAGAGAAGGCTTTTAAGAGAAGCAGCCTCTATAACAAAGAAAGTCTAAAATTTATTTTTAAAAGTATATTAATTGAAACATTCATCAGTGCTGGAAGTATATAATACTTTCGTTTCAACAAAGTTTTTTTTTCAGGAGAGGAATGTTCTTATTTGGGGGACTTTTAGGACTTATTTCGGAGGCCTCTTAGGGCTAACTAAAGAGAAACCAGCTGCTCATATTAGAAGACCTTGGAGTTATCAGATGCTAGTTTATACCATATGCATTAGACATATAAAAAATCACCACCTACTTTCGGCTGAGATAAAAAGCAAGAGGTAAAGCTCCAGACAGCTGTTCCTAACTTAACTACTCTTGCCTCCCACAGCTTTCTGAACAAGGTAAATCCTGAATAGTGATCATCATTCAACCTTCATCTCTGCAAAAAGCATTTCTTTTCCTCCCAGGCGAAAACAAACAGTGCCTGCTGTCTAGCACTAGTTAAACAAGTTCCCCAAACACCACACACGTCTATTATAATACATACCACTGAGAAGCCACAGCAAGAACATAATGTTCCTTATGGGCCAAGGATGAAAGAAGAGGACAGGAATCCTCCAAGCTGATACAGTGACTTGTAAACCTGGTTTATCTTATTGGAGTCTCAGTTTCTACATTTGTAAGTATTTTTGCCTGATTCAACAGTATAGTTATTTAATTAAGAACCAGAACTTTTGTCTCCTCCCATCTTCTTTTTTTTTTTGAGATGGAGTCTCACTCTGTTGCAGTGGCACAATCTCCTGAGTAGCTGGGACTACAGGCGTGAGCCACCGCACCTGGCTAATTTTTGTATTTTTAGTAGAGATGGGGTTTCACCACGTTGGCCAGGCTGGTCTTGAACTCCTGACCTCAGGTGATCCACCCACCTCGGCCTCCCAAAGTGCTGGGAGTACAGGCATGAGTCACCATGCTCAGCCGTCTCCTCTCATCTTCTAAGAACTGGATATTGTCATTTGAAAGTCTTATTTTTAACCATCATGGTCTCTACGCTTGAGTGTGTCTGAGAATATGAAGACATACTGTAATTACTGGCTCATTAAGATTAAGCATCATAACCTTCCTAGTTGCAAAGGGTTAGCCAAGTACTGTATAAGGTGTAACTATAAGTATTTAACCTTACAAATTCCTCAAGAAGATAGGCAGAAAATCGGAAAGAAAAGGGCAAAAATAGGCCGGGTGCAGTGGCCCACCTGAGGTACAGAGTTCAAGACCAGCCTGGCCAACATGATGAAACCCTGTCTCTACTAAAAATACAAAAAATTAGCTGGGCGTGGTGGTGGGCGCCTGTAATCCCAGCTACTCAGGAGGCTGACACAGGAGAATTGCTTGAACCCAGAGGCAGAGGTTACAGTGAACCAAGATCGCACCACTGCACTCCAGCCTGGGCAACAAGAGCAAAACTCCATCTCAAAAAAAAAAAAAAAAAAAGAAACAAAAGAAAAGGACAAAAATACCCAACAGTGGAAAGGAGGCAGCAAAGTTAACTGCACAGATCACATCTCAGTCAGAGAGCAGTATGTGAAGGAGGGAAAAAGCCTCTAATCACTTGACTCAGATATATGTTGGAGATGCTAGAGATCCAACTCCGTGTTCCAAAAACCTGTGTTCCCAGAGACCACTACTGCAGTGTCAGTTCACACAGATCTTATAACATGAGTAAACACTTCCAGATAATGAAACTGATGGAAAAATAGCATACTATAGGGAAGCTCTATTTCTAAAAACTTTGCTGTTTACCTGGAATCACACCTTTATTCCGGAACAAAAAGAAAATTGCTAAACAGAAGCAGATACTGTTATAACTCTTCCTTAAGATAAGCTTCTTTATAGGCAGTGTTTAACTAGTTTAACTAGTGCTAGACAGCAGGCACTGTTTGTTTTTGCCTGGGAGGAAAAGAAATGCTTTTAGCAGAGATGAAGGTTGAATGATTATCACCATTCAGGATTTACCTTGTTCAGGGATTGTTAGCGAGCGATCAAATCAGAAAGGTAAAGATGAAATGCTTTTCCTGTTTCTTATCTACCAGCAATAATATGAGGCACACTCGTAAAGGTCTGCATTACATTTACAATTAAACTCTAGAAAAGCATAATTCTGAGCTAAATATTCTGCCTAAAGAATCTCTTCCACATAATCTTTCCTGGTCTCTTGCTCCTTGCACTCACAATTTGTTTCTTAATTCCTATGCTTTTTATCCCTTTCTATACAAGGATTTGTCCAAAAAAAAGTATACTCCCTTACCAGAACGCGACCTCCTGCAGGGGCCACATCTTACTCACCTTGTGTCTCTGTCAGCACTCAGCACTGGGCTTTGACCACAGCTCACCTTCGATTAATAAAAATTATAAATCAAGGCTGGGTGCAGTGGCTTACACCTGTAATCCCAGCACTTTGGGAGGCCAAGGTGGGCAGATTACTTGAGGTCAGGAGTTGGAGACCAGCCTGGCCAACATGGCGAAACCCCGTCTCTATTAAAAATACAAAAATTGGCCGGGCGCGGTGGCTCACGCCTGTAATCCCAGAACTTTGGGAGGCTGAGGCGGAGGTCAGGAGATCGAGACCATCCTGGCTAACACTTGGTGAAACCACATCTCTACTAAAAATACAAAAAATTAGCTGGGCGTGGTGGTGGGCGCCTGTAGTCCCAGCTGAGGCAGAAGAATGGCATGAACCTGGGAGGTGGAGGTTGCAGTGAGCCGAGACTGTGCCACTGCACTGCAGCCTAGGCCACAGGGCGAGACTCCACCTCAAAAAAATAAAAAATAAAAAAAACAAAAATTAGCCGGGCGTGGCACAAAAATAATCCCAACTACTCGGGAAGCTGAGGCAGGAGAATTGCTTGAACCCAGGGGGCAGAGGTTGCAGTGGGGCAGAGGTCGCACAGAGGTGAGATCGCAGCACTGCACTCCAGCCTGGGTGACAGAGCAAGAGTCCGTCTCAAAAAAAAATTATAAAACAAAACAGGTTTCTGCTTTAGGTGACAACAGATGAAATCAAGCTCAAGCAACTTCTACCTATAACTCATATAATCCTAGATATAGTGGAGCAAAGACGGAAATGGGACCATCAATAGCTCTGCCACTGACTTCCCCTGCAATCTTGAATAAATCAAGAATGAACAAAGCCATAAATATCTAGGATCAGGAACTTTGTACTATGGCCGAGTCCCATCAGTTTTCCCTGACAGCCAGTATTAGATAATCATTTACAGCCATAGCCACCATGCATCTGTATGCAAAACCCTCACATTATAACATTGGAATTGGCTTTATATGAAAGCTACAATTACAGCCTCTCATCTCCTCTCACTCTTTCAACCTTGCCTAACAGGGGTTCTTTTCTCATGCTTTTTAAGGAAGGAGCAGGAATAGAAATTCTCGGAGTCCTTATCAGTAAGTAATGATCAGGAATGTTCCATTGATGCTGCTATAAACCTCTAGCATAACAGCAAGGTGACAAAGAATTTTCTAAAATCAGGCCCAAATAGCAGGAAAGAAACACTTAGCTCGGGATGAGTTCAAGAACCAAAAATGGGCTAAGTTGTGCTGATTTAGGTCAGAAACAGGGTCAAAGTTGCCTCTTTCAGAGATGAGAATTAGATATAACAAGTAATTGGCCGGGCACAGTAGCTCACGCCTGTAACCCCAGCACTTTGGGAGGCCGAGGCAGGTGGATCACTTGAGGTCAGGAGCTTGAGACCAGCCTGGTCAATATGGTGAAATCCCATCCCTACTAAAAATACAAAAATTAGCCAGGTGTGGTGGTGGGCGCCTGTAATCCCAGCTACTTGAAAGGCTGAGGCAGGAGAATCGCTTGAACCCGGAAAGCAGAGGTTGCAGTGAGCCGAGACTGTGCCACTGCACTCTAGCCTGGGCGACAGAGGGAGACTCCATCTCAAAAAAAAAAAAACGAATTGCCAGCTCTTAGCACTGTCCAGTGGAACCTTCTTTGCAATGGAAATGTTCCACATCTGTGCTGCCCAGTGTAGCAGACATCAGCCACATGTGGCTGCTGAGCACTTGAAATGTGGCTAGCATGACTGAGGAAACGAATTTTAAATTGTGTTTAATTTTAATCTCAATGTAAACTGCCAAATATGGCTAGTGGTGACCAAACCGGAACTGTAGCTCTAGATTCCCTAAATTAGGGACTTTCAACGACAGGCAATTCCCTCTACCCCTTGGGGGACAACTGCCCCCATCTTGAGACATTTCCTATTGTTACAACTGGGGGTAGGGAGTGCGACTAGCATCTACTGAGCAGAGGTCAGGGACACCGCTAAGCATGCTGCCATGCACAGGCCAGCCCCCATAACAGCAAATTATCTGACCCAAAATATCAGTAGTGCTGACGCTGAGAAACTGCTTAAAGTTTGCTCAAGGACAGAATTAAAGTAAATGCAAACAAACTGCAGTATACCTTGCCTAAACATAATACCCAGGAAGAATGAGATCTTTTAACCAACAGAAAAAGGTCTGGGCTATTCTACAAGTTTAGAGTAGCAGGTTTTGGCCTGGCACGGTGGCTCACGCTTATAATCCCAGCACTTTGGGAGGCTAAGGCAAGAGGATGGCTTGAGCCCAGGAGGTTGGGACCAGCCTGGGCAATATAGTGAGACCTTGTCTCGAGAAAAAAAAAATTGTTTTAATTAGCTCAGTGTGGGGGTGAGTGCCTGTAGTCCCAGCTACTCAGGAGGCTGAGGCGCGAGGCTCACTTGAGCCCTGGAGACGGACGTTGCAGTGAGCCGAGATTGTAGCACGGCTCTCCAGCCTGGGTGACAGAGAGAGATCCTGTCTCAAAAATAATAATAATATAACAGGTTTTTACTGGAAGGTGTGTTTAATAACTTAAAATCTTCATCATTATAGTGATTACTTCCTGTGGCATTTTCTTTATTGAATATTAACATAAGTACACACTGTGAGACTCTGCTAGAGGGCCTTGTTCCTTATGCCTTGGACATACAGTGGGGGACAGGGGCAAAGCCCCTACTCCTACTCTCCTAAGTTTGAATTTCCTTTGCCTCCTCAATTAACCCATCTGATTTATTGGGACATCACTGATCTCAGATACAAGAAAACTGATACTGTTGTGGAAGAAAAGCAAATCGTGACGAGAAAATGGCTCTGTTATCACAGGTCTGCACGTTTACATAACAGAAAAAGCAAGGGACAGAATTATATTTGGACCAAATCCAAATCATTGAGTGATTCTACTAAATGATGATCGCATACTACATTTTGTTTTTGTTTTTTCACATACATTTTAAAGTGAGAGATATTATTTTAAATTTTAGAGGGTGAGCATCAAATAACATTGTGGTTTCTGTAATCAGTATAAATTACGCAAGAATCAGTTTAAATGGGATCATTCACAACTGCTCACATAGCTCTTGAGTTTATATTAACAATGTAGAATTTAACGCAGGATAGTCTATTCCTCAAAGAAACAGGAATAATGAACACAATTAAATGTTTCACTTTGACCCAGACTATTTTTCAGAACATAAAGTCATCAACATTCATATTACAGCAATGCTTTTTCTTTTCTGCCCAATTAGCACCAATATAAATCGTTCATTCCATCTAAGGCCCTGTATTACTTCAGGGAATATAAATCTAAGTCCCGGCCAGATGCAGTGGCTTACGCCTGTAATCCCAGCACTGTGGGAGGCTGAGGCTGAAGGATCACAAGGTCAGGCGTTTGAGACCATCCTGACCAACATGGTGAAACCCCATCTCTACTGGGAATACAAAAATTAGTCGGGTGTGGTGTCACACGCCTATAGTCACAGCTGCTCGGGAGGCTGAGGCAGGAGAATCACTTGAATCCGGGAGGCGGAGGTTGCAGTGATCCGAGATCGCCTCACTGCACTCCAGCCTGGGCAAGAGACCGAGACTCCCTCTCAAAAAAAAAAAAAAAGTAAGTCCCATAGTTCTGAAAAACTTACACTCAGAATTTTCATATTGACCTAAGGCAGAAACCTCCAGCCCACATGTTCTGAATTCTTAAAAGATCACTACAATTTTTGTGAATGCTCCAATATTAAACACACTGGAATTTCAGTCCCTCTTGAGATCTTCATTGAGAGAGTTTAAGATCTTTTATCATCAATTAACACTTAGGGAGCAACCACTGTAACCTACTGATCAAATGCCAGAAAAGTAATATTTAAAGCAGGATTCTGACCCACCCTGCAGATTTTCCTATAAAGGCTAATTATTCCTGGAGGAAAGATCACCCCAGTTCTTCAGGATTCCAATTACAATCACATGAAGCCCACCCACCTTCTTAGGAAATTGATAACACCACTTTGCATCATTTTGTACTCAACTGCTGGTGTTATAAACATGATCTTGACCAGGATTTCTCAGCCCCAACACTGCTGACATTTTGGGCCAGAGAATTCTCCAGCGTGGGGGGCTGTCCTGTGCAACGTAGGATGTTTAGAGGCGTCCCTGGCCTCTACCCACTAGGTACCGGCAGCACCTCCCTGCCCCCATTGTGACAATCAAAAATATGTCCAGAGATAGCCAAATGTCCCCTGGGGAAATAAATTGCCCCCTGCTTTAAGAACCACTCATCTGGACAAACTCAAAGTACCAAAAGGTAGACACCCTGCTAATCAGACGACCGGGAAGACTTTATTCCCAGCCAGGAAAATACGTAACATTCACCCCAGAGATGGCACAAGAAAACCATATTATCTTTTTCTTGTCTTCCACCCAATTTATGCTAAGCAACCCAGGAGCAGGCTATACCACTGTGAGCACATGAAGACATCTGGCCCAACCTTTACAATTATTGCCTTCAACTCTCCAGTGACAAGTGAACAAAATCTACAGCAGCTGCTGCCTTGAAAAAAGACAAAATATATTATTCCTACCAGCTCAAAATTAAAATGTAGCCGTCTTAAAACACGAGCATTGCTCCTGAATGCCACATGCATGAAAAACCGGGTATGCACTGGATTGGACAAGCAGACTCCCAAGCTGGAACAGAGAGAAGGGCTTTGAGGGAGGGCAGAATGTCAGGTACCGAAAGCAGGAATCCGTGAAGAAACCCAAACCGGTTTCCATTTACAAGCCCTAACACTGGGACAATGAGAATCCGTTTCACATGGTAGAGCAGTCAGCCAGGTACACCACGCTGCTGTTCCCCCAAGGGGAAACCAGAGGTAGGCTCTGTTACCAGTGGATTTCGAGTTGACTCGGGGATCCCTCCTCGCCACCGGAATGGGGGAACCAGGAAGTTGTGGAGCAGCTGCGATCCCCGAAACTCAATTCGCAATCTACGCAACACCCACCCCTTTCTGGAACTCAGAGGTTCTCGCCCAGTGATCGCAGGCTCAGCATCAGAATCACCTGCGTGGGGCGGAGTGGGAGGGGGGCGGTGGCTGTTAAACACGCAGTTCCCGGTCCCGCCCCCAGAGGTTCTGACCCCGGGACTGAATCTCCGCATTTTACCAAAGGCCCCAGGTGATTCCCACTCAGGCTGAAGTTGGAAAACCACTGCTTTAGCAATTTTCATTCCTAACTCGGAGACCAAGAAAAACCCACAGGTTTGCAGCTGGCTCTGAAATAACTGCGGCTTCTTTCCGGGAGCATCTGGGGCCGCCAACGGAGAGCTCCCGGTCCTCCGAAAGGGCCAGCCGAGCTCAGGCCGGCCACTCGCGGAACCTCGGCAGGGCCCAAGGTCGGCCCCGCGGTCCCAGTCCTGGGCTCCGGGCCCCTCGCGGCCCCCACGGAACCCCGCCCAGCCTCTTCGGCCCACGGGGACCCAAGAGACACCCGGCCCCGTGACGCGCCCGGGCCCCAGCCGCCCTCCCGGCGAGGCCTCCTCAGGCGAGGCCTGTCAGCCCGCGTCCCCCTGTCCGGGTCACAATGGCAGCTCGCGACTGGGAAATAGTTGCCTCGGAAGCGGGAGCCCCGGGCCGCAGCACCGTCCCCATCGCCCCCTCCCGGCACGCACCTTCTCCAGGGACGCGTCCATGGCTGAGGCGGCCGGTGGTGGCCCGGCGGTCCCGGGCTCTACTTCCTCCTCCCGCGCCCCGCAGCTCTTTCCACGCTGGCAGCGCTGACGTCCCCCGCGCCCGCGGCCAGCGGGGCGGAGAAGAGGAGGAGCTGCCAGGCGGCGCCGCCGGCTGCCGAACCTGATGGTTGAGGGGCGGCGGGGCGGCGGGGCGGGGCCCTGTAATGGTGGGCGGAGCCCTCTGGGATTCCGTACCTGGGCGCCACGCCGGCCCTCCCTAACGTGCGCAGGTGAAGGGGGGAGGATGCCCGGTGGATTGTTCACCAAACTCTTTCCAGCAGCCTGTTGCAATCATCTAGGTAGAAGTATAATAATCACAAAGTACTATTCATGGAGTGAAAGGCTGGAAATACTAGTGACGCACCTCACTTCCGGGCCCAGGCTTCCAAGTCTCCCGCCTCACCTCCCGCCGGCATCCCTCGAGAATGGAACAGGCCATTCGCCAAGGAGGCGGTGAGCGAGAGAGCAACCTTGCGCATGCGCAGGACTCGCAGCGTCCTCGGCGCCCGGGGACTTGGGGGTTTTGGGGTTGGGGGCTGCTTAGTGAACGCTGTTCAGAGAAGGCACTGATCTAAGCTGAGGTGTTGTCTCAGACCCTACCGCCGAATTCTAGACGGAAAAAATTGTTGAAACAACTGGTCCAGCCTCTTGCATGTCACAATTATGACTTGTCAGGTAATGGGTAGTAGTAATAATGATAATATTAATACATCAGCTGCTGTTCTTCCATTTTCCTATTTCAGCAGCTCTAGGAGATCATTATCCCCATTTCGCAGTGCCGATCTAGGTAGGATTCAGACCCAAGCCCCATGAGTCCACATACTGCTTCCACTCCTACGTTACTTTAAATGTTTTAAAAAGTTAATTTTTTATTAATTTTTTTATCTTGTTAACCGATGAACTGAAGAGAAAAAAAATTAAAATCTCATTTTAATAGAGAAGGTGGGGGTGTCTCACTATGTTACCCAAGCTGGCTTCAAACTCCTGGCCTCAGGCGATCTTCCCGTCTCAGCTTCCCCAAGTGCTGGGATTACAGGCGTGAGCTACCACGCCCGGCCACTTTTGCAATTTTACTGCAATGTGTTTCGAACGAATGGGGAGGGCGTACATTTGCTTAGTAGATTCCTCCCACCTTAATGTGGGAAACTGATGTAGACTACCACAGTGGCAATCAATGGAACACTTCACCTCTGCGAGGACGCTGCAACCACAATCTTACTCCTTTTCTCTCCTGTTTTATACTCTTCGTCCCGAAATCTGTGTAAACAGGGTCACATTTTCAGCGCAGTAACTCCATGTTTTGAGCTATCTACGTTGTATTTGGTAAATTGCCTGGTTATGTTAATAAAATTATTTTCTACCAAAAAACCCTTGTGTGCTGGTTTAGACTGTACTGTGGGAATTATTCTGACTCTCTAAAGAGCTTTCCAAACAGAAGGAATGATAGATTTATGTCTTTCAAGAATTGAAGATTGAATGTACCCCTGCTTGAGCAAAACAAGTCACTTTTCCAACGTGTTTTGAAATTTTTCAAAGGTAGAAAAGTTTAAACAATTGTACAGTGAACAACCATATACCCACTACCTAGATTCTACAGTTAATTTTCCCTATATTTGCTTTAATCACATATGCATCCATATATCCATCCATCGATATATGTTAGTACATTTCACCTCTGAGCACCTCAGTATGGGTATCATTCAAAACTAGTACATTTTACTAAAGTCACCTCCAAGTTTCTGTGGATTACATTACAAAGTATAATAGATTCTACAAAACAAATACTAGAGAGAAAAGTTAACTTTACTGTTTTAAAAGTAGTCTTTGAAAACCCAACATGAAAAAGTGGAAATAATCAACCGTATTATTTATTATATTTAGCCAAACATTTATTGACTGCCATCTCGGACAGTTGTGCTGGAAATAGTATGTAAAAGAATAAGAGGCTGGTTCAAGACCAGCCTGGCCAACATAGTGAAACTCCGTCTCTACTAAAAATACAAAAAATTAGCTGGGCGTGGTGGCAAACACCTGTAATCCCAGCTACCTGGGAGGCTGAGGCAGGGGAATCACTTGAACCCCCGGGGGCAGAGGTTGCAGTGAGCCGAGATTGCGCCACTGCACTCCAGCCTGGGCAATAAGGCGAGACTCCATCTCAAAAAACAATAAAAATACAAATAAGAGGCTGGGCTGGGCGCGGTGGCTCACGCCTGTAATCCCAGCACTTTGGGAGGCCGAGGCGGGCGGATCACGAGGTCAGGAGATCGAGACCATCCTGGCTAACACGGTGAAACCCCGTCTCTACCAAAAATACGAAAAGAAATTAGCCGGGCATGGTGGCGGGCGCCTGTAGTCCCAGCTATTCTGGAGGCTGAGGCAGGAGAATGGCGTGAACCCGGGAGGCGGAGCTTGCAGTGAGCAGAGATCGCACCGCTGCACTCCAGCCTGGGCGACAAAGCGAGACTCTGTCTCAAAAGCAAAATAAAATAAAAAAATTTAAAAATTTTAAAAAGGCTGGGCGCGGTGGCTCATGCCTGTAATCCCAGCACTTTGAGAGGCCGAGGTGGGCGGATCACCTGAGGTCAGGAGTTGGAGAACAGCGTGGCCAACAAGGTGAAACCCTCGTCGGTACTAAAAATAGAAAAATTAGTGGGTGTGGTGGTGTGCGCCTGTAATCCCAGCTACTCGGGAGGCTGAGGCAGCAGAATCGCTTCAACCTGGGAGGCAGAGGTTGCAGTGAGCCAAGATTGCACCACTGCATTCCAGCTTGGACGACAAGAGCAAGACTCCGTCTCCACACACACACACACACACACACACACACACACACACACACACACAACAAAGACAAGCTCTCTGCCCTGAAGAAAAACACTATTTTGGGTAGAAGTTTTTACTTTGGGATGCAGATGGAGGTCTCTGAAACTATACTCAACATTTTGTGTGTGAGTGGGTGCATTTTTCTGGGGAAAACATCCATTGTCTTCATTATATACTCAAGTCTGTGATTCCCCCCATCCCCGAAAAAAAAAATGTTGAAACCATTTGGCTTGTGGATGCACAGATAGGAAAACTGATACATTATAATGCAACATTCTATGGACTAGTGAAGAGAGATAAGCAGAATATTGTACAGTTTGGAGCACGAAGCCATCAATTGTGGGGAGGTTTAATCTCTACTGACATGGCTTTATGTGCTGCTAACAGACCTGTCTTTTTCTTTCTTTTTCTTTTTCCAGACGAGCCTCACTCTGTTGTCCAGGCTGAAGTGTAATGGTGCAGTCTCGGCTCACTGCAACCTCTGCCTCCCCGGTTCAAGCGATTCTCCTGCCTCAGCCTCCCTGAGTAGCTTCGACTAGAGGCGTGCGCCATCGCACACACTGTATTTTTAGTAGAGACAGGGTTTTACCATGTTGGCCAGGCTGGTCTCAAACTCCCAACCTCAAGTGATCCTCCTGCCTCGGCCTCCCAAAGTGTTTAGATTTCAGGCCTGAGCCACCGAGCCTGGCCTCAAACACTTCTCTTTTTTTCTTTTTTTTGAGATGGAGTCTCGTTCTGTCGCCAGGCTGGAGTGCAGTGGCACCATCTCTGCTCACTGCAAGCTCCGCCTCCCGGGTTCAAGCAATTCTCCTGCCTCAGCCTCCTGAGTAGCTGGGATTACAGGTGCGTGCCACCAAGCCTGGCTAATTTTTGTGTTTTTAGTAGAGACGGGGTTTCACTAGTTGGACAGGCTAGTCTCCAACTCCTGACCTCAGGTGATCCACCCACCTTGGCCTCCCAAAGTGCTGGGATTACAGGCGTGAGACACCAGGCCCAGCCTCAACTGTAGACTTTTAACTCAAAGGTACAAAAATTGGATTATGTCTGGGCCAGTTTTTTCCCTTGTCGATAGTATAGCCCATTGGTTAGAGTTCAGACTGAGGCTACAAGTAGAACTGGATTCTTTCTTTTTTTTTTTTTTAAGCTGTATAAGTGAAAACTACTTGGGCAAGTTACTTAACCTCTTGGTATATTAGTTTCCTCATCTGTAAAATTCTGGTTATGCTTGCCTTTTAGTGTTTGTTAAACATTCTTATGATCAAAAAACAAGCAAATAAAAACTCCTTATCTTCATCCACATCCCCTTCTGGTTACACCTAATGGTCTCAATTTTCTCATCACACAAGCACCACCAACTCATCTCAATCTAGCTTCGGCTTTGTTCCCTCCACCCAAACCAGTGTCACTAAAACCATCTCAGTCCATCACACCTGACCTCTCAGCAGCCCTAGAACCAGATGATCACTTTCTTCTTGAAACTGACTTTCCATGCTTCCCACAATATCAAATTCTCCGGATCGTCACCTTCCCTTTCTGCCTGTTCCTTCTCAATGTCTTTTGGAGTTTCTTCCTTCTCCACCCAATGTTTAATTGTTGGATTTCCTCAGCACTCAGCTGGCAAGCCTTTTTTTTTTTTTTTTGAGACAGAGTCTCGCTCTGTTGCCCATGCTGGAGGGCAGTGGTGTATCTTGACTCACTGCAACCTCCACCTCCCAGGTTCAAGCGATTTTCCTGCCTCAGACTCCCGAGTAGCTGGGATTACAGGCACGTGCCACCATGCCCAGCTAATTTTTGTATTTTTAATAGAGACGGGGTTTCATCATATCGGTCAGGCTGGTCTGGAACTCCTGACCTTAGGTGATCTACCCACCTCAGCCTCCCAAAGTGCTGGGATTACAGGCGTGAGCCACTGTGCCCGGCCTGGAAAGTCCTTTTGATTTCTTCTTCTACATAATTTCATCCTCCATTATTTCAATTAACATCTATATCAAACTGAGAGTACTTCATCAGTGGGTTGTGATATCAACCATTGGGTCATGAGTGGCAATTTTTTAAAAAATGAAATAGGATGCAAAACATCAGAGCACATCACGTGGATTAAGGATAATTGGGCAGTAACCCAAATGTCCATCAACAGACAAACAGATAAACAACTTGTGGCCTATCCCTACAATGGAATGGAGTACTGTACTGCAAGTAAAGGGAGTACATTATTGATCCATGGGACACCACAGATTAGGAGTTGGCAGAGTTTTTCTGTAAAGGGCCTGGTTGTAAATATTTCAGGCTTTGCAAGCTGTAGTTTAGGTTCTTGCGATCTCGGTCTCAAGTATTTGATTCTGTAGCATGGAAACAGCCATAGATGGTATGTAAACAAGTGAGCGTCGCTGTGTTCCAATAAAGCTTTATTTATAGACATTGAATTTTGGATTTCATTTAATTTACATGTGTCACAAAATATTCTTCTTTGAGTTTTTTTTCAATCACTTAAAAGTATAAAGTCATACTGAGCTCTTAGGCCTTTGCATAATCAGGTAGTGGGCCAGATTTGGCCCACAGGCCCTAGTTTGCTGGTCCCTGTCATAGATGAATCTTAAAAACATTATGCCGAGTGAAAGAAGCCAGATACATGGCCTGGAGCCTGTAATCCCAGTACTTTGGGAGGCCGAGGTGTGAGGTTCGCTTGAGCCCAGGAATTTGAGGCCAGCCTAGGCAACATAGAGAGACCCAGTCTCTACCAAAAAAAAAAAAATTAGCTGGGAATGGAGGATTTCTCAAGCCTGGGAGGTTGAGGCTGCAGTGAGCTGTGATTGCACCACTGCACTCTAGCCTGGGTGACACAGCAAGACCCTGTCTCCAAGGAAATAAAAAAGCCAGATACAAGTGAATACCTATTTCATATGTATACTGTATATATGCTCTATGGTTTCATTTATATGGAATTCTAGAAAATGCAAACTATAATGACAGAAAGCCTGGGGCTGAGATGGAGGGGGAATTGACTGCCAAGGGGTGCTGGGGAATTTTTGGAAATGACAGAAGAGCTCTGTATTTTAATCGTGGTGGTTACACAGGTATATACATTTGTCAAAACCTGTTGAACTGTACATGTAATACGGGTGAATTTTATTATATTATGTAAAACATGAAAATCTATTATGTAAAACATACTTCAACAAAGTTGATTAAAAAATATCAGAGCATTGGTTGGTTATTTACTATTGGGTAAAAAAATTCTTTTCTTTTTTTTTTTTGAGACCGAGTCTCACTCTGTTGCCCAGGCTGGAGTGCAGTGGTGTGATCTCAGCTCACTGCAACGTCTGCCTCCCAGGTTCAAGCGATTCTTATGCCTCAGCCTCCCAGGTAGCTGGGACTACAGGTGTGAGCCACTATGCCCAACTAATTTTTGTATTTTTAGTAGAGACAGGGTTTCACCATGTTGGCCAGACTGGTCTCAAGCTCCTGACCTCAAATGATCCAACTCAGCCTCCCAGAGTGCTGGGATTACAGGTGTGAGCCACCATGCCTAGCCAAAAATTTCTTAAAAAAAAAGAAAAAAGAAAAAAAATCAGAGCATCTTCTATGGTAGTAAGGGTACTCATTGCTTCTGAAACTTCTGCCTCAGTTGTACACATTTATAGCTGTGCCTTGATTGCACTGGACTCCTCTTCCACCCTAAACCAGGGATTCTCACACTCCACATCCCATAAAAGCTCCCCATCATCCACCCAGCTGTTCACGCCAGGAACCAGGGTGTCTTCCTCTCTCTCACACTTTCCCTTCCCTAACCCCTTCCAATCAGTGTTGCCACTTCCACCTCCTAAATATCTCTCAAAGCTGTCTGCATCTCTATTTCCGTTGCTACCGCCTTGACTACTGCCATATCTAAGCAGTCTCTGTAGCCAAACCATTCTCAATACAGAAACCAGAGTCATCTGTTAAATGTAGAAATCAGATCATCTGCTTACAGGCCTTCAGCTATCCATGGAATAAAGCGAGCATCCTTCACTTGGCCCATGAGTATATAATATGGCCCCTGCCTACCTCTTTGGTCTCTGGCTGTCATTATTCCCTTGATTATTCTCTTGGTCTTTTTGTTGTTGTTGTTGTTGTTTCTTTTTGTTTTTGTTTTGAGACAGGGTCTCACTTGGTTACCCAGGCTGGAGTGCAGTGGCGTGAACACAGCTCACTGCAACCTCGACTTCCCAGGCTCAAGTGATCCTCCCACCTCAGCCTCCCGAGTAGCTGGGACCACAGGTGTACACCATCATGCCTGGCGAATTTTTTTGTATTTTTGTGTGTTTCACCATGTTGCCCAGGCTGGTCTCCAACTCCTGAGTGCAAATGATCCACCTGCCTCGGCCTCCCAAAGTGCTGGGATTACAGGCGCGAGCCACAGTGCCCCCCTTGGTCTTTCTGTACAGCAAGATCTTTCCTGACAAGCCGTTTTCTTCGATGAGACTGTTCTTTTTTCCCCTTCCCTTTTGTCTTGTGTAACTTCTAATCCCTTTGGTAGAAGTGTAAGTATCATTTTCTCAGGGAAATCTCATGAGTGCTTATAGGCACCTGTCTTTCTCCTTTATGTACTTGGCACAATCACAATTAATTAGTTGCTTAATGTCTACCTCCCTTGATAGATTATCAATGCCATATCTGCAGGGACAGAATCTGTCTTTAATATTATTGTGTCCCCAAGTGACTGCAAATAAGCTCTCAAAAAATAGTCATAGAATTAATGAGTAATGAATCCACATACTGGCACAGTGTGTATATTTTATTTCCAAAACATTTCCAATGTTTTCAATCTGGTTTTAATGAGCATCATATTTTATTTTATTTATTTATTTTTTGATACCGAGTCTTGTTCTGTCACCCAGGCTGGAGTGCAGTGGCTTGATTTCAGCTCACTGCAACCTCTGCCTCCTGGGTTTGAGCAATTCTCCTGCCTCAGCCTCCTGAGTAGCTGGGATTACAGGTGCCCACCACCATGCCTGGCTAATTTTTGGAGTTTTATTAGAGACCGGGTTTGACCATGTTGGCCAGGCTGGTCTTGAACTTGTGACCTCAGGTGATCTGCCCGCCTCAGCCTCTGAAAGCTCTGGGATTACAGGTGTGAGCCACCATGCCCGGCCGAGAATCATATTTTAAAGACACTACATGGAGGCAGAGGTATTTACCTCCCAAGTCTAGCTAATCCAGTGCCTAGGATGCAGTGGGAGTTCAATAAATAATTACTAAATACATGAATTCAACAAATATTTTCTGAAGGTGCATTATATACCACACAGTATTTTAGAAATTGGAGATACAATAATCATTAAAAGAGATTAAGTCTTTGCCTTTTGTGGATTATTTTTTTTTTTTAACTTGAGGTAGGTCTCACTTTGTCCTCCAGGCTGGAATGCAGTGGCATGATCCTGGCTCACTGCAGCCTCAACCTTCAGTGTTCAAGTGATCCTTCTACCTCAGCCTCCCAAACTGCTGGGACTACAGGAATGCACCACCACGCCCAGCTAATTTTTTAATTTTTGAAGAGGTGGGGTCTCCCTATGTTGCTCTGGCTGGTCTTTGAGCACCTGGGTTCAAGTGATCCTCCTGCCCTGGCCTCCCAAAGTGCTGGGATTACAGGCGTGAGCCATTGTGCCTGGCTATTTTTGTGGATCTTATATCCTATTGTAACAGAGAGATAAGTAGCTATATAATGTATGTTAATTACTTGTAAATACCATAAGAAAAATAAAGCAAAATAAAAGAGAGTAAATTATGCATGAATCCATCCCTTGGTCGTCAATTTGAAATCTCTGCTCTGAAACATCGAAAATGTTTTAGAGAATGTTTGCTCAGTGATAACTAGCTAGATATAGAAGAAAGCAACACCAGCCACTACCATCAATGATTTGTTGATTTATTATTAATTTTCAAGACCTTGAGGAAAGTATTCCCATTGACAATTTTTCTGGTACTCAAAGGACCTTTTTGTTTTTGTTTTTGTTTTTGTTTTTTTGAGCTAGGCTCTCACTCCTGTCTCTCACGCTGGAGTGCAGTGGTGTTTCAGCTAACTGCAACCTCTGCCTCATGGGCTCAAGCCATCCTCCCACCTCAGCCTCCACAGTGGCTAGGACACAACCACCCCTGGCTAATTTTTGTATTTTTGGTAGAGATGGGGTTTCACCATGTTGTCCAGGCTGGTCTCAAACTCCTGAGCTCAAGCATCCGTTCACCTTGGCCTCCCAAAGTGCTGGGATTACAGGCATAAGCCACCACACCTGGCTGAAAATAAGAATTTTTATTAGCATTTTAAACTATAATTGATGTTTAATTTGTTTCAGATTTATTTACATTTCATGAAAGTGAACAGGCTTCTCTAAAACTGTGTGCCCAGAAGGCAAATGGGCAAAGACATTAACAGACAATATAAAAAGGAAAAACATGCAAATAGTCAACATGACAAAAAGTTCAACATTACTAGTAACCAAAAAAATGCAGAAATGGATCAAATAGCATTTTTGCCTATAATTAGCAAAGTTTTTTAAAAAAATAATAACATCCGGCTGGGCATGGTGGCTCACACCTGTACTCCCAGCACATTGGGAAGCCGAGGCAGGCGGATCACGTGAGGTCAGGGGTTCGAGACCAGCCTGACCAACATAGTGAAACCCCATCTCTACTAAAAATACAAAAATTGGCCGGGCATGGTGACGCATGCCTTGTAGTCCCAGCTACTCAGGAGGCTGAGGCAGGAGAATTGCTTGAACCCGGGAGGCGGAGGTTGCAGTGAGTGGAGATCGTGCCAATGAACTCCAGCCTGGGCGACAGAGCGAGACTTTGTCTCAAAAAATAAAATAAAATAAATAACATAAATAAATAAAATAAATAAAATAACAAATAAAATAAAACATAAATAAAATAAAATAAAATAAAATAACATCCCGTGTTAGTGTAGATGGAAGTAAGTATTCTCGGCCGGGCCCGGTGACTCATGCCTTATTATATCTTATTGTAATGGATTTTTCCTGTAGGACTATTTTACTTTGTTATAGTAAGAGTAAGAGGGACATTTTGTGATTTAGGAATTTGTAATTAACTGTTAACTGTAATATAAAGTAGGTGATTTATTCTTACCAGTGGCTCATGCCTGTAATCCCAGCACTTTGAGAGGCTAAGGTGGGAGCATTGCTTGAGCCCAGGAGTTGGAGACTAGCTCAGGCAACATAGTGAGACCCTTCTCTACAAAAAAATTAAAAATTGGCCTCGTGCGATGGCATGTGCCTGTAGTCCCAGGGATTCAGGAGGCTGAGGCGGGAGGATTGCTTGAGCCCAGAAGAGTGAGGCTGCAGCGAGCCGTGATCGTGCCACTGCACTTCAGCCTGGGTGATACAGCGAGACCAAGACCCTGTCTCAAAAGAAAAAAAAAAAAAAGATGAATTATCACCAGCTATGATTGTCTTTGTATGACTTAGTGACTTGATTTTTCCACAGAAATCTTTTAAATCTTAGGCTAATTGTTCCTGAAATCCAGCATGTTTCTTTTCTTTCTTTCCTTTTTCTTCTTTTCTTTAGAGACAGGGATCTCTCTCTGTTGCCCAGGCTGGAGCACAATGGAGGAGTCACAGCTCACTGTAGCCTTGAACTCCTGGCTTAAGTGATCCTCCTGCCCCAGCCTCCCAAGCAGCTAGGACTACAGGCACACACCACCACACCTGGCCAATCTTTTAATTTTTTTTTGTAGAGATGAGGTCTCTCTGTGTTGCCCAGGCTGGTCTTGAACTCCTGGGCTCAAGCAGTCGTCTTGCCTCAGCCTCCCAAAATGCTGGGATTATAGGTGTGAGCCACCGCACCCAGCCTGGAATCCCATTTTAAATGTACTGATGGAGTTGACAATGTCAAGGAAACTTGCGTTAATTTTTAAATTTTGTTTTTTGTATAGTGGATCCTTTCACAACATGAATAATTGCCCAATTTTATGTTTTGTCAATCTAGGACAGACCACTAGATAAGACAAGATTATAATTTGGGGAGTTGGCTTTCTTGATCAGTTTTCAGTGAAGGAAAAGTTACAATTTGTAAACTTATTTTTAACACCACCATAGTGATCATTTGATCAGTTTGTGAGAATGGCCCATCTGGTGGGTATCTCCAAGCACAGTTACAACTGTTTTTTCTTTTTTCCCGTTTTATCACAAAGTCTTATAAACTGAAGGCAATTATATGTTTTTATTGTTTATTTATTTTAGACACAGGGTTTTGCTCAGTCGCTCAGGCTGGAGGGCAGTGGTGAGATTATAGCTCATTGCAGCCTCAAACTCCTGGGTTCTGGCAATCCTCACACCTCAGTCTCCTAAAGCACTGGGACTATACGTGCATGCCGCCATGTTTGGCTGCAGTTACATCTTTTTATGTTAGTGTGTGATCTTTATTTGGGCATCTGTCAGTAGGTCCACTGTTGAACAGAGAACTAGTTAAAGTGACAAACAATGATGTCATTTGCTTTGCAAGTTGAGGAAATGAATATTAATTAGATATATCCACCAAAATGTAATTTTATTCATGCACTTTACCAAAGTTCCTTCCTATACAATAGTTCTTTTCTTGGCTGTTCATTTTCATCGTGATTTAATGAAGTCCCATCTGCTCAATTTAAGTGACCATCTTACATTTAGCCAGAATATACTGAGAAAAGTGCTGGAATCCCTCTCATTTTTTTATTTTTCTTTTTTGAGATGGAGTCTTTTTCTGTCACCCAGGCTGGAGTGCAGTGGTGCAATCTGCTCACTGCAACCTCTGCTTCCTGGGATGAAGTGATTGTCCTGCCTCAGCCTCCCGAGTACCTGGGGTTACAGGCGCCCACTACCGCGCCTAGCTAATTTTTGTATTTTTAGTAGAGATGGGGTTTCACTATGTTGACCAGGCTGGTCTGGATCTCCTGACTTCAAGTGATCCGTCCGCCTCGGCCCCCCAAAGTTCTGAGATTACAGGCGTGAGTCACGGCGCCTGGCTCTCCTCCCATTTATTGAGGAAATCCTGTCTTAAATCATTTTGTAACAAAGTAGGGTTTAAATAAATAATTCTGAGGAATTGTACACATTGTATTTTTTTTTCCTGACTGATTTTGTGCGAAAGGTAATTCCCTAGTTATCTCCCATAGATGACTATATGTTGTGTTGTACTTGGTTCTTAAATACTCAGTCACTGAGATTTACTTAGGCCATGGTTGAGAATGTTGAAAGCTTACGCTTTGGTTGAGAATTTTAAATGATCTCATAAATCTAGATTGACAAATTGTATTTTTGTATATGTGAGTTGTGCTATTGTCAGATAGCTACTTCTATTAAAGAGCTGATTACCAAGTTATGGAGTTTGGATATGCAGTGAAAATTCAGCTTTTAGAAGCCACAAGAAGACCAAAATGATAGCAGAATACAATAACTGAAGTTGCAACTGCTATGAAGTCTATACTATTTTAAAGAATGTTCCATGGCCTGGCGCGGTGGCTCAAGCCTGTAATCCCAGCACTTTGGGAGGCCGAGGCGGGTGGATCACGAGGTCAGGAGATCGAGACCATCCTGGCTAACACGGTGAAACCCCGTCTCTACTAAAAGTACAGAAAAATTAGCCGGGCGTGGTGGCAGGCACCTGTAGTGGTAGCTACTCGGCAGACTGAGGCAGGAGAATGGCGTGAACCCGGGAAGCGGAGCTGGCAGTGAGCCGAGATGGAGCCACTGCACTCCAGCCTGGGCGACAGAGCGAGACTCCGTTTCAAAAAAAAAAAAAAAAACCAAAACAAAACCAAAAAAAGAGTGTTCCAGAAAATTGCCATTTATTTATCTAATATGTACTGTTAAGCTAGAATCTGTCAGAATAGTTGAATTTTGAAGAAAATAGTAGCCGAGCATGGTGGTGGGCACCCATGATTCCAGCTCCTTGGGAGGTTAAAGCAGAAGCATCACTTGACCCCAGGAATTCAAGACCAGCATGGGCAACATAGCGAGACCCTGTCTTTAAAAACTTTTTTTTTTTTTTGAGACAGAGTTAGCTCTTGTTGCCCAGGTTGGAGTGCAGTGGCGTGATCTCAGCTCACTGCAACCTCCGCCTCCCAGGTTCAAGTGATTCTTCTGCCTCAGCCTCCCGAGTAGCTGAGATTACAGGCGCCTGCCGCCACACCCGACTAATTTTTTGTATTTTTAGTAAAGGCAGGGTTTCATCATGTTGGCCAGGCTGGTCTCAAACTTCTGACCTCAGGTGATCTGCTCGCCTCTGCCTCCCAAAGTGCAGGGATTACAAGCGTGAGCCACTGCGCCTGGCCAAAAACAAGTTTTTTTAAAAAAAAGTAAAATAAGGGCCTGTGACACAACTGAACTTCAATATAAATTGTTTCCAAAACTAGGGAAGACATTCAGAATCAAACCACAGGTTAAACACCGGCTTAAGCAGAAGGACCTGCATTTTTTTTTCTGTCTATAAGTTTATTCAATGCAAAATAATCCTCTCCAGTTTTACTGAGGTCACTGACCACACCCACAACCAAATCTGCTTCTAAACTGGAATTTGGTTGCTGACCCAACCCCGGCCTCGGCTTTCTCATCGGACCAGGGGACACAGCACTCTGTCTGTGGGTGTCTTTTGGCTTCCCCTTTTGTGAGCTTTGCGGGTTGCTCACCCTCCAGACCTTTAGGCCAAAGCCTGCCAGTCTCTGGATGCCTGTGGTATAGGGTGGAAGGCACAGTCTCACGGGGCAGATGGAGGTAATCAGAGATACTGGATACCGTCGTTGGTAAGGTACCAGTAGAAATGTCTCCAGACAAACCGTTCCTTCACGTAGCCTTAAGACTTGAGAGACTGCATGGCCTTCATGATGTAAAGGTTGGGCACATTCTTGTCTTCTGCCAGGTCTGGGTACTTAGGAAGGTGGACATCCTTCTTGGCCACCATGACTCCCTCCTTAAAAAGGAGTTCATAGATGGCAATCCCGTTCTTCTTAGGCATCAGCATCTTGGTGGCTGCAGGGCCCAGTTCCGGGGCTGGAGAGACCTGCAACTTAACAGAGATCGCATCTTCCAAGTCAAGACATTTGAAGGAAGAGATGCTAATCCATCCCGTAGAAGACAATATTGTGTCTCTAGTAAATGTTGGATGTGCTTTTGATTACTCAGAAAAATTTTTATATAACCTATTTTCCACATCTCCCAAACTAGATCATAGCAGTGGGGCTTAAAGGGTATGCAAACTTCAAACTTTTTAGATTAAACTTAACTCTTCGGTAGGAAAGGTGAAGGACTGGTAGGAAAAGGAAAACTAGAAAGATATTTGCCGTTTTCTTCCGTTTATAATTAACTCCCTATTCTAGACTACCTTCTGTTGTATCTACTTGGACTAATGGGGAAGATGTTTAAGGATTTGCAGGTGCAAAAAGTATCCTAAAAAGATAGCTTCCCCACTTCCCTTCTCTTTCTTCTCCCCAGTAATTCTCCTTGTACATTTGAAATGGGCTGTATAACATCATCATAGCCTTTGGAAATGACACCTAAAGGCAGGTCCCCCTCCCCCCATACACTGACACCCACACCTGTTCCCAAATTAGCCAACTGACACTTTAAAGTTGTATTTTCTTTTATTTAAAAAAAAAAAAAAAAGGCTGGGCATGGTGGCTCATTCCAGCACTTCGGGAGGCCGAGGTGGACAGATTGCTTGAGCTCAGGAGTTCGAGACCAGCATGGCCAACATGGCAAGACGCCCGTCTCTACTAAAAATTAAAAAAAAAAAAAAATAGCCAGACATGGTGGTGTGCGCCTGTGGTCCCCAGCTATTTAGGAGGCTGAGAGAGGAGGATTGCTTGAGCTGAGGTGGGGGTTGGGGCTAAGGTTGCAGTGAGCCGAAATCACACCACTGCACTCCACCCTGGGTGACAGAACGAGAACTTGTCTCAAAAAATAAATAAATAAAATAAGATATAGCACTTGCTTTATATGAAGCAGTTCATAAAACCCATTTTGCCAGCTCAGGACTAATGAAAAACTATTTTTATTACGTATAATTAACCTAATTTAGGAAAAAGAAGCAGACTTACGGGAAAGGCTAGCACTGAGACAAGGAAGCTCAAAAATTGCTCTCCTGAGATTACTATTACCAGCCCCAGTATAGCATTTGAAATTGTTATTAGAATTCTTGAACCTAGTTGCTCACATCTAGGGCTGAGTTTGTAAGGGTTAAACAAGTTGTCCGTTAGATTCAACATGAATATTTCCAGGGTTGCTCTAACTTCAGACATTAGATCAGCTTATTTGATAGGCTGGAGGTGTGTTATTGTACAAAATTTGGAATGGTGGCTCGAGAGGAATAAGAGATTCCATCCCACTGATACTGTCTCTCAGCTTCTCATATCTACTGCCCTTGTTCGGCATTATCAAAACGTAGTATTCCAAAAGCTGTTTCTGTATAGTTCACCTTTATATTTATAGTATCACTAAAAAAAGATTTCATTTAAATCTCTAAATTTTTTTTTTCAGAAGATTGCTGCCAAGCTTGTCCCCCTCTTGACTTTTGAGTCTTTGTCTTATTTCACACACTGAGAACAGTTACCTAATTGAGTCTTAAGATTATAAAATCCAGTATAAAAACATCTTACAATTAAAAAATACTCTTTTTAAGTTAAAAAATTATGTTTCAAATTTAGAGCTTATCACGTTTCATGGCCCAAAATAGCACATTGAGTTTTTGGCATCTTCTCGCCTGCCCATGCCAATGAAAGCCACACCATATGGTATGACTGCTGTTACTTTAGGAAACCCACACACGGCGGAGACATTGCCAGGCATGAAGCTGAGGCGCTGCTCTCATATGCTTATCTTTGTAAGCCAACATATTGACCAGGATATATTAGGATTCCAGTACATCATGGTCTTCTATCAATTGAGACTTCGAGCTCTTTCTCCAACAGCTTTAACATTTGGCCACATAATGAAAACACATGTTCTGAACATCACGGACTCTCTTACTCAACTTCAGGAAGAAGCTTTTGAATGACAGCTGCAAGAAAGGAAAGCACAATCAATAAGTATTTTAGTGCCCCTTAAGTTCTAGCACCCGTCCACCACTGTGCCCTTTCTTTTTATATTATTTTTATTTTAGAGATCTTGCTCTGTTGCTCAGGCTGGAGTGCAATGGTGTGATCATGGCTCATTGCAGCCTCAACTTTCCCCAGTTCAAGCAGTCTTTTCCTCTCAACCTCCCAAGTAGCTGGGAATACGGGTGCTCACCACCACGCCTGGCTAACTTTTTTTTTCTTTTTTTTTTCTTTTTGGCACAGATGGGATTTTGCTATGTTGCCCAGGCTGGTCTTGAACACCTGGGCTTGAGTGATCCCCCTGCCTTAGCCTCCTACAGTGGTGGGATTACAGGCGTGAGCCACCACGCTCAGCCCCTTTTCCTGTTGTTTATTTTCCATTTTATAGAACAGTCATTTAGTTCATTGTGGACTTCATCCAAACTTTTCTCAAGGTTATAAAATTACTATTAAGGCTTTTTAATATAAAATTAGCAAATTCTCCTGAAAATAAAAGGTGTACAGATTTTGTTCACCAGCTTTGTCTAGTCATACTTGGAGCAAATATTGAACGTGCTATGCTAGCTGTGCTAGGCACTATGTATAAAAAGATGGAGAAGACTGGCCAGGCGCGGCGGCTCACGCCTGTAATCTCGGCACCTTGGGAAGCCGAGGGGGGCGGATCACGAGGTCAGGAGATCAAGACCATCCTGGCTAACACAGTGAAACCTCGTCTCTACTAAAAATACAAGAAGTTAGCTGGGCGTGGTGGCGGGCGCCTGTAGTCCTCAGGAGGCTGAGGCAGGAGAATGGCGTGAACCCAGGAGGCGGAGCTTACAGTGAGCTGAGATTGCATCACTGCACTTCAGCCTGGGCAACAGAGCAAGACTCCATATCAAAAAAAAAGATGGAGAAGACAAAATTCCACCTGCAAGGAACATGTAAACAGGTTATAATACAGTACACTACTTTATTAGACAGATAGAAAGCATACTATGGTCATATCTTGAAGTGACTCATAAAATTAAACTTTCCAAAGACTCAAAAGGAAAATATTAAATTTTTGCAGAAGTGCTTATTAGTGTTATTGCCTGATCCATCAAGAAATGCTTAAAGCTCAGAGAGGAATGTATAAGATTGATTCATTGAACCAACATTGGTTCATTTGCTAATTGGCAAATGACTGAAAAATTAAGTGTTGTTTGGTATTATTAATATTTTTTTTTTTGGTGATGGAGTCTCTGTCACCCTGGCTGGAGTGCAGTGAGGTGATCTCAGCTCACTGCAACCTCCACCTCCTGGGTTCAAGTGATTCTCCTGCCTCAGCCTCCTGAATAGCTGGGATTACAGGTGCCTGCCACCACGCCCAGCTAATTTTTCTATTTTTAGTAGAGACGAGGTTTCACCATATTGGCCAGGCTGGTCTTGAACTCCTGACCTCATGTGATCCGCTTGTCTCGGCCCCACAAAATGCTGGGATTACAGGCCTAAACTACTGTACCTGGCCCTGTTTGGTATTATTTCTAAGAATTGATCATCTAATAGTCTTATGGGAATTTTTAGAGAATTGAGATTTAAATTGAGGCTAAAAGTCCTGAAAAATTGTCCACGAAGGAAGTTGTTTGGGAGAAGCTGTTGATGTCAATTTGACCCCAGTAAGCTGTCTTTGGAAGCCTAGATGTCAGATTTCTGTCAACCAGATAACATATGGAATGCCAGTGAATGCCTAGAATTGTGTGGTAGGCCAAGCTGTGGTTACTGCCTTCAAAGAACTTTCTTAAATATAAGTGTCTGGACTGTTATCTTAAGAAGAAAACTTCTGCCAGAGGCTACAGAGGTTTTGTGATCAACCAAGGATTTTTCATTTGAATTCAGATATTTTTGGGAAGAATTTAAAGATAGCTATAATTTGGAGCCAGATTTATGCCAGCAAAATCATTTATGCCGTTGCCTGCTTTGTGATGTTATGGTTGTACCAAGTAAGAATTGGAACACAGGTTCAGAATACTTATTTTCTGGTGTCCTATGGCAGATATTTTTAGAATGCAGAGCAGCTAAAGTGCTCGTTGTGAGTCAGGTTCTTACCCAGAAATAGATATTGACTATTGACTATTGTCTTTACAAAAAAAAAATAGCTGGGCTTGGTGGCGCACGCCTATTATCCCAGCTACTCGGGAGGCTGAGGCAGGAGAATCGTTTGAACGCAGAGGTGGAAGTTGCAGTGAGCCGCGATTGAGCCACTCTGCTCCAGCCTGGGCGACAGAGCGAGACTCCATCTCAAAACAAACAAACAACTTTGGATTTTTTATTTCTGAATTCTTCTGTTCTGAAAATACTGTTTTAAGCCATCATCAGTGGATTAAATGAATACTTTATATCAAAAGGATACAGCTTTTGGTATCAGAGACAGTTGAAATGATCCCTCTATGGAAGTGGAAATTTTTCACAGATGTCAACGTTGTGAGTTGGTGATTACGCTATCAGAGTTTGTCAGAGGGGTTTGGAAAGATAGGACTCTAATTTTTATGGGAGAAAGGTTGAAAAAAATGTATTTTTTCTCTCTTCATCATAGCTCAAATTCAAATCACTTTCATTCAAAGCATTTTCATGCAATTAATGATTGGCTTCTTCCAAAACATAGCACAAATTAACTGGTAGAACAGGAATTAGAATGAACAATTCCATAGTCTTACCCTGTGAGTTGTTTCCTCACTATTCCAAAAGAATGCTAAATGTGAAAAAAATATACTTTGTCATAAATAGAAACTGAGCCTTAAGCCAATACACAGATGCAAGACACTTTTGTTGTGTCTGATCTATTTTGGAGGCAATTACTTATGTAAGCTAGATCTGCTTAATCTTAAATTCTAAAGCGAAATGTGATTAGTCATCTTTGGAAAAAGGATCTACTCTTCATTTTTTCTGTTTTTGTTTTTCTGAGCTTTAAGGACAGGATGTATAATTGTATTAAATAAGTTATTGGTAAAGTAAGGAAAAGATCGATGAGGTGATTTACATTTATAGAAATTGTTTTTGTTTAATTGAGGCACTACCTCTACATCCCCCTTGGAGGCAAGGGAACACAACAAAACCAGAAAAGTTTAGGAATTTGTTATGGCCCCAAAATGATATAATAAAAGACTGTCTTAAACCAGCGAAGTCAACTTCCTATTCTTATGCACCATTTCGTTGTTCTGGAAGCGGGGGCAGTTCTAGCAACCAGTTGAGTAAATTATTTTGCTAGGTCTAGTGTTGTGATCCTTTGCTCAGTGATAAGCCTTTGGGGAAGGAAGGCTTCTCTCACTTTTCAAACTTCATTAAAATGGTGGGTCCAAATTATCACGTTACTCACTTCTAGTCAGGGATCCTTTTTTTTTTTTTGAGATGGAGTCTCACTCTGTCGCCCAGGATGGAGTGCAGTGGCACGATCTCAGCTCACTGCAACCTCCGCCTCCCAGGTTCAAGTGATTCTCCTGCCTCAGCCTCCCAAGTAGCGGGGATTACAGGTGCCTGCCACCACGCCTGGCTAACTTTTGTATTTTTAGTAGAGACGGGGTTTCACTATGTTGGCCAAGCTGGTCTCAAACTCCTGACCTGAGGTGATCCGCCTGCCTTGGCCTCCCAAAGTGCTGGGGTTACAGGTGTGAGCCACCACGCCCGGCCTAGTCAGGGATCCTTCTAATCATAAATTCTTATCTTTGTTTATGGCCTACACTAAAGTTTCAGAAGTCTTAAGTCAAAGCCTTGTATTTTATTTAATTAATTAATTTGTTAAGACAGAGTCTTACTTTGTGACCCAGGCTGCAGTGCTGTGGTGCGATCTCTGCTTACTGCAATCTCTATCTCCTGGGCTCAAGCGATCCTTCCACCTCAGCACCCCCCCGCCCAAGGAGCTGGGACTACAGGCACATGCCACCACACCTGGCTAACTTTTGTATTTTTTGTAGAGACAGGGTTTCACCATGTTGCTCAGGATGGTCTGGAATTCCTGGGCTCAAGCAGTCTGCCCACCTCAGCCTCCCAGAGTGCTGAGATTACAGGCGTGAGCTACAAAGCCTTGTGTTTTAGACATTAGATTTCCCAGTACTCTTCTGAAGAACAGTAATTATGATTATGAAAATTTCAAAGATACTATGGTAAGATCTGATCGTCTTTGAAAGAATTACAGTAATGTAGCTCAGGACTTCCTTTTTTTTTTTTTTTTTTTTTTTTTTTTTGAGACGGAGTCTCGCTCTGTCGCCCAGGCCAGACTGCGGACTGCAGTGGCGCAATCTCGGCTCACTGCAAGCTCCGCTTCCCGGGTTCACGCCATTCTCCTGCCTCAGCCTCCCGAGTAGCTGGGACTACAGGCGCCCGCCACCGCGCCCGGCTAATTTTTTGTATTTTTAGTAGAGACGGGGTTTCACCTTGTTAGCCAGGATGGTCTCGATCTCCTGACCTCATGATCCACCCGCCTCGGCCTCCCAAAGTGCTGGGATTACAGGCGTGAGCCACCGCGCCCGGCCAGGACTTCCTTTTATACTGCTTTGTACTACCTGTTCACAGGTGACTGTCAGGTGACTTCAGTAACAAACTCAGACAAATGCATGACATTTAAACTGAGTTATTGAAGTCATTGATATTGCTTTATTAAAGTTGACCGGTTGGTAACAAACATTTACTTTTACAAAATTAATCAACATGAGTTTGATGTGATGAGAGAATTATATTGACTGGAAGTGGTAGGCATGAAGCATTTCCTAAGTAAAACTTAGAAAAGAGACCTTAGTTAACCAATACCGTCTTGGTTTGTTTGCATGTTAAAAGATGTCTGCATCTGAGCAGTTGAACTTAAATATAAAGTTGAGCTTAGATACAAAGGTTCTTTAGAACTTTAAAAGACATGGGTGAACAAAACCCAAACTAATCCTCTGATGTTTACTTAGAAACAAAAACCTAAATGAAATTCAAAATAGATATCTGAATCTAGATTTGTGTATAAACATTAGATTGAAAGACTAGGGTCTGGAACAGACAGAAATTCCACACATACTTTTCTGGGCTTGGAAAACTTGGTGGAGTGGGCCTGGCATGGTGTGGCTCATGCTGGTAATCCCAGCACTTTGGGAGGCTGAGGTGTGTGGATCCCTTGAGCCTAGGAGTGCGAGACCAGCCTGGGCAACATGGTGAAACCCCGTCTCTACAAAATACACAAAAATTAACCAGGTGTAGTGGCATGCACCTGTAGTCCCAACTACTAGGGAGGCTGAGGTGAGAGGGTCACTTGAGGCTGGGAGGTTGAGGCTTCAGTGAACTGAGATTGTACCACTGCACTCTAGCCTGGGTGACAGAGCGAGACCCTGTCTCAAGAAAAACAAGAATACTTGGTGGAGTGATTTAAATCCTGTTTTTCCATTAGGATTAGATCTTTCCACCAGAATTTCCTGAATTTATTCCTTTTTTCTAGTTTATCCTAATGTGAATGAACTAATTTAAACTGAAGTTGCCTTCCTGTAGCCAAGAATCTACATATCTGCAAACTTATTCCTGAAGTTGAGGCTTTAATAGAACACTTCTTTTGTATTTTTTTCTTATTTTTGAGATTGATTTATTTTGGGATTGGGGCAATGCAGAATTAACACTCTTCTAGAAGTATGCAATAATTATTATTACAATTATAGATTATATTTATTACATACTTACTACTAGCATTGTGCTAGGTGCTTTAAGTATTTTGCTCCACTTAGGCTTACAAATGTTAAATAATGGCCGGGCGCTGTGGCTCACACCTGTAATCCCTGCACTTTGGGAGGCCGAGGTGGGAGGGTCACAAGTTCAAGAGATTGAGACCATCCTGGCCCAAATGTCGAAACCCTGTCTCTACTATAAAGTACAAAAATTAGCTGGGCGTGGTGGCACGTGCCTGTAATCGTAAGACTAAGTAAGGCAAGAGGGTCGCTTAAACCTGGGAGGCAGAGGTTGCAGTGAGCCGTGATCAAGCTATTGCACTCCAGCCTGGGCGACACAGTGAGACTCCATTTCAAAAAACCAACCAACCAAACAACAACAAAAAACAAAATTAGCCAGGCGTGGTGGCGCATGCCTGAAGCAGGAGAATCGCGTGAACCTGGGAGGCGGAGGTTGTGGTGAGCCGAGATTGTGCCATTGCAGTCCAGCCTGGGCAACAAGAGTGAAACTCTGTCTCAAAACAACAAAACAAAACAAAACAAATACGTGTTAAATAATTTTTCCAAGATCTTGCAGCTAGTACCTGGAAGAGCCCAAATTTGTTCCCAGATCTCTTTCCAAAATTTATGCTGCATAGCCAAACCTATAGATTGTGTAGTAATGAATGCTTAGAAATACTTAGGAGTCGTCTTTGTTTTTCCATTAATGGAGATGAACATTCCTTATTAGGGAGGTAATACATTTTCAACCATTGACATACCTATGAGATGTTTTAAAACAGTAATTCTAAAAGGATCTGCATCTGTTCTGCCCATCTCCTTTCACTTCTACAAGCCATTTCTATAACAATATTTTCCCTTCCTTGGAAAGGTAGTCATCTGTTTTTCTGGAATCATATTAGATTTGCAATCAACTGGAGTCAAGCTGTCTTGCTTTTTATCCCATCTCCCCCCTATTCTCACTGAAGCACAGGGAATTAGAATTTGTTCAGGTCGTGTGGTGATCACTGGCTCAGGTGGAGTACCATCAGCAGGATTCTCCCGGTCTTTTGTACTTTGTACTTTGTTTTCAAAATCAGTTAATTTCATAACAGAAAATGAGCACTTTAAAAGGCACAGATGTGATTTGGAGATTATGGGTAATTTTTAGATTGCATCTTTGTTAATATTTACATTAGTTTATCAGTATTTCCCAAACTATAATATAGTTTGATATAGTGGTAATTATTGATGTATACCTTTTTTCTACCAACTGTAGAATGATGTTATCTAAGCAAGAAGAAATGTAGGGACTTTTTGAGGATTTTATCAGATTTTTATGCACATTACTAACATTTGCAAACCCAGAAGATTTCAGTTTTTTGTCTGTTTTTTTGGAGGTAAGTTCTCACTGTGTTGTCCAGGCTGGAGTGCAGTAGCTATTCACAGGCTCTAACATAACACAATACTGCCTCCAACTCCTGGTCTCAAGAAAGCTGTCCACCTCAGCCTCCCAAGTAGCTGAGACTGCAGGCATGTGCCACTGAGCCTGGCCTGATTCTGTTTTTAAAATATATTAAATTTTTTTCCCAATTTAGCCTGGTCTCTTTCTTTGAGCTACGCGTCTTTCAGAATTGTGCAGTGAAGTGTGCTGTCTTAATTCAGATGGAAGTCCACTTCCTGAATCCAAGCTGTACTCTTCAGAAGCACCAGTAATTTGCACTGGGTTATACAGAAAGAGTTCAGCACATTCTGGCAGCTCAGCCCTATTTGCTCTTGCTTAGGCCAGTTCAAGTAAACAATGCACTCACCACGGGTCAGTATGGAAGAGTTGTGGCATGTGCAGGTACTCGGGTCTGGGGTGTGAGAAATTATATTTAATTTCAGGACTTTTTTGCATCATGTAATCTTACATCCCTCATTTGTATTTTGTTTTCAAAATTATAGAAGTAACATAGTTGGATTGGTGGTATGAGCTGCATTGACAGAATCATTCCAGATTTACTGGTTGTAAACATTAATGGTATTGTCAGATGTCTGGAAATTTTTTCTTTTAGTCTAGTTTTTCCTTCCTTCCTTCCTTCTTTCCTTCCTTCCTTCCGTCCTTCCTTCCTTCCCTTCTTCCCTTCCTCCCTCCCTCCTTCCCTCCTTCCCTTCCCTTTTTTTTTTTTGACAGAGTTTCGCTTTTGTCACCCAGGCTGGAGTGCAATGATGCAATCTCGGCTCACTGCAACTTCCGCCTTCTGGGTTCAAGCGATTCTCCTGCCTCAGCCTCCCAAAGTAGCTGGGATTACAGGTACCTGCTACCATGCCCAGCTAATTTTTTTGTATTTTTAGTAGAGATGGGGTTTCACCATGTTGGCCACGCTGGTCTTGGAACTCCTGACCTCAGGGTGATCCGCCCGCCTCGGCCTCCCAAAGTGCTGGAATTACAGGCGTGAGCCACCGCGCCCGGCCTAGTCTAGTTTTCTTTGCATTTGGCTATAGTAGCTACTGATTTGACAAATTTGTACCTTTGTTCAGCTGTTCCAAATCATGTGACAGGGCAAAGAAAGAATATAAAAGGATGCCATATCAAAGTTGATAATTCTGTTCATTATTCATACAGTGCCCTTCAGATAATTTTTTTCACCCTGCATTCTAAAACTCCCATGTAAAAGTTAGCTATACTATTCAAACCAGATCATCAGATGGTTAATGTGCTTTTCTTAGAGTAGAACTGTCAGTCTAGGACTCTAAGAGGGCAGATTGCTACCTGCTGTGTCCCAGAGGATGTAAATATATATTTCCTCCCTGCCACCACCCCTTTGAAATAGACAGTGGAAGGGGGAAAAATAGGAAAATATGAACTGGGAAAGTGTATCATTAAACTCCCCTGCTTTCCCAGTCATGAAGATGTATTCTAAATATTTTCTGAGGTGTCTATGTATATCCTAAACTGGAATGACCTTTTTTTTTCTTTTTTTACACATGGTATAAAAATTTTAAAGTGCAAAGAGTATGTAGTAAAAATAAGCCTTTTTAGGTATCCTTTCAGAAATAATCTATACACATACAATAAAACATGTGTGTCATGTATTTTGAATTCTTATTCTTTGCCTGTATGAAGCATGGCCTCTTGGAGAGCAGGAACGTTTTTGTTGTTTAAAATGGTTAGATTTTATACAGAGGATGAAAGGCCAGTAGTCACATATATTTGCAAAGCCTTCTATAATATTTGAAGGCCTTCTACATAACTTTTCTCCTGATGCTTATAACAGCCCCATGAGGTAGGTAAAGCAGGATTTACCTCTTTTATCTACACAAAATTTGAAGCTTAAAGAATGTTATGCGATAAATGTGCAGTGGAACTGGAATCAAAACCCAAGTCTTTGGCTGTTATTCCAGAATTCTTGTTTCCATTTTGCCTCTCAAACATGATAGCTTGAGGGGATCCGTTATCTTGTATCTTCTTTTATGAGATGTGAAAAATACCATGAGTAGCTAATTTTAGACTTTTTTTTTTTTTTTTTTTTTTTTGAGACAGAGCCTTGCTCTGCCACCTAGCCTGGAGTGTGGTGGTGTGATCTTGGCTCACTGCAACTCCGCCTCCCAGGTTCAAGTGATTCTTCTGCCTCAGCCTCCCGAGTAGCTGGGACTACAGGCACGCACCACCACGCCTGGCTAATCTTTGTATTTTTAGTAGAGACAGGGTTTCACCATATTGGCCAGGCTGGTCTCGAACACCTGACCTTGTGATCTGCCCGCCTCAGCCTCCCAAAGTGCAGGGATTACAGATGTGAGCCACCACACCCGGCAGAAGAATTTTTATACTGTATTTCGGTAGCAGTAGTGTGGTAGTTACAACCTCACAGTTCAGAAATATGACCTTTTTGATGTATTTCCTACAAAGCAGTTTATAAACATTAGTGCCACTTTCATTACATGTGGATACCATAACTGACTTTATTCAGGCAGCCGAGCAGTGAAAACAAGGCCTTTTATCTCTTGATAGCTGTGTGCCTGCCATGGCTAGGAGCCAAAGGGATAAACCTGTCCAAGGTTCTTCCCCTCGATGCCAAAGTGGAATCTGAACAAGCATTTGATAGAGTGCCTGACTCTGTTTCCTTCCCCCATAATTTAGGTAAAAATGGTTAACACCAGCACCAAACTGTATTCTAGATTTCTAAGTCATCTCCTAGGGAGAAAAAATGAGTGGTGGGAGGAAAAAATTTTCAGATAGTAGACTGTCATGGGGATGATTTTTAGTCCCAGCAGACTTAAAAACTCTTGTCATTGCAAGACAATCCTTACGTTTCTTAAATGTTAGGCAGTCCCAGATGGGAATTTGATGAAAAGATTGGTTGAGCTCTGTATATGAAAAGAAATATCTCTAAATGTTCCCCTGAAGGGATGGCCTATCTCCTATAGTTTATGAGCACCTTGTTTCTAATTCCTGTTAGTAAAATAAATGGGAAATATAAGGAAAGAATTTACATTTTTTTATACACGGTAGAAAAAAATTACATGTTTTTGTAATTTACATTTTATAAAATTTACAGTTTATACTTACAAAATTTACATTTAATACTTTATAAAATTTATGTATTTAATTTTATATTCATGGATTAATAAATATTATAATCCAATGTAAAAGTCATTACATTTGCCATAATGTAATGATTCAGTTTTTCTTCAGTAACTAAATTGCTATATATATATATATATATATAAAATATATATATATAAAATATATATATATAAAATATATATATATAAAATATATATATATAAAATATATATATAAAATATATATATATAAAATATATATATATATAAAATATATATATATAATATATATATATAAAATATATATATATAATATATATATATAAAATATATATATATAAAATATATATATATAAAATATATATATATAAAATATATATATATTTGTATTTGTTTATTTTTTCACTCACAGGTCAACCATGAACTATATTCTTATTTGTTATTTTTTATTTCCTGCTTTGGGCATAGAAGATGAGAAATTATACTAATTTGAGTGTTTCCACTTGGTCAGTTTAACTAGTGTTAGAGTTTTCTTAAAACTAAGATATAATTTGACTTCTCAAAGTAAAGTTTGGGGCAGAGCATCTTCTCTAGAGAGATGGATCTTTCTGTCAGGGAGTCAGGAGTTACTCAGTCTTTTTTGGGAGATGGAGGGAGGTCAACCATTAGGTCCAAAGCAGTGGTTTTGAGTAATTAGCGATTGCTGTGTGTTTTCATATTTTCAGAATAGGGATATAACCTCACTGAAGATGACATAATTAGTACTTGACAAAGCTAAAAGTCCTGTCAGTATATTTATACCTATGCGTAAGTATGCTCTCTGAGTCATTCTGCTAATTCCCACTGTAAAATACGTATACCCTTTTATTTTATTAGAATTAAAGGGCTTTGAGGAGATTTTTCATTTTAAAGGTACAAGACAAGTTTTAACGTCAACATAGCCCACTCACTGTTCTATATTTATGTGAGACCTTTTAAGAACCAGGGATAAATGGGCTCTAATTTGTCTGTGAGGGTCTTGCCCCGTCTATCTTTAAAACTTAACGTGTTCCTATAGGAGTAACTATATAATATTTGACAACTGTTATCCCACCGTCCACTTGGGAAGCACACAAGTAATAAAAGTAAATCAAATTATGACACTGTGTTTAGCATGACATCTTAATTTGAACTATGAGAAACCATTATTGGACCAATGTTGGATTTTTACTAAAGACTTGTAGTTGTCCTAGCACGTATTAGGAGATGCCAAATGAATAAGCCTAGGAGTGATTGTCATGGGGTCCCTCACTTTCTCAGCCATCGGCACAGAATGTGCCTTTTCAATGCCACCCACAGCCTAGTGCTCCACCTTTCACAGCCTACCTCTCATCTGCCTCAACCTGCACACAGCATCCTTAACCAAACCACAACCGCCTATAAGACTTAATTCAAATGTACCCTCCATGAAACTTTCTCTGACTGACTTTATTGCCATACTCATCTCATAGGGTTAGTGGTGCTTTCTTCCTTCTTTAAAATATCAAGTCCTCCTTTCCCCCTAAAAACTCCACATTCAGCCTTGTATGATGATTAGATATGCACTTGAGAGCCAGCTTCTGTATCTCATGTCTTTTTAAGAAAAAAAAAAAAAAAAAAAATCTCAAAATCTCCCGTTGGACCTGTACAGTAACTCCTTTTTGAAAAGGTAGTTGAATGTTAAAGACTTAAATAAAAGCAGCTACAACTCTTTAGTGAATCAGAACATTGTTGGAAGGCGTAAAGCCTGTGCTGATCACTGTCCTTTTGGAAAAACAATACTCAACCACTATCCCTGGGTAAAATAAGAAAAATAAATTCTGATAGAGCCAGAATAAGGCACTAAGAGGAAAGCAGTTCTAAACCTGAGGATTGAGATTGCATTTAGACTTGCTCAGGAGAGTTTCCCGGGGGTAAAAGATTGGGTTTATTTTGTTAGAGACCAGCTACATTATCTTCATTGTCACTGGGGCTTTGGACAAGGTTAATAAATGAAGTGTTCGTGTGATGGGAAGTTACTGGGTTCTTAATGAATAAACTCCCAGAAGACTTGACTTAATACTGCAGCAGAGTGTCTCCAATTGAAAGGAGGCATTAGGTTATCGCGTGACTTCAAATTTTTCTAAGGCTGTAAAAGCACTGATACTGTTGGCATCTTTTGTTTGTTTTCTCCTGAGGGATTCAAAAACAAAGTCGGTTGTCACTTAATTTAGTACCAGGTATCTTAGAAAAAGGACCCTATTCCTTTATGTGATCTGATGTAGTTCAGCTTCAGTGGAAACTGTAGAATGTTCCATATTTTAGACAACATCCAACTCCCAAGCATTTCTGTTTCAGAAACTGGGACACCTTCCAAGATAGCTTTATGAATCCTTTAATTTCTCCTGCCAGACTCATTAACTCAGCCTATTCACCTTGGGGAAATCATAGTTCCAAGACTTTCTGTAAAAACCTTCCTCCTAAGTGAATGCGGTAGTTGATTTGAGAACATTCAGACTCAAGCTTTTCAGTAGTTTATTCTGAAACCTGTTTGTTGTGACTTTGACTAGGAGAGATTAAGGTGAAACAGTAGTAACCATCATAATATACAAATTATCTACATTAAAAAAACTTGAAATTCAATAAGTACATTTTTAAATTCCACATCTCAGATTTTATGGACTCATAAAGCTGGAAAGAACCGCAACCAATGTTTGACCAGTATTTCTTAATTTTTTCTTGTCTCGTGGATCTTTTTGAGATGGTGATAGCTGTTGTGGATATTCTTCTCAGAAAAATATACATACACACAAATGCTTGCATTCAATTTCAAGACATCTCAGACTCCCAAAGCCTGTTCATGGATTCCCACTCTAGTTCAAAGCCTGTTGTTAGGGGTTTAGAGAAGTTAAGTGATGTACCTAAAGTCACACACTTCTATTGCTAACTACTATAGAAAAGTGGCAGGGTTCTTTTTTGTTTTCTGTTTTTTGTGAGGTTTTTTGTTTTGTTTTGTTTTGTTTTTTAACCATTTCCTGATACACTCATCATGTTCTTTATTGAAGTCAAGCAGGTGTCTCCAAGTACTTGGTGCTTTTCCCTTTACTGCCTTTGCTGTATCATTTATACAGCATTACCCAAGTTCCTTCTCTGTTTTAGTCACTGATGCATTGGGATGGGGATGTGCTAAATCTCTTCATTTTCTCATTCTTCCATTTATAATAGTTTACTTATTGATACTAATATATGCAATGTCAGGAATCACTTCTCTCATATTTGGTCATTAAATTAGCAGCTATTTATTATACTTTTCATGACTTTTTTTCTTACAGTTTTCCATAGTAAGAGGACAGTTTTATTTCCAATGAGTAAACACTTGATGTAAGAGATCCTTCTTTTTGAAGCCCAGACTTCTATCTCCAGAATAAGGAGTAGCTGATAATGTGACATAGCTCAGCTTCTAATTTGATGCCTCCACAGGCTAGGAGCCAGCACTTTGCCCCTGGTTTGAAGAATGCAGGTAGAGGTAGGAATCTTAATGATGATAAGAAGTTTTTTTCCTCTATCTTGGTCATGTTCTTCCTATCATTTGAAAAATCAGTAACCATTCCCCCAGTAGATACATACTCATAAAATATTAGTTACACCCATGTTATATGCATTATAAAAATACGTTAAAACATAAATTAAAGGATAAGCTTTTTTAAAAACAGAAGCTCTGTTATTTTCTTCCTGACCCCCAAGGGATCATGTAACTTCTTCCTTGAGGAATCACTCCACTCCTTTTTGGAGACCACTCTTCTAATTCTTTAGGCCTATCTCAAGTCCCTCCTCTTGCTTGTTTGATTTCGCTATTTTAACTGTATAACTGTATTGTAAACAACTTGAGATTAGAGACCAGATAGAATGTTGTCTTTGTATCCTGCAACAATGCCTAGCACAATTTTGAGTTCATCATCATTATTCAATATATACTTGTTGGCTAATTTCTTGGGATCATCTCAGAGCATTATTTCACTAATTATTACCAAAGAGGAAGAAAAAAAATCCTCAATTTTATCTTATTTTAGTAATTCTGGGTGTTATTCCTCATGCTATTCATCTTCTAGGATTAGAGACAAGTGAGCCTGTCTGCACTTAAAGTTTTGTGGAAATAGATGTACTATATCTGATGAAGTGGTTTAATTGGGACATAATGAGAATGGTGCAGTGTGAGAACCAAACCCGAATCAGCACCCGCATCTGTTTTCGTTCCTTGAGATTTCTGTTCATTGGTTCTTTATCACATGACTGAGTGCTGAAGCATAGTGTTTTCTTTTTATTTATTTATTATTTTTATTTACTATCTCGAGTTCATTTATTCTGACATTATTGATGCACCCACCATTCCCAGGGTAGTATAAAATACTCCTTTGTATTTTATATTTCGTACTCTCTCTTCTCTTCCTCTAAATCACCACTGTGTTCTTGGATTCTAAACACCCTTCTAAATTTCTGAAATTAGTTGTCACAATTATGCTTAACAATTCTTCATAGCGATTTGGTTCCACGAATCTCAAAGACCTAACATCATAACCTTGTTTTTACGGCATTCCTATTCTGTCATCTTTTCTTTCTGCGTAGAGAAACTAAACCTAGGAAAAAGCTGGGCATACTGGCTCATGCCTGCAGTCCCAGCACTTTGGGCAGGTGAGGCAGGAAGATCACTTGAGACCAGAAGTTGAGATCAGCCTAGGCAACATAGCGAGACCCGGTCTGTACAATAAAATTTTAAAAAATTAACCAGCTATCATGGCACATACCTTTAGTCTCAGCTACTAGGGAGGCTGAGGCAGGAGGATCAGTTAAGCTCAAGAGGTGGATGCTGTATTGAGCCATAATGGTGCCACTGCCCTTCAGCCTGGCAACAGAACAAGACTCTATCTCAAAACTAAATGAATGAATGAATGCAAAAATAAGACCCATTTATAGTCAGTTGCAAATCAAGATAGCAAAAGAGATGAAAAGCAAGCACTGGTGTCCAGATTTGCACTTTCGTGTCTCCATGGATTATGTCATTTCTTCATGAAAGGTACAGTAGTGCTCTGTGCTTTCCAATATAATTCACTAATTTTAGATCATAGCTGTTACAGGTTCTAATTTAAAGGCTTTGATATTTTTATTTTATTTGTTTGATAGATATATTAGTCATTTTTTCTTCATAACAGACACCCTCAAACTTTCATGGGCTTAACTTGAGGCTTGTTTTTCTTGCCCATGGGTTATTAGAGATGGCTTTGCTTCAGGCTACAGGTTGAGGGTTAAGTTCAGGTCTGCTCCACATGTCTCTTTTCTTTGTACTACCATGTTCTCATGGGGAATGGCAGGGGTGCAGGAATACAGGCCAAACTACCCAGGCACATTTAAATCCTCTGTTCATATTGTATCTTCTAAAACTCCATTGGCCTGAGCATGTCAGTGGCCTATATTATATTATGTTACATTAACAGTATTACAGGCCGGGCGCGGTGGCTCACGCCTGTAATCCCAGCACTTTGGGAGGCCGAGGCGGGCGGATCACGAGGTCAGGAGATCGAGACCATCCCGGCTAAAACGGTGAAACCCCGTCTCTACTAAAAATACAAAAAATTAGCCGGGCGTAGTGGCGGGCGCCTGTAGTCCCAGCTACTTGGGAGGCTGAGGCAGGAGAATGGCGTGAACCCGGGAGGCGGAGCTTGCAGTGAGCCGAGATCCCGCCACTGCACTCCAGCCTGGGCGACAGAGCAAGACTCCGTCTCAAAAAAAAAAACAAAAAAACAAACAAACAAACAAAAAAAAAACAGTATTACTAAGCACACAGTACTGCACCTCTTAGGAAGGAATGACATCATCCGTGGAGACTCAATTAACTGCAAACGTGGACTGCAGTGCTTGCTTTTCATCTCTTTTGCTATCTTGATTTGCTCAACGTCAGCGGAGCCGGGTGTATACTCAGTTTATAGCAGGAGGCGGTACAGACTTACAAAACAGAGGATCTGGATGTAAAATCCTATGCAAGTGAAAAATTGGGAGAAATAATCCAGTCTCCCGCTGTAGGGAAGCAAGTCATTAAAACAGTAATTAATTTGCTAATATAGTCCTGTGGACTCTAAACATGACAATACATTTCTTTCTATGGGGAGCTTACATCTTATTTGACATTATTTTGAAAATTCTCCAATGCTCTAAATTTCTTTCAAGAATGCACCTTTAATCCAAATTTGTTGTTTAGTAGAAATAAGTAGAGAAGATTGTGATATTAATTGCCTTCCATCCCTTGTTTGAGAAAGAGTTAGAATTGCTAATTGATTGGGAAAACTTAAAGGATAGATTTTAAAAGGATAGTGTAGAAAACTGCCTAAGAAAAAGCATTCTTGTAAATAAACTATTCAGAGATATAAGTTAAACTTCAGATTGAGGTGGTGGGAACAGAGTTAAGCTAGGTTGACTCAGCATGGAGGCTGATTTCTGAGACTGAGAAAGGCACCTTAAAAAGGCATTAAAGTATCTGCTATTAGACAAGTAGGGAGAAAGTTCAAAAGTACTGTGCTATATAATAGAATCTTATGATTACCTAGCAACCTAATTAAAGTCAATTTTAATATATGTTGTAAGTATAAAAATGAGTTTGTATGTTGCTAATGCCTACTGAATTCTGCAGTGGAATTAATAATTCCATAGGGAAACCTTTTTCTTCTTGAAATAATGCTAGGTGTGGCTACTTGATGTGTTCTATTTTCTTTATTGCCTTATCTTTATCCTTGAATAGAAAACATCTGTTTATTTTAAAACTAGCATGTTTTGCTACCTAAATTGATAATATTTAAGTTATAGGCACACAGAATTCACTTTATATAAACAGATTAGAATACTATGGAAACTCAAAATAAATTGTGCTTTTTTTTTGAGACGGAATCTCGCTCTGTTGCCCAGGCTGGAGTGCAATGACACAATCTCAGATCACTGCAATCTCTGTTTCCTGGGTTCAAGCAATTCTTCCACTTCAGCCTCCTGAGTAGGTGGGACTATAGGCGCGTGCCACCACGCCTGGCTAATTTTTGTATTTTTACTGGAGACGGGGTTTCATCATGTTGGCCAGGCTAGTCTTGAACCCCTGACCTCAAGTGATCTGCCTGCCTCGGCCTCCCAAAGTGCTGGGATTACAGGTGTGAGCCACTGCACTCGCCCAGGAAATGGTGCCACCTTATGGTGTGTTTTATTGCAGTTGTGTCTCCTTTGAAGGCACGAACAAGGAAACTAAAGGAGATATGTATTGCAAAGCTATGTAATATTACGTGAAACCTAGTCCACACTTTTTTTCTGTCATGGAATTGAAAGTTTTGTTTTGTTTTGTTTTTTGTTTTTTGAGACGGAGTCTCGCTCTGTGGCCCAGGCCGGAGTGCAGTGGTGCGATCTCGGTTCACTGCAAGCTCCGCCTCCCGGGTTCCTGCGATTCTCCTGCCTCTGCCTCCAGAGTAGCTGGGACTACAGGCGCCTGCCACCACGCCCGGCTAATTTTTTTGTATTTTTAGTAGAGACAGGGTTTCACTGTGTTAGCCAGGATGGTCTCGATCTCCTGACCTTGTGATCCGCCCACCTCGGCCTCCCAAAGTGCTGGGATTACAGGCGTGAGCCACCGTGCCCCGCCTGAAAGTTCATTTTATCTCTGGTATGTGTATCTGGCTTTACAAAGCAAATGTATCCATAGGAATATATTTCCAAATGTTTTTTTAAAAAAACTTTTTGTTATGAATTATAGACTCACAGGAAGTTTCAAAAACAGTACCTAGAGATCTTATGTACCCATCACGTAGCTTCCCCCAATGGCAACATTAGGCCAATTTAAAAATCATTGATGGGGGCTGGGAACGGCAACTCACACCTGTAATCCCAGCTGTTTGGGAAGCTCAGGTGGGTGGATCACTTGAGCCAAGAGTTCTACACCAGCCTGGGCAACATAGTGAAACCCCATCTCTATAAATAATACCAAAAAAATTAGCTGGGCTTGGTGACATTGCGCCTGTAGTCCCAGCTACTCGGGAGGCTGAGGCCAGAGGATCACCTGAGCCTGGGAGGTTGAGGCTGCCATGAGCCATGATTGTGCCACTGCGTGGCAGCCTGGGTGACAGAGTGAGACCCTGTCTCAAAAAAAAAATAAAAAATAAATAAATAAAAATTGAGCGACTTTCTCTGCACTCTATAATAAGTGAATTATAAAGTGTCCTGTAGGAGTCCTTATGTCATTGTTGCTTTATTTATTGCTTTAGCATATTCTCCATTCTCCCCATCTTCACATTGTACCATCGGGAAGGGGTTAAGTCTCATGTACCTTTCTGGTACATTTCTCCCCAACAGCCTAAAAGATATGCAAGCTCCATTTTACTCCTTATGTTGAAGAAGCATATTTGGTTGAATATTCAGATTTCTTGTTTTGAGTTTATTTTGGTGGTGTTTGAAAACTTGAAAGGTTCTATATATATATATATATATATATATATATATATATATATATTTTTACATCATCTCTTCTTTTTTTTCTCTTCTAGCTTGAAAATGAAATTTCTTCAGATTGCAATCATGTAAGTATGGATTTTCTGTGATGCGCCATATGTGCTTTATAGATACGATGACAGATTTCGGGATGCTCTTCCTGTTGTTCTGGGAAGTGCTATGTTTTCTTACAGTCTTAATCTTAAAAGGATGACAAACTTTAAGGACCCTGGTAAAATGAACAAATAACCCTTCATTGTAGAAGCCTGCAGGTTCTCCCAAATAATATTTACGTACTTAAATTTTTCTTCAGTTACAGCTACCATGTGAAAATAATTCTCTGCTTATCAAGTTTACAACTTTAGAATTTCCTGTTTTAAAGTTCTCTCATTTACTTATCACACAGTCATCTTCTTTTTGCCAAATGCTATAGCAGCACATTAAAAGGAGACTGATGTGAAATCAACTCTGTGCAAAAAGTATTGGGTGCTTTGGTAGAAGTCTATACAGAAGACATTGGAGATACAAAAATGAATTTTGTCCAGGTGAGTTGATGTCAGGAAAGGCTTAATAATGGAGATGAGGCCGGGCATGGTGGTTCATGCCTGTAATCCCACCTGTTTGGGAGGCTGAGGCAGGTAGATCACTTGAGACCAGGAGTTTGAGACCAGCCCAACCAACATGGAGAATCCAATAAAAAAAAACAAAAAACAAAAATTAGCTGGGCATGGCGGTGCATGCCTGTAATCCCAGCTACTCTGGAGGCTGAGGCAGGAGAATCGCTTGAACCCAAGAGGCGGAGGTTTCACTGAGCCAAGATGGTGCCACTGCACTCCAGCCTGGGCGACAGAGCAAGACTTTGTCTTAAATAAATCAATAAATAAAAGAGGTGACACTTGATCTGGGTCTTAGAAGAGGCATCTATATGTGGCAAAAGTCACTCTATCACATTATAGAAGGTAGATGGGACCGGAGGCTGTATAAGCAGAGACAGATTGGCTATTTAGGTTAACTACTTACTCTTATGAAAACCTAGGTAAGTCAAGTACAAAATAAAACTAGAAGAGTACTAGAAGATTAGAGGGAAGGCTTTTCTAAATATGACACAACCCCAAAAGATGTTTTAAAAATATATATCTGCATCTATATCTGATTACATTAAAAGCTTTCTCTCCAAAAAATGTTTTGTAAAAAAGTATTCACAATGCAGATGAAAAGGACTATATTTGTTAATAGAAAATGCTATTAATAAACAGACATGAATAGAAGGTTCACAGGAAAAGAAAAAGGTGTCCAATAAACAGTAAAAAGTTTATTCTCCCTCAGAATCAACATAAACATTCAGCAAAAAATGAGTGCACTGTTGTCATCCATTTGATTAGCAAATATCAAAAATTTGATAAACGGGTACGCACCTGTACTCCCAACTACTCGGGAGGCTGAGGCTGGAGGACCCCTTGAGCCAGGAGTTCGAGGTAGCAGTGACCTATGATCACAAAACTGCACTGCAGCCTGGGTAACAAAGTGAGACCCCCATCTCTTAACAAGAAAAAAAAAGGATAAATACACAGTATTGATAAGGATGTGTGTATTTAAGCATTCTCTAGCCTATAGATAAAAAAACTACAACACTTAGGCCAAATCCAGTCTACTACCTGTTTTTATACATAAAATTTTATTGAAACAGCCACACCATTTATTTATGTATTGCCAGTGGCTGCTTTTCACACTAGGATGGCAAAGTTGAGTAACTGCAACAGTGACCACAGTTCCCTGAGAACTGTTACTTTCTGGCCCTCTGCAGAAGGAGTTTGCTGAACCCTGTTCAAGCCTATGTATGGGAATAAAAACAAGCTATAAAACAGTCAACCTAAAACGCATATGTTTTGACCCAGCATTTCTACTTCTATGAATTTATGGATAGTTATATTTAAAAGAATGGATAGAGATGTGTCTATAAAAGGATATTTGTTGTGGCATTATTTATAAAGCAAAGGATTAGGGGAAAACCTCAAAATCCATCAATAGACTGAATCTGACAGAAGAGAAACCCAGAAAAAAGTTGATGTGTGCCTTGGAACTCTCAAAGAGCCAGCTGGGCGCAGTGGTCCACACCTGTAATCCCAGAATTTTGGAAGGCTGGGTGGATCACCTGAGGTCGGGAGTTTGAGACCAGCCTGGCCAACATAGTGAAACCCCTCTACTAAAAATAAAAAAATTAGCCAGGCGTCGTGGCACACCCCTGTAATCCTGGCTACTCGGGAGTCTGAAACAGGAAAATCACTTGAACCGGGGAGATAGAAGTTGCAGTGAGATCATGCCACTGCCCTCCAGTCTGGGTGACAGAGTGAGACTCCGTCTCAAAAAACAAACAAACAAACAAACAAACAAAAATTCTCAAAGAGCCAAGGAATAGGAAGGATACGATACTGCTGAAAATGGGGGACAAATAGTATCCAAAAAACAGGAGATTTGGTGGAAGGTCTATGTAAGAAGCAGTCAGGACTCTTTAGAGAACAATTATATAACCCAGAAATTCTATAATATAGCATTCATAATGTCCCGCATGCTATCAGAAATGGCTGGATATGAAAAGAAGCAGGAAGATATCAAGAGATAAAGTAGCCAACAGAGAGAGATCCAGAGAAGAGGTAATTCATATATTGGAATTATTAATAGCAGACAAGGACTTCAAATAACTAATAAAACAGAGGAAAATAAAATATTTTCCTATAAATAAAATAGAGGAAAATAAAATATTTTCCTATAAATAAAATAAAGGAAAATTAAAATGGATGAAAATATGAAGTATTTCAACAGAGAATTAGTCTTTATTAAGAAAATCAATTAGACATTTTTGGACTAAATATAATTTCAGAAATTAAGAACTTATGGGTAGTTTTAAAAGACAGCTTTAGTGGACATAACAGATTCATGGCCAGGTGCAGTGGTTCACGCCTGTAATCCCAGCACCTTGGGAGATCGAGACAGGCGGATTACTTGAGGTCAGGAGTTCGAGACCAGCCTGTTCAACACGGTAAAAAACCCCATATCTACTAAAAATTACAAAATCAGCTGGGTGTGGTGGCAGGTGCCTGTAATCCCAGCTACTCAAGAGACTGAGGCGGGAGAATTGCTTGAATCTGGGAGGTGGAGGTTGCAGTGAACCAATATCGTACCACTGCACTCCAGCCTGGGCAACAGAGTGAGATTCTGTCTCAAAAAAAAAAAAAAAAGGCAGACAGAATGGGATAGAAGCAGTATTTTAAGAAATAATGGCCAAGATGTTCTCCAAATCTAATGAGAGGCTTTAACCCACAAATTCAACAAACTTAGTGAACCTCAAGAGAAATCCATACTCACCTAACAATTTTTTTTTTTTTTTTGAGACAGAATCTCGCTCTGTCACTGAGGCTGCAGTGCAATGGTGTGATCTCGGCTCACTGAAACTTCCACCTCTGGGGTTGAAGTGATTCTCCTGCCTCAGCCTCCTGAGTAGCTGGGATTACAGGTGCCCACAACCATGCCCAGCTAACTTTTGTATTTTTAGTAGGGACAGGGTTTCACCATGTTGGTCAGGCTGGTCTCGAACTCCTGACCTCAGGTGATCCACCCGCCTCGACTTGCCAAAGTACTGGGATTATAGGTGTGAGCCACCACGCCCAGCCTAGACACATTATTAACAATCTGCCAAAACGAAAAGGTAAAAAGAAAATTCAACAAGCAGGCAGAGAAAAAGAGACATTCTCTTGAGGGAAGGAAAATGACAGCTGGCTTCTCAACAAAGCAAGCAGTAGAAACTAGAGACAAATGAAACAATAAATGTAAAATGCTGAGAGAAAATGCCAACATGGAATTCTATATCCAGCAAAAAATACCCCTTTAAAAAATGAAAATAGGCCAGGCACCATGGCTCACCCCTGTAATCCCAGCATTTTGGGAGGTAGAGGCAGGCAGATCGCTTGAGGCTAGGAGTTGAAGACCAGCCTGGCCAACATGGTGAAATCCCGTTTCTATTAAAAATACAAAAATGGCCAGGTTTGGTGGCTCACGCCTGTAAACCCAGCAGGCAGATCACTAGGTCAGGAGATCAAGACCATCCTGGCTAACACGGTGAAACCCCGTCTCTACTAAAAATACAAAAAAGTTAGCCAGGTGTGGTGGTGGGCGTCTGTAGTCCCAGCTGCTCGGGAGGCTGAGGCAGGAGAATGGTGTGACCCTGGGAGGCGGAGCTGGCAGTGAGCCAAGACCGCACCACTGCACTTCAGCCTGGGTGACAGAACGAGACTCCATCTCAAAAAAAAAAAAAAAATTAACCACCGCACCTGTAATCCCATCTACTTGGGAGGCTGAGGCATAAGAATCACTTGAACTGGGGAGGAAGAGGTTGCAGTGAGCTGAGATCCTGCCACGGCACTCACCCCTGGCCGACAGAGCAAGACTCTATCTCAAAAAAAATAAAATAGGTGTTATCAGACAAGCAAAAGCTGAGAATATTCATCTCCCACATTTGCACACTGTGAGAAATCCTAAATTATTGAAGGTAAAAGGATCACAAATTGAAGCAGAGAAGTAGGAGCACTAGAAGAGAAAAATAATTGATACATATGACTATTATTCTTTCATTATTTAAGATAACTGACTTGGCCAGGCGTGGTGGCTCATGCCTGTAATCCCAGCACTTTGGGAGGCCGAGGTGGGTGGATCACCTCAGGTCAGGAGTTCGAGACCAGCCTGGCCAACATGGTGAAACCCCATCTCCACTAAAAATATAAAAATTAGCTGGGTGTGGTGGTGCACACCAGTAATCCCAGCTACTCAGGAGGCCAAGGCGTGAGAATCACTTGAATCTGGGAGGTAGAGGTTGCAGTGAGCCGAGATAGCACCATTGCACTCCAGCCTGGGCAAAAAGAGCAAAACTCCATCTCAAAAAAAAAAAAATAAATAAATAAAAAAAAATAAAGAACTGACTTAAGCCAAAACAATAACAGTATACTTTCAGATTATAACATGTAGAATAAAATATATGACAACAGTAGCACAAAGGGTGGGTAGGAATAAAAATATAATGTTACTTTGGAATATTCTTATATTGTATATGAGGTAGCATAATATCAATTCAATTTGGACTGTGACCAAGTTAAGGATGTATAATCAGGATACAGATTTGTTTCACATAATGATTGTTCAGTTAATGGTATTTAGCCATCATGACCCTTACAAGTTGATAGCACTTTACCCAAAACACAGAATATTCCCTGAGACATTATTGTTTTAAGCAAATTTGCGTGTAGCGACTTACTCAGCACTAGTCAGACTATCACATGGAACAAATTTGAATTCTACCTCATAGTTAGGAGTGCTAAAGGAGTGATAGCAGGAAGTGATCAATTAGCATCTTCTGTTCCTCTTCAGTGTGTCTTGCACATACAGTATTTCTCCATGTCAAAAAGTGGTTTTTGGTGTTGGTTTTGTTTTGCTTTTTGAGACAAGGTCTTGGTCTGTCACGCAGGCTGGAGTGTAGTTGTGTGATCACGGCTCACTCCAGCCTCAATCTCCCGGGCTCAAGTGATCCTCCCACCTCAGCCTCCTGAGTAGCTGGGACTACAGATGCACACCACCATGCCCTGCTAATTTTTGTATTTTTTGTAGAGATGGGGTTTCACTTTGTTGCCCAGGCTGACCTCTAACTTCTGGGCTCAAGCAATCCAACCTTCTCAGCCTCACAAAGTGTTAGGACTACAGGTGTAAGCTGCTATACCCGGCCCAAAGTGTATTTTTTAAATCTCAAAGATTCATCTACAGGTAATGTCATGAATCTTTCCACATCAGTTTTTTCTAAGTGCCAAAGTTCTAAGGAAAAGAATTACCATAAAATATGTCTTCATACTGATACTGAATGCCTGCCTCATAGTCAGTCATCTGATTTTACATTACTTTCCAGAGAATGATTCCCTCATACCCTGCCTTTACCAACCATCACCAACTCTCAAGTCTTCTCTTTCTCCCTTGGAGAGTACAATGACCTTCCATTATGTTATATTTTATGTACAAGTTATATTTTACTTTAAAATTGTTTGTTACTTATATACTATTTTCATCTTTCAATTGATACTTCTCTCTCGGAAAATTGTTTGGGTATCTGGCCAGCCTGAATAACTTCTATTTATTTATTTATTTTTGAGATGGAGTCTTGCTCTGTCTCTATTTTGTAGAGATGGGGGTCTTGCTCTGTGGCCCAGGCTGGTCTCCATTTCCTGGCCTCAAGTGATCTGCCTGCCTCAGCTTCCCAAAGTGCTGGGATTACAGCATGAGCCACTGCGCCTGACCAGATAACTTGAACTTCATCACAATTAAAAACTTTTGTGCATCAGACACTATCAAGAAAGTTGAATGGCAGCCTATACAATGAGAGAAAATACTTACAAATCATATACCTGATAAAGGGTCTAGTATTGAGATCATACAAAAACTCTTCCAACTCTAGAATAAAAAGCAAATTTTAAAACGGGCAATGGATTTGAATAGGCATTTCTCAGAAGAAAATATACAGATAGCCAGTTACACATGAAAAGATGCTCAACATCATTGTCATTAAGGAAATGCAGGGCTGGGTGGGGTGGCTCATACCTTTAATCCCAGCAGTTTGGAAAGTTAATACCGGAGGATAGTTTGAGGCCAGGAGTTCAAGACCAACCTGGGCAACATACGGAGACCCCCTATCTCTGCAAAGAAGAATTTTAAAAATGTAGCCAGGCACGGTGGTATGATCATAGGCAGTTGTCACCTAGGAGGCTGTGGGCCCGGACATAGAGGAGAGACCGGGAGAAGGTGAAGAGTAGAGGAGGAAGAAGAAGGAGGGACTTGGGGTCCTTGTGAGCCGTCACTGCAGATCTTGCTCTGTCCAGGGAGCCCAAGGCAGCCATCAGTCTCTGCATGTGGGAAGCCTGTCCGTGAGCGTCTTGGAGAGGCTGCCTGCTTTGATCTAAGCTTAGGAAGGTGGGGTCCATGGTTCAGGCTCCTTGTCACCAGTGCACCCTACAAGGGAGATTTTGGTTCACCTACCCCAGCTCCACCCTGCCCCATAAGTGGACGCCACAGCCCCAGAGGCCCTGGCGGTGATGGAGACAGCTGCCCAGCTGAAGCCTTAATAGTCTGAATGTATCGCCCCCACCCTCACATTTTATGTGTGAAGATGTTTCTGGTAAAAAATCCTTGGCCAACGTAATCCTCAGAGGCATTTGGCATTTGTCCTCAAAAGGGGCTAGGAATTAAAGAGTTTTAGCCAAAATGAGGAGAACCTTAGACACCCAATTCTCACTTGATGAAAAAGTGAGGTGCAGAGAGGGGAGGCCCTTCTCAGACAGCTGATCAGCAGTGCCCAGGAATGCCTGCCCCACCAGGCACTGTCCCTCTCACTGGCCAGATTAGCTTGGGGACCTGAATGACCAAACTAAAACCCCAGCTTCCATCGGGTTGTAGGAGAAGATAGGAACATCCCCAATGCAGGATGCTGCAGACTCCCCAGACACGCCTTCCCTGGGAGCTCTCGGCCTCGGCCCTAAATCCCTACCTCACTTGCCCACAACAACCCACAGCAGAACAGTGTCTTCTCAAACACTCTGTACTTGGGGAGACATTTGGACGATGTGGAAGAGAAAAGCCAGGAGGAGAGGGGCAATAGGGGCAGCAGACTAGGAGGAAGCTGGCTCAAACGAGGAGGTAGAGGCTGGAGCACAGGCAGCTCTTCTGAGGACTAGGCAGTTGCTAGTTCTTGGCTGTCATACTCCAGGGCCCTGGCAGGACTATGCCTTTCTCCTGCCTGGGTCTTGGAGCCAGGGACTGCTCCTTGACCCATTTGGCTGGGAGACCCCTTAGGGTGGGCCAAATAGCAGGGATTTCTTCAGAGAACAACCAGGATCAGGCCATAGAACTGAGCTGCACCCAACAGCCCCAGGTAGCAGTAGGTGACAGCAGTGAAGATCTGTTCAAGTTTCACTGCAGGGCACACAGGCCCAGGTGAAAGGTTGGGCTGACCTCTGACATTGTGTTTCCATGGGCTTTTCCTGTCTGCCACTGCCACCTCCCAAAGAGCAAGCTCTCTGGCTCACTTACTCTCAGGGAGGTTGTAGTATACCCATTTTATAGATGGAAAAGTTAGGCTTCAGTTCTGTAAGGACAGCAGTGGTTTTCTTTTCTGTTCACTCTGTAGCCTCAGAACTGGGTGTAATAGGTAGGCGGGTGGATCTGAGGCCCAGAGAAGGTAAAAGACTCACCCAAGGGGCCCCAGAGAGTTGGGGACAGAACCAGAGACTGAGTCTAATACTTTCCCAGATGTTTTTCTTTTTTTCTTTTCTTTTTTTTTGAGACAGTCTCACTCTGTCGCCCAGGCTGGAATACAGTGGTGCAATCTTAGCTCATTGCAACCTCTGCCTCCCAGGCTCAAGCGATTCTCCTCCTTCAGCCTCCTGAGCTGGGATTACAGGCACATGCCACCATGCCCGGCTAATTTTTGTATTTTTAGTAGAGATGGGGTTTCTCCATGTTGGCCAGGTTGGTCTTGAACTCCTAACCTCAAGTGATCCACCCGCCTTGGCCTCCCAAAATGCTGGAATTACTGGTTTCTTTTTGAGACAGGGTTTCACTCTGCCGCCCAGGGTGGAGTGCAGTGATGCGATCTCAGCTCACTGCAACCTCCTGAGGTTCTTCTAGCGATTCTCCTGCCTCAGCCTCTCGAGTAGCTGGGATTACAGGCACCCGCCACCATTCCTGGGTAATTTTTATATTTTTAGTAGAGACGGGGTTTTGCCATGTTGGCCAGGCTGGTCTTGAACTATTGACCTCAGGTGATCCTCCCTCCTTGGCCTCCCAAAGTGCTGAGATTACACGCGTGAGCCACCTCGCCCGGCCTGTGAAGTCCTTAAGATGGAGATTTACAAAGGAAAATGAAAGCCAGAGGTGAGGTTTTGGTTTAAGTGAGTTGCAGAGGCAACAGTAACTAAAGGGTCAGGATTGTAGAGAGGAGAGCTGACAGCCTGCAGCCACTTGCATTTGCCAACTCTGGCCAGAGGCTGAGGATCCAGGTTTTTTATGTTTTTATAGTCTCACCAGCCGGAGTGACAAAATTTGGAGGCTTGAATGGCCTCGAATAGATGGCTAGGTCTCAAGCCATCTGGTGAAATCTGAATACACAAGATGCAAACCTGAAACACTAAGCTTAGACCTCTCTAAAGCAGAGCGGAATTTTGCAGAGTCACAGTGCTGAGTAAAAAAATTACCCAGGAATGGTGGCGGGTGCCTGTAATCCCAGCTACTCGAGAGGCTGCGGCACGAGAATCGCTAGAACTGAGGAGACAGAGGCTGCAGTGAGCTCAAATCGCTTCACCGCAGTGAGCTGAGATCGCGTCACTGCAGTGAGCTGAGATTGCGTCACTGCATTCCAGCCTGGGCGGCAGAGTGAAACCCTGTCTCAAAAAAAAAAAAGAAAGAAAGAAATCAGTAATTCCAGCACTTTGGGAGGCCAAGGTGGGTGGATCACTTGAGGTTAGGAGTTCAAGACCAACCTGGCCAACATGGAGAAACCCCATCTCTGCTAAAAATACAAAAATTAGCCAGGCATGGTGGCGTGTGCCTGTAATCCCAGCTCAGGAGGCTGAAGAAGGAGAATCGCTTGAGCCTGGGAGGCAGAGGTTGCAATGAGCTGAGTAGACAGTTTTCAAGATCTCTCAAAAGGAGGGAACCTGGGGTATACTACGGGATTTCAGTTGAAAGACTTGGAGAGCTAGGCCCTGGGAACAGAGGCAAGTGAAGTAGACAGAACCCTATCAACACTGCATCCCATAGACCTTGAGCTAATAAACACAGAAGGAATTACAGAATTAGAAAGTTACCATTTGATAACCACCATAGTAAAATCGTCTCAAGCAAGTCGAGTCAGTGGATAATAAAACTAGTGAGGCTGGGTGTGGTGGCTTATGCCTCTAATCCCAGCACTTTGGGAGGCCAAGGCAGGCGGATCACTTGAGGTCAGGAGTTCAAGACCAGCCTGGCCAACATGGTGAAACCCCATCTCTACTAAAAATACAAAAAAATTAGCCGGGCATAGTGGTGGGCGCCTGTAGCCCCAGCTACTCGGGAGGCTGAGGCAGGAGAATGGCGTGAACCCAGGAGACGGAGCTTGCAGCGAGCCGAGATGGTGCCACTGCACTCCAGCCTGGGTGACTGAGCGAGACTCCGTCTCAAAAAAAAAAAAAAGAGAGAGAAGTTCCAGGCCGGGTGTAGTGGCTCACGCCTGTAATCCCAACACTCTGGGAGGCCGAGGCGAGCGGATCACAAGGTCAGGAGATCGAGACCATCCTGGCCAACATAGTGAAACCCCATCTCTATTAAAAATACAAAATTTAGCTGGGTGTGGTGGCACACGCCTGTAATCCCAGCTGCTCAGGAGGCAGAGGCAGGAGAATCCCTTGAACCAGGGAGTTGGAGGTTGCAGTGAGCCGAGATCGCACCACAGCAGTCTAGCCTGGCGACACAGTAAGACTCCGTCTCAAAAAAAAAAAAAAAAAAGAAGTTCCTGGCTGGGCGCAGTGGATCAAGAGATCGAGACCATCCTGGCCAACATGGTGAAACCCCGTCTCTACTAAAAATACAAAAATTAGCTGGGCATGGTGGCATGTGCCTGTAGTCCCAGCTGCTCAGGAGGCTGATGCAGGAGAATGGCGTGAACCCGGGAGGCAGAGCTTGCAGTGAGCTGAGATCGCGCCACTGTACTCCAGCCTGGGTGACAAAGCAAGACTCCGTCTCACAAAAAAAAAAAAAAAAAAAAAAAAAAAAAGAGTACTGATTGCTACTCGCAACATTCTTCTCTTCCCATGGTGTGAATGAGAACATCCCTGCTTTCCACACAAACACAGGCTCTCAAGCACACGAGAAGCATGCCAGGTGTCAGGTCCTTTCTGTGAAGTCGGTTGTAGGCAGATGTCCAGTCTACTGATGGGGACAAGAACTTCAGAGGGAGGAGGGAGGCCTTCCCCACAGCCATGCCGGTGCTGCAGGGAGGTAAGATAAACGCCTGCATCTTAGCGACCTCAGATCCAAATTCATTCTTACACTGTGGTAACATAGGTATGTCAAATGTTTGTCTGTACACTGTTTATCCTGTGTGGTAGCAAATACATTTACCAAGTCACTGCAGATGAAGATTTCACAAGAGGACTTGACAAGCGTAATTAAAACGTCTGTTTAGGGCAAGACATGGTGGCTCATGCCTCTAATCCCAGCACATTGGGAGGCCAAGGCAGGTGGATCTCTTGAGGTCAGGAGTTTAATGCCAGCCTCAGCAACATAGTGAAACCCCACCTCTACCAAAAAATACAAAAGTTAGCTGGGGACGGTGGCACGCGCCTGAGGTCTCAGCTATTCGGGAGGCTGAGGTGGGAGAATCGCTAGAGCCCAGGAAGTTAAGACTGCAGTGAGCCGTGATTGCACCACTGTGCTCCAGCCTGGGTGACAGGGTGAGAGCTAATCTCAAAAAATAAAAATAGGCTGGACGCGGTGGCTCACGCCTGTAATTCCAGCACTTTGGGAGGCCTAGGTGGGCAGATCACGAGGTCAGGAGTTTGAGACCAGCCTGGCCAACATAGCGAAACCCTGTCTCTAATAAAAATACAAAAATTAGCCCAGCGTGGTGGCGCACGCCTGTACAGTCCCAGCTACTGGGGAGGCTGAGGTAGGAGAATCCCCTGAACCTGGGAGGCAGAGGTTGCAGTGAACCGAGACCACACCATTGCACTCCAGCCTGGGCAACAGAGTGAGCCTCCATCTAAAAAATAATAATAAAATAAAAACACTCAATCCCCTAGAAAAAATAGTGCATCAGTGGTTATGAGAACCTACTAAGGACAAGACCCATCTTTGACAATGAAAGGGGCCTTAGGACTTACTTCCCTTTTTTTTTTTTTTTTGAGACAGTCTCGCTCTGTCGCCTAGGCTAGAGTGCAGTGACACAATCTTGGCTCACTGCAACCTCCGCCTCCTGGGTTTAAGCAATTCTCCTGTCCCAGCCTCCCAAAGTAGCTGGGATTACAGGCATGTGCCACCACGCCCAGCTAATTTTTGTATTTTTTAGTAGAGATGGGGTTTCACCATATTGATCAGGCTGGTCTCGAACTTCTGACCTCACGTGATCCAACTGCCTTGGCCTCCCAAAGTGCTGGCATTACAGGCATGAGCCACCGCACCCAGCCTGACTTAGCATTTTGGAGTGGAGGCCGATCATGGTGATGGAGAAGGAAATCAGGGACAGATCTACACCATTTGTTTGCTATTTACTGCACGTAAACAGAATGAAATCAACACATTAAGTATTTCACTTGATTTCATCCACCATCTCCTGCAGACAACCAGGTTTCTCCCAAATTCATGTGCCTGGAAATGGCTTGAACCAAATGGTTCATGAGGAAAACCTGTGATATTTTTCATGAAATCGCCACATCTGGGCATCAGGAAAGCCTTCCCCGAGAATGTCTCAAATTGGTCAGCCGTTTTCTCTTTTTTTAGACAGGTAGGTGTCCCCAAGCATTCAATCCTAGCTAAAATATGGAAGTATTTATCTAGCACAGGAGCCTATGGCATAGTTTCAGTCCACTGTCTGGCAGACCTCATCTGGGCTGTCTTTGTGTGATTTGACTGGCCAGTAAATGGGGTATAAACTATGTAGGCTGTGGCCTGGCCTTGTGACAGAGGGGTCCCTGGAACTTGACTGCCACTCCCTAAGAGCAGAAACCGCCTCTTTCTTGTACATTGCTGGATCCCATCATCCTGCACAGTGCCTGGCTACAGGTGGCCAGCAATAAAACACAAGATTGGGGCAGGCACAGTGGCTCACGCCTGTAATCCCAGGACTTTGGGAGGCTGAGATGGAAGGATCACTTGAGGCCAGGAGTTCAGGCCCAGCCTAGGCAACATAGTGAGCCTATCTCTACAAAAAAAAAATTTTTTTTAAATTAATAAAACACAAGATTGGTTTGTGTGGTGAGACAGTATTGAATCCAACAAACGGGAACTGGATAGTGTGGCCCAAGATGCAATGGTGGCTGCAGCATGAGACCCTTATGCATATAATATTCAGTGGAAGAGGTGCCAGGCACTGTTCTGGGTGCTGAGAATAAAGCTATGCATAAGACTAAGGTTCTGTCGACAGAGATCGTGTCACACCAGTGGAAAAGACAGTCATCAAACTTATATCCTTGAGTCAGTGATGAGTTCTAGAAGGAAAGAAAAGGCTGATGTGACAGTGAGGAAGGGATGAGTGGAGACTTCTCTGAGACTTCAGTGATTCCTCTTCCTCTGAGCTGAGCCAAGCTGAGAAGCTGAGAAGAGTAAGATAGGGCCGGGAACTCAGGTCCGTTAGTCCGTCCTCCGAGGTGGGGCGGGCCAGCAGAATGGATTTCCGATCTACTCTGTGAGAGCCTCGCCCAAGAAAGCCCAGAGCCACTTCCAAGATCCGCGCTCCCACGGCGATGAGAAGCGTTTTCCCCCGGGACTGCTTGGCTTAGGACTGGGGACCCACTGGCTTTGGAGTAAGCCCTGGCACGGGCCTCGAGGGAAGAAAGAACTCCCGCGCTCCCCACACTCCACAGGGCCTGCGATCATCTCAGATGTTCCGGTTCCACGTGCAGAAACCCCGCCGGTCCGAGGCCCCGGTTCTAAAACGGCCCTAAGAGTCAAGGCTTCCACAGCTCGCCTCTGAGGGTGGCAAAGAGGCCGCGGGGGCGGTGCCTCGCGAGACCCAAACAAGCCCACGTGGCAGGGGCGGGGCTCCGCGAAGGCGTCACGGCGCGCTCGTGCGCTGCTGAGGTCACGCGCCGGCAGTACCCTTGCCCGGGGGCCGTAAAGCGCGGAAGGTCGCGGTCTCGGCTTCCCCGGAACTTTTTGCTCGCTTCGCCCCGCCCCCTTCCCATCCCCGAACCCCGCTTTCCGGCCCGCGGCGACCCCAGGCAACTGTTGTGGCTGCCGCATTGCTCCCGCCGGGCTGTAGCTGAGCGCGGAGCCCGTGGGGACCGGTGAGGTAAGGAGATAGCTTCGGGGCAACTCTGGCCTCCCCGTCCGCGCGGGCCTAAGCGCCCCGGGACCCCTGGGTTCCCCTCTTTCTCCTTTGGTTTCGCCCGGGGGTGGTCCCCGCTAGCTCACGCTTCCAGTGGGTTCCGCCTGGCCTCTCGCGAAGTCGCGTCCGGGCGCCAGTACTCGTCCCCGTAAGGTTGTCCGCTCGTGCCTTGGCTTGTGTTCTCGGCTACCCCTGGGCGTGCGCACCGCTCCTCCAGGAGCCTGCACTTCAGCCCCGATGCCAGGGCGGCCGGGGTGACCTCGGGCTCCCCCGTCTCGGGCTTGCACACCCCTGCGGCGCAGAGCCAACTCCAGCTTGTCTAGCCCGGTCCTCCATCCCTGCAGATGGAACTGTTTTCCCGCGTTGAGACGTGCGGTCCGCTTGTGCTTTTAGAACTAAAGACTGCTGCAGAGTCCGGAGGAAGAAGTCACCTAGAAAAATCTGGGACAGGGCAGTAAGCTTCCTTCTTAATGTTTGACCTTTGGGGGCCGATGTGTGATACCTCGGATTTGAATCAAGAATCTCCAAGCCCATTTTCCGCATGCATGTAAACGTGATGTACCGGGATGGGGTCTGGTGGTGGAGGAGGAGCCAGCCTGACGGATAAGCTTTTCCAGTGGCAGGGACTTGTGTTAATTTCTTTTTTCTTTTTTTTTCTTTTTTCCGAGACAGAGTTTCACTCTGTCGCCCAGGCGGGAGTGCAGTGGCGCGATCTCGGCTCACTGCAACCTCTGCCTCCTGGGTTCAAGCAATTCTCCTGCCTCAGCCTCCCAAGTAGCTGGGAATACAGGTGTGCGCCACCACGCCCGGCTAATTTTTGTGTTTTTAGTAGAGACGGGGTTTCACTATGTTGGCCAGGCTGGTCTCGAACTCCTGACCTCGTGATTCTCCCGCCTCAGCCTCCCAAAGTGCTGGGATTACAGGCGTGAGCCACTGCGCTCGGCCAACTTGTGTTAATTTCTTAAACTTGCGTGATCACCTGGTGTACTTGTTGAAAAATACAGCTCCCTGGAGTGGCAGGATCAGAATCTGCCGAGGTGGACCGTGGGAATCTGTCATTTTTAAACAAGTGTCCCAGGTGGTTCTTTTGCTGAGGCAAGTGTGGGAAATGTTGTGTGAACCCACGCTCATCCAGTCTTCCTTGTGACCGGCAGTCCACTGTGCGCAACGCTGCAGCCATACAGAGGGACAACTCGAAGTTAGAACTAGCACCTTGGTCTTGTTGGAATAAGCAGATCTGAGTAGAGCCAGCTGCAGTCTTATGGTTGTTTAGCAGAAGTTATTCTTCTTAGCAGAGAATATTATACGGTCATTTTCCAGAACTGTAAAAACTCTATCATTTGTTTTAAACCAGATGATGTGCTTCATTTCTGTCTTTGACGTCTTCAGTTTCTTCTCCCCTGGCTTTACCTCCTTTGTTATCAGTTTGTGCTTTGGTTTTGCTGCCAACCTTATAGGTTTAGGTTTGGCGGCAAAGGCACTAGACTCTGGTGCCTTCTTTTCCTTCGTTGTCTTAAGCCCTTCTTTTCCTCTGCCCTCATGCCCTCACCACTTCACTCTTTTGAAGGTCATAATGAACACAAGGTCAGAGATCCCTTTTTTGGCGCCAAGCACCCTGGGCTTTTTTGAGATGGAGTCTCACTGTGTCACCCAGGCAGTGGCGCGAATCTGCCCACTGCAGCCTCCATCTCCCTGGTTGAAGCAATTTTCCTGTCTCAGCCTCCTGAGTAGCTGGGACTACAGGTGCAAGCCACGACACCTGGCTAATTTTTCTGTTTTTAGTAGAGACGGGGTTTCACCATGCTGATCAGGCTGGTCTCAAACTCCTGACCTCAAATAATCCACCCACCTTGGCCTCCCAAAGTGCTAGGATTACAGGTGTGAGCCCCTGCGCCTGGCCTTTCTTTGTTTTGTTTTGTTTAAGACAGAGTCTCACTGTGTCACCCAGGCAGGAGTGCAGTAGCATAATCTCGGCTCACTGCAACCTCTGTCTCCCAGGCTCAAGCGATCCTCCTACCTCAGGAGTTCAGGACCAGCCTGGGCAACATAGTGAGCCCCTCTCTACAAAAAAAAAAAAAAAATTAAAAAAATTAATAAAACACAAGATTGGCCTGTGTGGTGAGAGAGTATTGAATCCAACAAACGGGAACTGGTTAGTGAGGCCCAAGATGCAATGGTGGCCGCACCATGAGTACCTGGGACCACAGGTGCGTGCCACCACACCCAGCTAATTTTTTGTATCTTTGGTAGAGACGGGGTTTCACCATGTTTGCCAGGCTGGTCTCCAACTTCCGACCTCAAATGATCTACCCGCCTCGGCCTCCCAAAGTGCTGAGATAACAGGCGTGAGACATGGCGCCCGGCCTAAAGTTTTTTTTTTAATTCCACCTTAAAACTCATCTGTTACTGTGTTTGTTCTGCCACCTTTGCAATTCCCTTTCTCTGTTAGGGGAATGTGCTTAATGGTTCAGTCCTCACAGCTGTCCTTTCCTTACCATCTGCTTTTATTTGAAAGGTAGCGTGGAGTCATGATTAAATAGCCGGCCACTAATGCCAAATTGGCAGGGTTCTGCTACTCAACAGTTTGGTAGGACCTTGGGTGAGTCACTTCCACTTATCTGTGCCTGTTTCCTCAAGTGTAGAATAGAAATGCTAGTATCTACCTCATAAGGTTGTGAGGATTAAATTAGTTATATATATAGGCAGTATCTGGTGCATTGTAACTACTTATAAAAATATTAGCTTTAAAAATTATTTGCCGGTCACAGTGGCTCATGCCTGTAATCCCAGCACTTTGGGAGGCCAAGGCAGGCGGATCACGAGGTCGGGAGATTGAGACCATCCTGGCTAACATGGTGAAACCCCGTCTCTCCTAAAAATTAAAAAAAAAAATTAGCCAGGCATGGTGGTGGGTGCCTGTAGTCCCAGCTACTCAGGAGGCTGAGGCAGGAGAATGGCATCAACCCAGGAGGCAGAGCTTGCAGTGAGCTGAGATCGCACCACTGCACTCCAGCCTGGGCGACAGAGCGAGACTCCATCTCAAAAAAAATAAATAAGATGTCAAAGAGGCTGTGACCTGAGGAGATTACCTGTATTTGGGGGAGAGGTGGCAGGAACCATGCCAGGAGGGAACAGCATGCACAGAACCTGGAGCCGAATAGAACACTCACGCCTCACCTGATATGTTTGACGAATTACAGGTTGTTCAGTCTGGTTTGGTCAGAGTGTGAGGAAAGGAGAAATGAGACCACAGATAAGAACCAGAGTGTGAAGGATCTTGCACTTGATATGAAAAGAGTTTTGCCTTTTTCCTGAGGGCATCAGAAAGTCATTAAGGTGGGTGTGGTGGTTCACGCCTATAATCCCAGCACTTTGGGAGGCCAAGGCCAGTGGATCACCTGAGGTCAGGAGTTCAAGACCAGCCTAATCAACATGGTGAAACCCTGTCTGTACTAAAAATACAAAAAGTAACTGGGCGTGGTGGCGCGTGCTTGTAGTTCCAGCTGTTCAGGAGGCCGAGGCAGGAGAATTGCTTGAACCTGGGATGCAGAGGTTGCAGTGAGCCGAGATCACACCGCTGCACTCCCAGCTGGGCGACAGAGTGAGACTCTGTCTCAAAAAAAAAAAAAAAATTGCTGAGGAAAAGCAGCAAAAAGGGAGGGAAACGTTGCAGGTACATGAAAGAGAGATAGCAGTTGATGGAGCTAGGGTCAAGAGAAGAGAGGAGGAAGTGGGATCCAGGGCCCTTGGGGGAGATTAACTTTCCAGTGGATAAAAGAAGGAAGGAAGAGATGGTTGCAGATGCAAGTGGGTCTATAGGAAGGGTTTCAGGGAATGAGATGAGCCAGGTTATCTGCTTAGAATGAGGGAAGAAAGGAGGTGAAATTGAAGGTTGAGAGAGGAATAGCTGGGCTCTGAACCTGAATACAGACAGAGGTCTGCCTGTGGCTTAACATGTGCTAGCCTAAGCCACCAAGGAGCAGGACAGTTTTCAAGTATAACCGAGTGGTCACGGGTCAGAAGCCAGGAGGTTGACAGTGAGGTCAATGGGACGGGGCTGGCCATTTGGCAGCAGCAGTTCCCCAGGAGAGCTGTGTTGCCATTGGGACAGAGGGTAGAGAGAATGTCAGCAAAGGGGTGGGTGTTTACCTTTGGGAAAGGTATTCTGGAGGGTGCAGTAGAGGGGCTTGAAGGAGAGGAAAGCAAAGAGAGCTTGGGCCACGGGAAATAAATTGGTCACGTGGAGATGAGATTATGGAAAGACTAGCCGGGTAGAGAAGCTTCTGTTTTGAGATGGTGCTTAACAGGGACCAGGGATGAGAGGCATGGTGGCAACCACAAGGTGGCCAAGACAATTTGTCTCCAGTTGGATGGGATGTCTGCCTGGACACAGTCTGTGCTTGCATTGGTTGCAATTCTGAGAGTCATCTCTGATGGATGGACATAGATACCTTGGCCTTGGACAATTTGTGCTGACTGTGGAGCATCTGTGGGTCCTGTGGCTGGCAGTGGAGGCGGTAAGGAGATGACTAGCAGTGAGCTACCCTAAGGCCCCCTTGTCTACCGCCTCTCGTCTCAAAGTCCTCATCCTCCTGTACACATGACTGCATGGACAGCCAGTAGGTGCTTTCTTCTTCAGTTTCTTGAAACTTGAACAGTCATCTGTTTTGCTGATAGATTAAGTTTGTTAAAACCCTGCCTTGTCCAAGGGCAGTGGTTCATGCCTGTAATCTCAACACTTTGGGAGACCAAGGTGGGAGGATCACTTGAGCCTAGGAAGTCAACTCTGTTTTTCTTATAATTCTACCATCCGCTCTCCACCATGGAGCCAGACTGACCTTTGGAAAACATCCCCCAACCCCCCACCGCCAAAAAAAACAAAGAAAAGAAAAACATCCCAGATCATTTCATTCCCCTGCTAGTGATACTCCCGCATGAGTGATTTTCCTTTGTACTTTGAATAAAATTCCAACTCCTGCTGATGGCACCCAAGGGCTGTGTGTAACTGGCTTCCGCCTGCCTCTCCAGCATTGTCTTAGATCATCTCCCCACACTCCCCGTGTCGTGTACATGCCGGCCTCCTTTTTGTTCTTGGTCTGTCTTACCTCAGGGCTTTTGCACATGCTCGTCTCAGTGTCTGCCAAATGTATAGCTCGTTCCTTATCCTTCAGGTCTGTTTCCAAATGTCACTTCCTTGGAGGCTGTTTCTGACCATCCTGTTTTAAATATGCCCCTAGTTACTCTATCATGTTAGCTTTATTTACTGTTTTATTTGTATGTTTATTTGTATATTGATTGGTGTTCTCCTCATTCACACACGCAAACTCTCAAATGTAAATTTCATAAAGACAGGGACTTCCCCATTCTTGTTCACTGCTAGCAGAATATCTGAAACTCAGAATGCCCTCAAATATTTCTTTTTTTGTTTTTTTTTTGTTTGTTTGTTTGTTTTTTTTTTGAGACGGAGTCTCGCTCTGTCGCCCAGGCTGGAGTGCGGTGGCGCGATCTCTGCTCGCTGCAGCCTCCGCCTCCCGGGTTCAAGCAATTCTCCTGCCTCAGCCTCCTGAGTAGCTGGGATTACAGGCACCTGCCACCATGCCCAGCTAATTTTTGTGTTTTTAGTAGAGACAGGGTTTCACCATGTTGGTAAGACTGGTCTCGAACCCCTGACCTCGTTATCCACTCGCCGCGGCCTCCCAAAGTGCTGGGATTACAGGTGTGAGCCACTGCGCCCAGCCTAAGTTTTTGAATTTTTAGTAGAGACGGGGTTTCACTGTGTTAGCCAGGATGGTCTCGATCTCCTGACCTCGTGATCCGCCCGCCTTGGCCTCCCAGAGTGCTGGGATTACAGGTGTGAGGCACCATGCCCAGCCACCCTCAAATATTTGCTGAATGAATGGCTATCGTTCTTTGTCAAATCCCTTTCTCATTAATCCCATGCACTGAGTAGAATGGCATGAAATATGTTTGGTTTCTCTGTCTAGTTTGAGTTCCTGAGATCTAGTTGGTGAGAGACATGATGTTCTACCGGTTGCTGTCGATTGTTGGAAGACAAAGAGCCAGCCCAGGATGGCAGAACTGGTCCTCTGCAAGAAACAGCACGTCAGCTGCCGAGGCGCGTTCCATGGCCCTGCCCACCCAGGCACAGGTGGTCATCTGTGGAGGTGGAATCACGGGCACTTCTGTGGCCTATCACCTCTCCAAAATGGGGTGGAAGGATATTGTCCTTTTGGAGCAGGGCAGGTAAGGATCAGACTGCATTTGGCTCATGGCTGTGCTGCACTAATCGTATAAGATTCCCTCTCCTTTCAGAGATACTGCCCCACCAGTAGCTAATCTAAATGTTGCTAAGTAGCATGAGAAGAAGCAAGGTGGAATCTCCTGAATTTTGTTTAAGGATGACTAATAATGCTCATGTTCTCTGGTTTTTAGAGAGTTGGCAAATTTCGTTTTCCTTTTTTTTTTTTTTTTTTTTTTTTTTGGTGGTGGTGTTTTGGTAGACAGGATCTCGCTTTCTTACCCAGGCTGAGCTTGAATTCCTGGCCTCAAGCAGTCCTCCCACCTTGGCCTCCCAAAGTGCTGGGACTACAGGCATGACCCACTGTACCCAGCAACATTTTAGACTTTGACAAAAATTTGCGTTTGTAAATAATGTGGATTGCATTTAAGCAAAGTAGACAACTGCTTGTGTTTGCTTAATTGCTAGGTTCTTAATATTGTTCTCATTCCCCAAGAGAAATATGCTCTATAGGCTTAGTTTCTCTGTGCTCGCCTTCTTTTAGGTCAAGTATTTTCTGCTTTATTGGCTTGTAAGCTAAGTCCCTTTATATTAATTTGTAATAGTTACAGAGATTACAGAATGGATTCTTATAATCCATCATTAATTAATATTATACCACTATACAAGTAATGTTAGATTCATACAACAATATTGGCCGGGCATGGTGGCTCACACTTGTAATCCCAGCACTCTGGGAGGCTGAGGTGGGCAGATCACCTCAGGTCAGGAGTTCTAGACCAGCCTGGCCAACATGGTGAAAACCTGTCTCTGCTAAACATACAAAAATTAGCTGGGCGTGGTGGTGTGCACCTGTAATCCCAGCTACTCAGCAGGCTGAGGCAGGAGAATCGCTTGAATCCGTGAGGCGGAGGTGGCAGTGAGCAGAGATCATGCCACTGCACGCTAGCCTGGGTGACAGAGCGAGACTGTCTCAAAAAAAAAAAAAAAGAATACAGGCCTTTGACTCTGATAATTCTCAACCTGTGTTTAGCTAATGTTTTCTTATTCCCTTTTTTTTTTTTTTTTAAGATGGGGTCTTGCTGTGTCACCCAAGCTGGAGTGCAGTCACACTATCACAGCTGACTGTAGCCTTGACCTCGTGGATTCAAGCAGTCCTTCTGCCATAGCCTTCCAAGTAGCTGGGACTACTGACATGCACCACCACATCTGGCTGGTTGTTGTATTTTTCTGTAGAGATGGGATCTCCCTGTGTTGCCTAGGCTGTTTTCTTTTCTTTCTTTTTTTTTTGAAATGGAGTCTGGCTCTGTCACCCAGGCTGGAGTGCAGTGGTGCAATTTCTGCTCACTGCAACCTCCGCCTCCTGGGTTCAAGCAATTCTCCTGCCTCAGCCTCCCGAGTTGCTGGGATTACAGGCACCCACCACCATGCCCGGCTAATTTCTGTTTTTTTAGTAGAGACAGGATTTCACCGTGTTAGCCAGGCTGGTCTTGGACTCCTGACCTCCAGTGATCTACCCACCTTGGCCTCCCAAAGTACTGGGATTACAGGCGCGAGCCACCACACCTGGCCTAGGCTGTTGTCTTGTGATCAGACTTGGGTTAGAGACTTTTATAACCATCACTGTATTGAGATACAATTTGCATACCATGCCACTCATCCTTGTTAAGTGCTGAAATCTGTTTACAGAGTTGTGCATCCATCATCATAACCAGGTCATACATTTTTGGCAGTAAGACCACAGAAATTAGGCTGGACTCTCAGCAGTGCACCACATCAGGAGGTGTATGGCTGTCCTGTCTCACTTCTGGTGGTGATAAACCTGGTCACTCAGTTACATTGGTGTCCTCCAAGCATCTCTAGCACAGAGACCCTGTTTTCTCCCCTTGTAATGGGCCAGTGCCCTTTGAGGAGAGATGGATTCTGAGATTATGCCAATATCCTGTTCATATGAGACCTCCACCTACCGGGCTTAGCATCCATTGACAACTGTTGCCTGAGTCAGCCACCACCGTGATGGTTGACAAATGGTGATTTTTTGATCATACTTCTACATTTATTATAGTTGGCATATTACTGTCAGGAAGAGATTTCCTTCTCCCCCATTTATTTACTCAGTTATATATCTGTATACACACATACACACACACACACCAGTTTAGACTCATGGATTTCTATTTTATGCAGTGGATAGTTTTTTTTTTGAGACAGAGTCTTGCTTTGTCACCCAGGCTGGAGTGCAGTGACGTGATCTCGGCTCACTGCAACCTGTGCCTCCCGGATTCCAGTGATTCTCCTGCCCCAGGCTCCCAAGTAGCTGGGATTAATAGTTGCATGCCACCACACCTGGCTAATTCTTGTATTTTTAGTATAGATGGGGTTTCACCATGTTGGCCAGGCAGGTCTTGAACTCCTGACCTCAGCTGATCCACCCGCCTCAGCCTCCCAAAGTGCTGGGATTACAGGCATGAGCCACCGTGCCCGGCCCGCAGTGGATACTTTTAAGAGCAAAAGTGGGTTTTGTTTTTGTTAATGTTTTTGAGACAGAGTCTCACGCTGTCACTCAGGCTGGAGTGCAGTGGTTCAATCTCAGCTCACTACAACCTCTGCCTCCTGGGCTCAAGTGATCCTCCCACCACAGCCTCCTGAGTAGCTGGGACTACAGGCATGCACTACCATGCCTGGCTAATTTTTTGTTTTTTTGGTAGAGACGTGATTTCACCTTGTTGTCCAGGCTGGCCTCAAACTCCTGGGCTCAAGTGATCCGCCCACCTCAACCTCCCAAAGTACTGGGGTTACAGGTGTGGGCCGCCACACTTGGCCTCATAATGCTTCCTTGATGTCAAAGTCTTTCTCCTATTTTTTGAAATCCTTTTAAATTTAATTATCAGGTATTTCCACAAAAAGTGATAAACTAATCGCAGTGTAAATGTTTCTAAGTGGGAGACCCTAGGGAGGTTCATTTTTGGTTTAATTTGTTGCTTCAAGATTATATAATACCTTAGAATTGATATAAGGCAGACTATTTAAACCTCACACTTAAAAATAATTACGCCAGCCAGGCACGATCGCTCACACCTGTAATCCCAGGACTTTGGGAGGCCAAGGTGAGTGGATCACCGGAGATCAGGAGTTCGAGACCAGCTTGGCCAACATGGTGAAACGCCGTCTCTACTAAAAAATACAGAAATTAACTGGGAGTGGTTATTCGCGTCTGTTAATCTCAGCTACTCGGGAGGCTGAGGTAGGAAAATCACTTGAATCCAGGAGGCGGAGGATGCAGTGAGCCAAGATCGCACCATTGCACCCCAGCCTGGGCGACAGAGCAAGACTCAGTCTCAAAAAAAAAAAAAAAAATTATGCCTCGGCCAAGTGCAGTGGCTCATGCCTGTTATCCCACGACTTTGGGAGGCCAAGGTGGGTGGATCACCTGAGGTCGGGAGTTCAAGACCAGCCTGCCCAACATGGGGAAACCCCGTCTCTACTAAAAATGCAAAAATTAGCTGGGCGTGGTGGCATAAGCCTGTAATTGTAGCTACTCAGGAGGCTGAGGCAGGAGAATTGCTTGAACCTGGGAGGCAGAGATTGCAGTGAGCCAAGTTTGTGCCACTGCCCTCCAGCCTGGGCAACAGAGTGAGACTGTCTCAAAAAATAATAGTTATTATTATGCCTTATCCGTGGCTTGTGAAATGGTTTTATACTGCCCTTTATGTATAATTATTCCTCTTGTCCATCTTCACTATTGTTCTCATAGATCAATGGGTCTTAAATCTGTCTGCACATTAGAATCAGCTGGGGAGCTTTTAACAATTACCAGTGCCCAGACCTCTCCCCAGAACAAACCAGAATCTCTAGGGGTGAGGCCAGGCATCAATATTTTTAAAAGCTTCCCCGGGGACTCTAATGTACCTCCAAGGGCGAGAGCCACTGTCAAAGCTGCTCAAGGAGTGCTATCCCAGCAGAGACGTCACCAGAGCTATAGGTGCTGACCACCAGCCAGTTAATGGAACTCCCACCTGGGGTGGAGCTCCACACAGTTACAAAGATGATAGAAAAATCTCTTTAGGGAGCTGACAATCTTATGTGGAAAATATAATTATTAGAGTAAATACAGTAAACTCAAGTGACAGGCATGCTGACACAGATGTTAGTTTATTTACTGAGTGATAAATAATTTGGGGAAAATGACCTTAGAACCCCCCACCTGCTTTCTTGACATATGGGTCCCTTGCAAAACTGGGTCTTTGGGCCCTAGCATTACTGTAGCCTTTATATTCTGTTGCTACCACAAATTAGAGAACATTTTTTTCAATGTAAAGTTTATGTACTTTTGAATAGGCAATGTATTTATATGATTCAAAATTGAAAATATGTAAAAGAAGCTGGGTGCAGTGGCTTATGCCGGTAATCCCAGCACTTTGGGAGGCTGAGGCGGGTGGATCATCTAAGGTCAGGAATTCGAAACCAGCCTGGCCAACATGGCAAAACCCCATCTCTACTAAAAATACAAATTTAGCCAGGCATGGTGGTGCACACCTGTAATCCTAGCTACTTGGGAGGTTGAGGCAAGAGAATTGCTTGAACCTGGGAGGTGGAGGTTGCGGTGAGCCGAGATTGTGCCATTGCACTCCAATCTGAGTGACGAGCAAAACTCCGTCTCTAAAAAAACAAACAAACAAAAAAACAAAAATTAGCTGGGCATGGTGACACACACCTGTAATCCCTGCTACTCGGGAGACTGAGGCAGGAGAATAGCTTGAACCCAGGAGGCAGAGGTTGCAGTAAGCCGAGATTGTGCCATTGCACTCCAGCCTGGGTGACAAGGGAAACTGCGTCTCAAAAAAAAAAAAAAAAAAAAAAGTATATATATATATATGTAAAAGAGTATACAGGAAAAAGACTCCCCAATGTTCTTTCCTTTTCTTTCTTTTTTTTTTTAAGATGGAGTCTTGCTCTGTCACCCAGGCTGTAGTGCAGTGGTGCAGCCTCAGCTCCTGCAACCTCTGCCTCCTGGGTTCAGGCGATCCTCCTGCCTCAGCCTTCTGAATAGCTGGGATTACAGACGCCTGCCACCATGCCCGGCTGATTTTTGTATTTTTAGTAGAGATGGGGTTTCGCCATGTTGGCCAGGCTGGTCTCGAACGCCTGACCTCAAGTGATCTGCCTGCCTCAGCCTCCCAAAGTGCTGGGATTATAGATGTGAACCACTGCACCCAGCCCTCAATCTTCACTTCTAACAAAAAGCTTTCTCTCTGGAGGGAAGTTAAGTTCTAGTTATATTCTCTACTTCTATAAGCAATTATGTGTTGGTAGGTTTGTGTATATGTGTATGGATATTCATTTATTATATTTTTTCTCTTTTTTATATAAGTGGGAGCATACCTTACACACTGTTCTTCACCTTGCTTTTTCATTATGATTGTTCCATTTTGGTACATAAAGACCTTTTCATTCTTTTTTATAGCTGCATAATATTCCATTGTATAGATGAATTCCAAAATTTTATTTTATTTTAGAGATGGGGTCTTGCTCTATTGCTTAGTCTGAAGTGTAGTGGCACAATGCTAGCTCACTGCAGCCGCAAACTTTTGGGATCAAGGGATCTTCTTGCCTCAGCTTCCCAAGTAGCCTGGCTAACTTTTATCTTTATTTTTTTTACTTTTTTTTGAGGCGGAGTCTCGCTCTGTCACCCAGGCTGGAACGCCGTGGCACAGTCTTGACTCACTGCAAGCTCCACCTCCCGGGTTCATGCCATTCTCCTTCCTCAGCCTCCCGAGTAGCTGGGACTACAGGCGCCTGCCACAATGCCTGGCTAATTTTTTGTATTTTTTGTAGAGACGGGGTTTCACTGTGTTAGCCAAGATGGTTTCGATCTCCTGACCTTGTGATCCGCCCACCTCAGCCTCCCAAAGTGCTGGGATTACAGGCGTGAGCCACCGCACTCAGCCTTTATTTTTATTTGTTTATTTATTTTTATTTTTATCTTTTTTTGGTAGAGACACAGTCTGGCTATGTTGCCCAGGCCAGTCTTGAACTCCTGGCCTCCAGTGAACCTGCTACCTCAGCCTGTCAAAGTGCTGGGATTACAGGCATGAGCCACTGTGCCTGGCCTAAACTATCCAGAATTTTAAATCTGTCCCATGTCATTGAACATTTTTCTCACCCTGTTGCCCAAGCTGGAGTGCAGAGATGTGATCACAGCTCACTGCAACCTCTACCTTTTGAACTCAAGCGCTCCTCTGGCCTTAGCCTCCCAAGTAGCTGGGACTGCAGGCATGTGCTACCATGCCTGGCTAATTTTGTTGTTGTTGTTGGTAGAGATGGGTTCTCCCTGTGTTGACCAGGCTGGTCGTAAACCCCTGTCCTCAAGCAGTCCTCAGTCCTCCTACCTTGGCCTCCTAAAGTGCTGGGATTATAAGTGTGAGCCACTGTGCCCAGCTTGTTTCCATCTTTTGGTGTTAGAAACAGTATTAAATGAGAAACCCTGACCTCGTATTCACAGATGACGTCAATCTACCTAATAGCATTTTGCATCCATCCTGCAGGCTGGCTGCTGGCTCTACCAGGTTCTGTGCTGGCATCCTGAGCACTGCCAGGCACTTGACCATTGAGCAGAAGATGGCAGACTACTCAAACAAACTCTACTATCAGTTAGAGCAAGAAACAGGGATCCAAACAGGTAAGCAAGTGTCTTCCATTTATTGCTTTGCCTGTCCCTGAGATTGTTATATTCATTTCTGTATTTGGTCCTCTGCCAGGTGTGCCTGCTGCTTTGGTAATTAAAACTTGGGTTGGCCGGGCATGGTGGCTCACGCCTGTAATCCCAGCACTTTGGGAGGCCGAGGCAGGCGGATCACGAGGTCAGGAGATCGAGACCATCCTGGCTAACATGGTGAAACCCCGTCTCTACTAAGAAATTAAGAAAATATGTAAATTATCCTTACTGTACTTCTTTTGAAAATAAGATACCAAATTGCTTCAACTCTTTCTTCATAAGAATTAAGAGTCATTGCATTTTAGGAGAATTGTCATTGGCCCAAGTGTAATTATGGTTCTATATCAGGTGTGTTGATTACAGACAACAGGAATTGGCTCTGGCCAACTTGGAGCTTGTTGGGAGGAGCTTGGGCCTGTGGAGTTGGCAGGAGGCTGCCAGCTGGAGGCAGCCTGGAAGCCAGGATGTGGGGACTGCACCGCAGGCAGTCCCTCAGCGAGAACAGGAGCAGCCTGGCGTGGCTGATGCTGCCCTTGAGATGGTGACCTCTAGTCATTCACCTACGTGCTCAAGACTGACTCTTCCAGGAGGGTCTGATTGGATAAGCTTAGGTCACATGCCCACTGTTTGGCTATACTGGGGAAGAAGAAGGGAGAATCCGACCCTTGGTAGCTGATGTTATTGTGAGTGGCCTTTGCCAGGGATTACACTCCCCCAAGACTAGGAGGAGAAAGGGTGAAACTGCCTAAAAGGTGGGAAGAATAGGGATGGTCGAATCCCTGCCCAAAACTGTCTTTTTTTTTTTTCTTTTTTTTAAAGACAAAGTCTCACTCTGTTACCCAGGCTAGAGTGCAGTGGTGCAATTTTGACCCACTGCAACCTCCACCTCCTGGGTTCAAGCAATTCTCCTGCCTCAGCCTTCCCGGTAGCTGGGATTACAGGCGTGCACCACCACACCTGGCTAATTTTTATATTTTTAGTAGAGACAGGGTTTCACCATGCTGGCCAGGCTGGTCTCAAACTACTGACCTCAGATGATCCGCCCCCCTCAGCCTCCCAAAGTGCTGCGATTACAAGCATGAGCCACTACACCTGGCCTAGAATCTCATTTGATCCTCACAACCTCACAAAACTGTGAGCTGAGAATGTTTGGTCAGGGCATGGAGCCTTAGTGCATCTGAAGTTCTTAAAATTTTGCATAGAAGCTCAGAGAAGCTGATTTACCTGCCCAAGGATATTGAGTGGCAGTCCCAGGATTCATCACAGGTCTTCTAACCTATAATCTAGTGGATTTTCCACTCTCCTGTCCTACATTTGGTCTGATCTGTCTCATTTGGGCTCATTTTTCTTACAGGTTACACAAGGACAGGCTCAATCTTTCTGGCCCAAACTCAGGACCGACTGATCTCCCTGAAGCGCATCAACGCAGGGCTGAAGTACGTAAGAGTCTAGAAGCGTGTCCTGACTTTACCACACTGGCCTCTGCCAAAGAGCCTGTGAATGTCATTGTCCCTTGTGTTCTGTGGCAGTGTTATAGGTATCCCTTCTGAGATCATCTCCCCCAAGAAAGTGGCCGAGCTTCACCATCTCCTCAACGTGCACGACCTGGTGGGGGCCATGCATGTTCCCGAGGATGCAGTGGTGTCTTCCGCTGACGTGGCTCTTGCCCTGGCAAGTGCTGCCTCCCAAAATGGTGAGCAGGTTTTTGCATTTTCTTAAGATAGGTTAGCAGGGAAGACATTACCTAAGGAAGTGTCTCACAATAGGAAGTGACACCAACTCAAGTTTGGAAAGATTATCCTCTTTGGGGTACTCAGCCTCCATTTTGAACACTTATAATTTTATTTATCTGTTAATGAGTGTTTTCCCTCAGGGCCACATTTTTAAAGTTCTAAAGAACTGCTTTTAGTGCTAATTAATGCCCCTTTTTTGGAGACAGAGCTTCACTCTTTTCGCCCAGGCTGGAGTGCAATGGCACAATCTTGGCTCACTGCAACCTTCGCCTCCTGGGTTCATGTGATCCTCCTGCTTCAGCCTCCCGAGTAGGTGGGACTACAGGCGTGCCCCACTACACCCGGCTAATTTTTTTGTGTATTTTTAGTAGAGACGGGGTTTCGCCATATTGGCCAGGCTGGTCTTGAACTCCTGACCTCAGATGATCCACCTGCCTCGGCCTCCCTAAGTGCTGGGATTACAGGCGTGAGCCACTGTGCCCTGCCAATTAATGCCCTTTGGACTTAAGGTAATATTTTCCGCCACAGGACTTGAGAAGCTCAAGGTGAAAACACACCTTGGAAGTTTAATCCACACCTGAAATCATGAGCCCAGTTGCATTGAATGAGGGGAAGACTTAACTAGCGTCCAGGGTATCATATCCATGGTATGAGCAGGTTAGCACTTAAGGCGCACTATTTACATCCTCTCCTCTCTGCTCCATAGTTTATGATTCCAGGAATTTAATTATTGTGTTCCAAAGTCTGTTTTTAAACTGAGTTGCTATTTTCAATCTTGAACAAGGCCCATTTACATAGTCTCAGGATGTGATTCTAGGGTTTTGTGTTTTTTTTAAATGAAAGCATTGAGCCGGGCGTGGTGTCTCATGCCTGTAATCCCAGCACTTTGGGAGGCCAAGGCAGGCGGATCACCTGAGGCCAGGAGTTCAAGACCAGGCTGACCAACATGGTAAAACCCCATCTCTATTAAAAATACTAAAATTAGCCGGGCATGGTGGTGCATGCCTGTAATCCCAGCTACTTGAGAGGCTGAGGCAGGAGAATTGCTTGAACCCAGGAGGCAGAGAGCGAGCCAAGATCGCACGACTACACTCCACCCTTGGCGACAAAGCAAGACTCCATCTCAAAAATAAAATAAAAAAATAAATTAAAGCATTGACTTGACTTTGTCAGTGTTTCTTCTGGGTGGAGAACCTGCTGCACATGCCTTCATTCTGGAACATCAGATGAAACACCAACTCTTTCTTTACCTTGGAACAGGTGTTCAGATCTATGACCGGACATCTGTTCTTCATGTAATGGTCAAAAAAGGTCAAGTTACTGGAGTGGAGACCGATAAAGGACAGATTGAATGCCAGTATTTTGTCAACTGTGCTGGCCAGGTAGGTCAGCACCAACACTGCTGTTCTTATTTAACGTTTGTCTCCAAGATTTTTTTGGTGTAGAGAAGTAAGATTAGTATTGTGATTGGTTATACAGATATCAGTAACTACGCTGTTTCTTGTAGGGTATTCTAAATCAGAAACCTACACTTAGTCTGCAAATAGAAGCCTGTGTGACCTTGTCCTTCCTCCACACTGGGTTGATGGGTGCTATCCTGGTCAGGAAGGCCAGCAAATGGTCAGGCATTGACGTGAATCCTTGGCACTGGGTCTTGATGTTACATTTCATTCTATAACCTAGCAAATAACATATTAGGCTATTTTATTGTGTCAGGAATGTGGACACTAATTTCCAGGACACTGCTTCTTTTAAAGCAGATTGGCTCTTGCCTTCCATGCTATGATCCCGAAGTGAACTAAGAAATACTTTTGCCATGTGAAGTTCATTTAGTGATTGCTATTTGGGGTTTGTAGCTGAGCCCAGGCGTTTTATCAAAAGGACCTCCTTTGGTTCCCATGAGCTCCTTTGACTAGCTGGTAAATATCTCTTCCTTTGATCTCAAAGTAATTTTTATGTCTTAAAAAATGTAGTATTGCTCCCCATCCAAATAATTGAACTAAAGCAGGCTGACTTCCCACACCTGACACTGTAGCAAGAGCACACATAAGCCACTTGGAATTAATCTCAAGAGGCTGAACTTGCTCATTTTTATTTCTGTTCCTCTTCCCACCCACAAATCAACCTGTCCATTTGTAGTGGGCATACGAGCTGGGTCTGTCCAACGAGGAGCCGGTTAGTATCCCGCTACATGCCTGCGAACACTTCTACCTCCTGACTCGCCCCTTGGAGACCCCTCTGCAGAGCAGCACACCAAGTGAGGACTTGCACTTTTTTAAAAAATCTTGTTTCTTTGCCAGTATCCTGTCCTCTGAAAAGGAAAACTTTCTGCTAAGGACAGCCTGTGTCTGAAAGAGTCTTTCATTTCTAGAGCATGTTACAGGGAGGTGGACCCAATTCTGACTTTTCTTTATTAACTCTTTATGAAAGGATGGCCAAAATTTCCATTAATACATTTTTTTGTTTTTGTTTGTTTTGCAAGCTAATTTTAGTCCTAAACAGAGGTCATTGAGAATATTTGGACTGTCTTGTTGACTTTTTAACTTGAATGCTATGGATAGTAGAAATGTCATAGGTAAACAATAGACTTAGGTGGGTTCGTGGTTCCAAGCACTGTAGGAGAGGGTTCTCACATCCTTTTGACGGTCTTCATGCCTAGAATGGGCTCTGCAACCCCCCTCTCTGTTAAACTTTCGCTTGGCACAGTGGGAGTTACGTGGTTTGCTTGTGGGGACTAGTCAAAGCTTCTAGGTAAGGGATAATCAGAGAAACAGTCTCCACTGAAAGGCTAAATGGGAGGATCTTCCCCCGTGACCTCAAAAGGTATTTTAAAGCTAATGAATGCCTGTGTTCATTGAATGTTCTTTCATTAATAAAGCCATTAATGGGTGTTTTTGTTTGGTTGTTCTGTCCATTTAGAAAGCTGACTTGCCTCTAAACCCTTGTTTTTTCTTCCACTCCCCACTCCATGTCATTTCTCCACCTCAGCTATTGTGGATGCTGATGGAAGAATTTATATTCGGAACTGGCAGGGTGGCATCCTGTCTGGGGGCTTTGAGAAGAACCCGAAACCAATTTTCACTGAGGGCAAGAACCAGCTGGAGATTCAGAATCTACAGGAAGACTGGGATCACTTTGGTATGTGAACTGCATTATAACCGTAGTGCCTTATATTTGTTTAAGATGTTATATTTTTCAAAGTATTTTGAAGAATAGTTCCTTGTTTAATGTTTATAACATCGCCATGAGGTACAACAGTGGTTACAGAGGGTGAGTTTGCCTGGTCTGAGGATGGAGTTACTAGGTAGCAGATTCAGGGGACTAAAATCTTAGTTAATAGACATTTGCCTTATTCTTTTTTAATTTTATTCTTAGTTTTACTTTTTTTTTTTTATTTCTTGAGACGGAGCCTTGCTCCGTGCTCAGACTGGAGTGCAGTTGCACAATTATAGCTCACTGCAGCCCCGAACTCCTGGTCTCATAGCTTTTTTTTTTTCTTCTTTTTGGTAGAGACATGGTCTCGCCATGTTGCCCAGGTTGATCTCGAACTCCAAGGCTCAAGTGATCCCTTTCACCTTGGCCTCCCAAAGTGCTAAGATTACAGATGTGAGCCACTGTACCTAGCCCTTTGTGTGTGTTTAGTCATCTCTATCATTTTGTGTGTGTGTGAGATGGCGTCTTGCCCTGTCACCTAGGCTGGAGTGCAGTGGCATGATCATAGCTCACTGTAGCCTCAAATTCGTGAGCTCAAGCAATCCTGCCACATCAGCCTCCCAAGTAGCTGGGATTACAGGTGCTTGCCACCATGCCTAGCTAATGTTTAAATTTTTTGTTGAGATGGGGTCTCGCTGTGTTGCCCAGGCTGGTCTCGAACTCTTGGGCTCAGTCAATCCTGCCTCAGCTTCCCAAAGTGCTGTGATTACGGGCATGAGCCATGATACCCAGCTGCTTTTTTTTTTTTTTTTTTTTTGAGATGAAGTCTCGCTCTGTTGCCCAGGCTGGAGTGCAGTGGTGTGATCTCGGCTCACTGCAACCTCTGCCTCCCCGGTTCAAGTGATTCTCCTGCCTCAGCCTCCAGAGTAGGTGGTAGGTGGGATTACAAGCGCCTGCCACCACTCCCGACTAATTTTTGTGTTTTTAGTAGAGACAGGGTTTCACCATGTTGATCAGGCTGGTCTTGAACTCCTGACCTCAGGTGATCCGCCTGCCTCAGCCTCCCAAAGTGCTGGGATTACAGGCATGAGCCACTGCGTCTGGCCTTTTTTTTTTTTTGAGATAAGAGTCTTGCTCTGTCGCCCAGACTGGAGTGCAGTGGCACAATCTCGGCTCACTCCAACCTCCACCTCCTAGGTTCAAGTGATTCTCATGCCTCAGCCTCCTGAGTAGCTGGGATTACAGGCATGCATCAACATGTCCAGCTAGTTTATGTATTTTTAGTAGAGACAGGATTTTACCACGTTGGCCAGGCTGGTCTTGAAATCCTGGCCTCAAGTGATCTGCCTGCCTTGGTCTCCCAAAGTGCTGGGAGTAAAGGTGTGAGCCACTGTGCCCAGCTCTGCTTCTTTTTTTTGTTTTTTTGTTTTTTTTTGAGATGGAGTTTCACTCTTGTTGCCCAGGCTCAAGTGCAATGGTGCGATCTCGGCTCACCGCAACGTCTGCCTCCCGGGTTCAAGTGATTCTCCTGCCTCAGCCTCCTGAGTAGCTGGGATTACAGACATGCGCCACCACGCCTGGCTAATTTTGTATTTTTAGTAGAGACAGGGTTTCTCCATGTTGGTCAGGCTGGTTTCGAACTCCTGACCTCAGGAGATCTGCCCGCCTTGGCCTCCCAAAGTGCTGGGATTACAGACGTGAGCCACCATGCCCGGCCCCTGCTTATTCTTTATTCACCTAAAATTATTGCTCAGATTTTAGGTTTTAGGAGGAGACTTCTTTCAGTAGGACTTCATATAAAATTGAAGAGTTCTTTAGAAAACAGAATTGTTTTGTTTTGTTTTGTTTTTCAGAATTGTTTTGTTAGTGTAGTATTTTATTAAATTTTAAAATAATTTTATTTATTTATGTATCCATTCATTCATTTTGAGATGGAGTCTTGCTCTGTTGCCCAGGCTGGAGTGCAGTGGTGCGATCTTAGCTCACTGCATCCTCCGCCTCCTGGATTCAAGCAATTCTCCTGCCTCAGCCTCCCAGGTAGCTGGAATTACAGGCGCCCACCACAACGCAGAGCCAGTTTTTGTGTTTTTAGTAGAGATGGGGTTTCACTATTTGGCCAGGCTGGTCTTGAACTCCTGACCTCAAGCGATCCACCCGCCTCGGCCTCCCAAAGTGCTGGGATTACCGGTATGAGCCACCGCACCTGGCCTTTAAGGCCTGTAATCCCAGCACTTTGGGAGGCCAAGGCGGGCAGATCGCCTGAGGTCAGGAGTTCAAGACCAGCCTGGCCAACATGGCAAAAACCCGTCTAAATATAAAAATTAGCTGGATGTGGTGGCGCACACCTGTAACGCCAGCTACGTGGGAGGCTGAGGCAGGAGAATTGCTGGAACCCGGGAGGCAGAGGCTGCAGTGGGCTGAGATCGCACCACTGCACTCCAGCCTGGGTGACAGAGCGAGACTCCATCTCAAAAAAAAAAAAAATAATAATAATAATATAGTTACCTAGTTCCAAATTTAAAAAGATGAAAGAGTCTCTAATGAAGAATTTCCCTCTGACCCTTGATGGGCTTTCTTTTTTTAATAAATTCTTACGGAAAATTTCAAACTTTTAAAAGTGGATAGAAGCTGGGCACAGTGGCTTACACCTGTAATTCCATCATTTTGGGAGGCCAAGATGGGAGGATCACTGGAGCCCAGGAAGTGAAGACCAGCCTGGGCAACATGGCGAGACTGGAGACTATGTGTCTACTAAACAAACCTGGCGAGAGTAGTATGATGAGCCCCCATGTACCCATTATCCAGCTCTGGTCTGGTTTCATCTTTTTCTGCTGTCCACTGGATTATGTCCTGATGGTAGATTTCCTTTAAAGCAGGGTGAAAGTCTGTCTTTTGCAGCTATTCCAATGCAGAACATTGCCTTTTTTTTTTTTTTTCCTGAGATGGAGTTTCACTCTATTGCCCAGGCTGGAGTGCAGTGTCACGATCTCTGCTCACTTCAACCTCCGCCTCTCAGATTCAAGCGATTTTTCTGCCTCAGCCTCCCGAGTAGCTGGGGTTACAGGCTTCCACCATCACGACTGGCTAATTTTTGTATTTTTAGTAGAGACGAGGCTTCGCCATTTTGGCCATAATGCTCTTGAACTCCTGACCTCAGGTGATCCGCCCACCTTGGCCTCCCAAAGTGCCGGGGTTACAAATGCAAGCCACCATGCCCAGCTCAGAACATCACCTTTTATTAAAATCTCTGTGGCCGCCATTTAAGAGCTTTTCCACTCACACTGGTCCCTTCAAGATTATTATCTGTAGATACGTTTTACTTGCTGTTCTCTGCTGCTTTCCTTTCTAACCAATATCTTTTTTCCTCAGTCTTTATACCAAGTATTTTGCAGCTATATCCTGTAATTCTACCAAGGTTTCTGCTTTGTGATAAATGGCCCAGTTGGCTCGTCTTTAAAAAAATCTCTTCCAGCCGGACGCAGTGGTTCACACCTATAATCCTAGCACTTTGGGAGGCCGAGGCAGGCAGATCACTTGAGGTCAAGAGTTCGAAACTAGTGTGGCCATCATGGTGAAACCCCATCTCTACTAAAAATACAAAAAATTAGCTGGGCATGGTGGTGCACGCCTGTAATCCGAGCTAATTGGCAGGCTGAGGTGAGAGAGTAGCTTGAACCTGGGAGGCAGAGGTTGCAGTGAGCCGAGATCGTGCCACCACACTCCAGCCGGGGCGACAGAGTGAGACTCCATCTCAAAAAAAAAAAAAAAAAAAATCAAGAGGTTTTCTGAAAGGGGAGAGTGTAAAAAAGTAGAGGGGTTGAAAGTGGTTTAATTCCTTAAAGGTGAGAACTCTATTTGGTTTTGTTGTCATTGCTCAGAGCCTCTGTTGAGTTCCCTTCTGAGGAGGATGCCAGAATTAGAGACTCTGGAGATCATGAAGTTGGTGAACTGCCCAGAGACCTTCACACCAGACATGAGGTGCATCATGGGCGAGTCTCCTGCAGTGCAGGGCTACTTTGTCCTGGCAGGAATGAACTCTGCTGGCCTTTCATTTGGTGGAGGAGCCGGAAAGTAAGTCTTTCTCACTCAAAGTCAGCTGTGAACATAAGTCAACTTGCTGGGTCTCTTCCCTTCTAGAATTACTTGTTATTAACATGGCGTGTGGTATATTTAATCTAGTATGTTAAGACTAATAAGAAGATACATGTAATTTTGGAGTTGTCCCCTTCTAAGTATGAGAGGCTCCCCATGTTCCAGAAATGTCATCGGGCAAAATGTTTTTGCAACTCATCTTTTGGAGTTAGCCACAGATCCTGTGGGATATTCTTTTATATTTTTTCAGTTATAACAAATATTGGTCATTTGAGTGTGTATTTGAGTTTGGTAGCCAAGTATGTTGATTGAGGTAGGTATTTGAACTAGGTAATACACGGTTTGTTTGTTTTTTTAGACAGTCTTGCTCTGTCACCCAGGCTGGAATGCAGTGACATGATCTCAGGTCACTGCAACCTCCACCTCCTGGGTTCAGGCTATTCTCCTACCTCAGCCTCCCGAGTAGCTGGGATTAGAGGTGTGTGCCAAGACATCTGGCTAATTTTTCTATTTTTAGTAGAGACAGGGTTTCACCATGTTAGCCAGGCTGGTCTTGAACTCCTGACTTCAAGTGATCCACCCACCTTGGCCTCCCAAAGTGCTAGGATTACAGGATGAGCCACTGTGCCCGGCCACAAGTTTTTATTTAAAAATTAGACACTAGGCCGGGCGCAGTGGCTCACGCTTGTAATCCCAGCACTTTGGGAGGCCGAGGTGGGCGGATCACAAGGTCATGAGATCGAGACCACTCTGGCTAACACAGTGAAACCCCATCTCTACTAAAAATACACAAACAAAATTAGCCGGGCGTTGTGGCGGGTGCTTGTGGTCCCAGCTACTCGGGAGGCTGAGACAGGAGAATGGCGTGAACCCAGGAGGCAGAGCTTGCAGTGAGCCGAGATTGCGCCACTGCACTCCAGCCTGGGCAACAGAGCGAGACTCTATCTCAATAAAAATAATAATAATAAAATAAAATAAGACACTAATGAACATTAAATAAGCCAGTCACAAAAGGACAAATACCGTGTGGTTCCACTTATATGAAGTTGCTAGAGTTGTCACATCATAGAGACAGAAAGTACAATGGTGGTTGCCAGAGGCGGGGGAGGGGAGCTATTCTTGAATGAGCACAGAGTTCCAGAAATGCAAGAGGAAAAGAGTTCTAGGATGGATGGTGGTGAAGGTTACACCGCAGTGTGAATGTACCCACTGCCACTGAACTGAATACTTACAAATGGGTAAGATGGTAGCCACGATGAAAAGTTTATTTTAAATTTATGAGACCAGTTCTCTTGAGTGATTTGTAGAATGGCTCTGAAAACAGTTACAGAAGAGGAGTTAGAAAAATGTTTGGAGCAAAGGAGATGTGGTCACGTAACTGTATAATCTTTAGGTGACAGAAAAAAACCCATTGGATATTTAGAGTATATTTGTATGTGTTTTAGTCTTATTTCTTCATAGATGAGGCTTATAACTTTTTTGAAACAAGATCTTACTCTCACCCAGGCTGGAGTGCAGTGGCACCATCATAGCTCACTGCAGCCGCAAGTTCCTGGGCTCAAGGGATCATCCCGCATCAGACTCCAGAAGAGCTAGAACTAACTGCAGGCGTGTGCCACCATACCCAGCTCTTTTTTTTTTTTTTTTTTTTGAAACGAAGTTTTGCTCTTGTTGCCCAGGCTGGAGTGCAATGGCACAATCTCGGCTCACCACAACCTCTGCCTCCCGGGTTCAGGTGATTCTCCTGCCTCAGCCTCCCGAGTAGCTGGGATTACAGGCATGTGCCACCACGCCGGCTAATTTTTTTTTTTTTTTTTTTTTTTTTTTTGAGTTGGGGTTTCGCTCTTGTTGCCCAGGCTGGAGTGCAATGGCGTGATCTAGGCTTACTGCAACCTCTGCCTCCCAGGTTCAAGCAATTCTCCTTCCTCAGCCTCCGTAGTAGCTGGGATTACAGGCGTGTGCCACCACACTGGCTAATTTTGTATTTTTAATAGAGACAGGGTTTCTCCACATTGGTCAGGCTTGTTTCGAACTCCTGACCTCAAGTGATCCGTCTGCCTCGGCCTCCCAAAGTGCTGGGATTACAGGTGTGAGCCACCTGGCTCACTTTGAAACTTTTTTTTTTCTGTAGAGACGGGGTCTTACTATGTTGCCCAGGCTGGTCTCAAACTCCTGACTTCAAGCAATCTCCTGCCTCAGCCTCCCAAAGTTCTGGGATTACAGGCATCAGCCAATGTGTCTGGCTGGCTTCTATGTTAAATACCTCCTAGGGAATCTTATCATCTGGGGTAAAATCCTCATAGTAGTCTTTTGAGAGCAGTACACAGACCCATGTTCGTTTCTTCCAGAAAAGTTAAGGAAAGTGCCCAAAACTATTCAGCTGGTCTATGGCAATTTAGGATCTTTTGATTCTGTTTGTTCTCGATTTGTAGAATATTAATTTTCTCAAATCTCACACCTGAGCCCCAACACGTGCCCTCTGTCTATATAGGTACCTTGCCGAATGGATGGTACATGGTTATCCCTCAGAAAACGTTTGGGAATTGGACCTGAAACGTTTTGGAGCCCTCCAGAGCAGCCGCACCTTTCTGCGCCACCGGGTCATGGAAGTCATGCGTAAGTGAAGCTTTATCGCAGTTGCTCCTAGTTGCAGGTATCTTCTCGGTGGCCCGTGTTGTCATTCAGAAGGAGCAAAGTTTTCCTCAGTTCTTTAACAAGTGCTTTGAGTTGGGCATTTGATTTGACTGTTTCAGGCCTGAGTTAAGGGGCTTTATGCTCCTCATGATATATACGTAACATTTTCTTTAGTGCATCGGACCTTGTTTCATTCTGAGAACAAGAAAATAGAATAGGAGTTACAGTTGGTACATAGCAGCTTCATAAATATTCTAAGCAATGCCTTCTTCCCGGTCTGCCTTGAGAGACCGTATGTCGAAGTGCGTGCTTTCTGCAGTCTGCCTTGAGAGACCCTGTGTCGAAGTGAATGCTTTCTCACTCCCACTTAGTTTTTGAGAAAATGCTTTCTCACTCCCCACTTAGTTTTTTCTTTCCAAGTCAGAGAATTTGCCGAGTTATTCTCAGAGCTTCAGGCTTCCGTGAGTGACTTTCACCATTAATCCACCCTACAGCAGCAAGATTGGGAGCCACTTCCCATATAAATACAAAACATACATTCCTGCTCTCACTCCCGTGTTCTCGCCCTGCTTCAACTTTGAAGGATTGGCCACTTCATCTTAATTTGTTATTCTACCTTGATCTCTGATTTATTTTCTAGGAAGCCCTTAGAAAGCTTTTGTATCAGGAATTGAACCAAACCACGTGGGTTCAAGTTGTAATTTCATTTTCCTGTACTGAGGAGCTGTTCTCAGACTTTGCCAAATGGTATCTAAATATTTTGGGCATACTTATGCTCAGGACTAAGTTTCTGTGTTGGCTCTGACCACCATTCTTGGTTGCAAGTAAACTGTTAGTTTGGTAGTTGAACAACATTGTTGGTGAGGACTCTGGATGGCCTTTAATGCCTGAGTGCTCACTTTTGGCCTGGGAAGAGGATGTACATCCATGGAGATGAAGGACCTAACAGCAATATGTTTAACTGCTAAGGTTCTTTAATTTTAGCAAATATTTTGGTTAAAATGTTGAACTTGGCTGGGTGTGGTGGCTCATGCCTGTAATCCCAGCACTTTGGGACGTTGAGGGAGGTAGGTCACTTGAGGTCAGGAGTTTGAGACCAGCCTAGGCAACGTAGCGAAACCCTGTCTCTACTAAAACCAAAACCAAAAAATTAGCCATGCCTAGTGGCACACACCTGAAGTCCCAGCTACTTGGGAGGCTGAGGTAGGCGAATCACCTGAGCTGGGGAAGTTGAGGCTGCAGTGAGCCATGATGGTGCCACTGTGTACTCCAGCCTGGGCAGTGGGACTGAGACCCTGTCTCAAAAAAATAAAATACAAAATCAAAGTTTTTTGTTTTAAAGTTGAACTATTATAAGCCTAAATTTCCCTACCCATAGTTACTTTGGAACCTGTACAAATCATAATTGAGCTTGAGCTTCTGCTTGGTGATATGACACTTTTGGTAGCCAATTCTCATGAAATAGAAGTGGCAGGCACATAGAAAATGGGGAAGGCGCCAGGCGCAGTGGCTCAAGCCTGTAATCCCAGCATGTTGGGAGGCTGAGGCAGGCGGATCACTTGAGGTCAGGAGGTCTGGCCTGACCAACATGGCGAAACCCTGTCTCTACTAAAAATACAAAAATTTAGCCAGATGTGGTGGTACGTGCCTGTGATCCCAGCTACTTGGCAGGCTGAGGCAGGACAATCACTTGAACCCGGGAGATGGAGGTTGCAGTGAGCCAAGATCTCACCACTGCACTCTAGCCTGGGTGATAGAGAGGGATTCCATCTCAACAAAAAATAAAAAAAAAATAGAAAAGAAAATGGGGGAGGGGATGATAGAACCGAAAGTACTAGGAGATGGAGAGATTGTCACCATGCAGAGAACCCCACCTGGCTTCCTTCTCCTGTCTCCCAACCTCCCCAAGCCTTGATGTGCCTTTTGTTTGGGATGGTGTGAGATCAGGGACCACAGATCACACTCTTCTGGCTTTTTTTACTTATTGCTGTTGAAGATTAGACCTTAAGGGAAATGAATTTTTTTTTTTTCCGAGACAGTCTTGCTCTATTGCCCAGGCTGGAGTGCCGTGGCGTGATTTCGGCTCACTGCAACCTCTGCCTCCTGGGTTCAAACAATTCTCCTGCCTCAGCCTCCCGAGTAGCTGGGATTACAGGCGCCTGCCACCATGCCTGGCTAATTTATGTATTTTTAGTAGAGACAGGGTTTCACCACATTGGTCAGGCTGATCTTGAACTCCTGACCTCGTGATCCGCCCACCTCGACCTCTCAGTGCTGGGTTTACAGACGTGAGCCACCACACCCGGCCTAAGAGAAATGAATTCTGACCCTAGCTTTGTTGTGTGAATAATGTCATTGGTACAATACAATATAACTTCTCAGATTTCAGAGCCACCTAATCAAGCTGCAATATGTACCCTTTCACTTCAGAAGTGAGTTAATTATCAGGGAGGAAATGTCTGTAACAGGTCTGAGATCCTAACACAGGCACAATGAAGAATCGAATGCCATTTTTTCACATTTTGTTACCACCTGTGTCCCACTTAGTAACCTTCTTCTCTGCTATGAAGCTTGGTAAGGTTTAGGACCCTGACCTTTCTGCCATCATTTCTACCTACTAATGTGGAATGCTGAATGTGAATACAGGCCGAGTCATGCCGTGACACGTAGCTCCAGGGAGGGACGATAGCAGCTTGGCAGGATTGTCTTTTCCTTCTGGAGCATGCCTGATACACTGGGTAATTTTGAAAATTAGACTACATTAGCCTGGAAATTGGGCCGGGCAGAGTGGCTCACGCCTGTAATCCCAGCACTTCGGGAGGCTGGGGCGGGCAGATCACCTGAGGTCAGGAGTTTGAGACCAGCCTGACCAACATGGAGAAACCCTGTCTCTACTAAAAATACAAAAATTAGTGTGGCACGGTGACACGTGCCTGTAATCCCAGCTACTCGGGAGGCTGAGGCAGGAGAATCGCTTAAACCCAGGAGGCAGAGGTTGCAGTAAGCCGAGATTGTGCCACTGCACTCCAGCCTGGACAACAAGAGCAAAACTCCGTCTTAAAAAAAAAAAAAAACTACGTTAGCCTGGAAAGCTCTTTTGAATAGAAACAACTCCAGAGTCTAGTGGACATGGGCTACTCAGGTCTAGAATCTGTGTCTTGGGCTTTGATAGACTACTCGTGTCTTTTCTAGCTTTGATGTATGATCTGAAGGTTCCCCGCTGGGACTTCCAGACCGGTAGGCAGTTACGCACCTCTCCTCTCTACGACCGGCTGGATGCACAGGGAGCCAGGTGGATGGAGAAACATGGATTTGAGAGGCCAAAGTACTTTGTTCCCCCCGACAAGGGTAAGAAGTCACATTCTCATTTTTGCTTCTTTTTTTTTTTTTTGTCCTGGGAATTAATAAAACATATTTTCAAATGCATAGGCTAGAATGTGTTCACAGAAGAAAAAGAACCACGTGGACTACACTAAACTCTACAGGGCCTTGTGATTTTTCCATTCCGTAGACCTCCTGGCATTGGAGCAGAGCAAGACTTTCTATAAGCCAGATTGGTTTGACATCGTGGAGTCTGAAGTCAAGTGCTGTAAGGAAGCTGTGTGTGTCATTGACATGTCCTCTTTCACAAAGTTTGAGATAACAGTAAGTATTTGGGAACCAAAAAGTAATAGATTAGGAAACTTTACATATTTATTGAATGCCTTTTGTTTTTCATCTTCAAAACTGATTCCTGACTGGGTGCAGTGGGTCATGCCTGTATTCCCAGCACTTTGGGAGGCCAAGGGGGCGTGGATCACCTGAGGTCAGAGTTCCAGACCAGCCTGGCCAAGATGGTGAAACCCCGTTTCTACTAAAAATACAAAAATTAAGGCCAGGAGTGGTGGCTCATGCCTGTAATCCCAGCAGTTTGGGAGGCCGAGACGGGTGGATCACCTGAGATCAGGAGTTCAAGACCAGCCTGGCCAACATGGCGAAACCGTCTCTACCAAAAATACAAAAAATTAACCAGGCATGGTGGCGGGCACTTGTAATCCCAGCTACTCGGGAGGCAGGAGAATCGCGTGAACTCATGAGGTGGAGGTTGCAGTGAGCTGAGATTGCGCCACTGCACTCAGCCTGGGCAACAGAGTGAGACTCCATCTCAAAAAAAAAAACAAAAAACAAAAACAAAACACTGATTTCTTAAGAATTCTGGTATATTTTAGTGTTTCATCTGTATTGTAACATTTTTCTGAAATTTTAGCTCCTTGTTTCAGGTTTTTAATTTGCTAGAGAGGCCTGTTTATCATAAGAATCAATAGCTAGCGTTCCCTGGAGCTTCTTGCAGTGGAGTAGGTCTGCAAATGTTGTCACATGGGAATTGGCTGATTGAATTTTCTCAATGAGGTTCATTGCTGGTGGGGCCATGTGGCCCAGCCAGGTGCTCTCACGCTCACTCTCTCTGTTTCATTCCCTAACCCTGCAGTCCACTGGGGATCAGGCATTAGAAGTTCTACAGTACCTCTTCTCCAATGACCTGGATGTGCCTGTGGGCCACATTGTGCATACTGGCATGCTCAACGAGGGTGGAGGGTATGAAAATGACTGCAGCATAGCACGACTGAACAAGCGCAGGTGAGATGAGCTGCCGTCCCGCTCTGCTCCCTCCAACATGTTGATTCCTTAGGGGTGCTGTAGCAGAGGCTCTCAGGCGCTTCTCCGGGAACCATAAATCCCAGAGTCTAAGAATCATTACATGAAATCAAAGCCAGTTTATTAGCAGTCCTAAACAAAAGAAATCACCAGGAGGAAAAGAAAAAAAAGCCCACCAGATTATGTACCCTACTGGGAGAAGATGCCTTGTCTTTTTTCTTTTTTTTTTTTTTGAGACAGGGTCTCACTTTGTTACCCAGGCTGGAGTGCAGTGATGCGATCATGGATCCCTGCAGCCTGGACCTCCTGGGCTCAAGTGATCCTCCCACCTCAGCTTTCCAGGTAGCTGGGACCACAGGTACACGCCACCACACCCAGCCAGTTTTTGTATATTTTGTAGAGATAGGGTTTTGCCACATTGCCCAGGCTGATCTTGAACACCTGAGCTCAAGCAATCTGCCCACCTTGGCCTCCAAAGTGCTGGGATTACAGGTGTGAGCCACTGTGCCCAGCCGATGTCTTAACGTTAGTAAATCTGTATAATTTCTTGGCATTAACAGGAAGCCAGAATTTTGTTTTGTTGTTAGGTGGTGTATCCTAGAATGGTGCTACTGGCCTTCTGTGAAAGCTAAGAAATCATTTCCTAGTATTTGCCTCATTGCTTTGAAACCAAATAAGATTTGATTGCTTCCTGATCCTTTTGCTGCTACCTGGTTTTGATTATTTTGGGGTCTCACTTTTCAGTTTCTTCATGATCTCTCCAACCGACCAGCAGGTCCACTGTTGGGCCTGGCTTAAGAAACACATGCCGAAAGACAGCAACCTGCTCCTGGAGGACGTCACCTGGAAGTACACAGGTACGGGGGTTCGGGCTCTGCCACGTCGAAAAGGCCAGCAGATGCAGATGTGTCCACGTTTGCCTTCTTTACATTTGACTCTCAAAAATGAACATTAGAGTTAGCATAAAAGAGGCTCTCTGGTCATAGAAAATTGATCTCTAGGGGATGCGGTGGCTGACACCTGTAATCCCAGCACTTTTGGAGGCCGAGGTTGGAGGATCACTAGGTCAGGAGTTCGAGACCAACCTGGACTATATGGTGAAACCCCGTCTCTACTAGAAATACAAAAATTAGCTGGGCGTGGTGGCACACACCTGTAATCCCAGCTACTTGGGAGGCTGAGGCAGGAGAATCACTTGAACCCAGGAGGCAGAGGTTGCAGTGAGCCCCAGATTGCACCACTGCACTCCAGCCTAGGCGAGTGAGACTCCATCTCAAAAAAAAAAAGAAAATTGAGGGCTGGACACAGTGGCTTACACCTGTAATCCCAGCACTTTGGGAGGCTGAGGCGGGCGGATCATGAGGTCAGGAATTTGAGACCAGCCTGGCCAACATGGTGAAACCCCATCTCTACTAAAAATACAAAAATTAGCTGGACATGGTGGTGCATGCCTGTAGTCCCAGCTACTCATGAGGCTGAAGCAGGAGAATCGCTTGAATCTGGGAGGCAGAGGTTGCAGTGAGCCAAGATCATGCCATTGCACCTCCACCTCCCGGGTTCAAGCGATTCTTCTGCCTCAGCCTCCCAAGTAGCTGGGATTATAGGCGCCCGCCACCACGCCGGGCTAATTTCTGTATTTTTAGTAGAGATGGGGTTTCACCATGTTGGCCAGGCTGGTCTTGAACTCTTGACCTCGTGATCCACCTGCTTCGGCCTCCCAAAGTGCTGGGATTACAGGCATGAGCCACCACGCCCAGTCCCAGAGAGTACCTAATTTTTAAGGATGACTTGGTTCCCTGATTTTCTCACTCTCAGCAGTCTCGGCTTAACCCCTCCCACCTTCCCACCTAACTGATCTTGCCCCTTGGCCCCACCAGCGTTTGCTCTCCCAGGCTCTCATTCTCAATTCCTTGTAGTAGCAAATATGATATACGTCCTGCTCCTGGATTGGGATACTACAGAATGTTACTGAACAAAAGTCATGTTCTAGCCTGTCTTAGGATGGATGACATGTAATTAGCACAAGCTGATGTCACAAACACTGGTGTCCAGAATAATGCTTTCCTTATCTAGTAAGCATTAGGATATGTTTGAAGTGGATTTAGCTTCTCTGAATTTAAAGTCTGTATACTTTTTGGTTGGGCAGATCTCCACCGGGTACTGATTTGGGGTTGGGGCTTCTTCCATCACATAGCCTTGCTGGGAAAAGGAGGAGAACGGGAATTGTGTGGGGTGGTTATGGCCAGCCCTGCTGCGTTCAGCAGGCCCTGTTGGCAGAGGTGTATTCGCCAGAATCGGGGTGCTTAGCATCCATCCTTGGAGTGTCTAAGCAAAGGGACATATTCCTGGTCTCTGCACCCAGGCCTGGCTATAGCTGAGCAAGTCTACAGTAGACCTTTCCCATTGGCTCAGCTGTTCAGAAGGAGAGCTGGACATCTCTTGTTCTTTTCCATTTAGCCCTCAATCTGATTGGCCCTCGAGCTGTGGATGTGCTGTCTGAGTTGTCCTATGCCCCTATGACTCCAGACCACTTCCCAAGCCTCTTTTGCAAGGTAAGTGCTGATAAAGTTCTGTTTCTTAAATGGGCAGAGAATGTGTCTTTCATAGCGGTGGCAGGTACATATTCTTACTATGGTGTTAGCACCCACAAAGAGTGTCTTGGCTGGGTGAGGTGGCACATGCCTGTAATCCTAGCACTTTGGGAGGCCGAGGCAGGTGGATCACCCAAAGTCAGGAGTTTGAGACCAGCCTGGCCAACATGGTGAGACCCTGTCTCTGTTAAAAATACAAAAATTAGCTGGGTATGGTCTCACGCACCTATAATCCCAGCTACTTGGGAGGCTGAGGCACAGGAATCGCTTGAACTCTGGAGGCAGAGGTCGCAGTGAGCCGAGAACACGCCACTGCACTCCACCTGGGTGACAGAGTGAGACTCTGTCTCAAATAAAAGAGTGTGCTGGCCAGGTGCAGTGGCTCACGCCTATAATCCCAGCACTTTGGGATTACATCTTATATTTATAAATAAATATAAAAATACAAAAATTAGCCGGGTGTGGTGGCGCATGCCTGTGGTCCCAGCTACTCGGGAGGCTGAGGCAGGAGAATGACTTGAACCTGGGAGGCAGATGTTGCAGTGAGCCGAGATTGCGCCATTGCACTCCAGGCTGGCAACAGAGCAAGACTGTCTCAAAAAAAAAAAAAAAAATGTGCTGCCCTTCATTAGCAAAGAAGTGACTAAGTATATTTATTTATTTATTTATTTATTTATTTATTTTGAGACAGAGTTTCACTCTTGTTGCACAGGCTGGCGTGCAATGGTGCGATCTCGGCTCACTGCAACCTCCACTTCCCGGGTTCAGGCGATTCTCCTGTTTCAGCCTCCCGAGTAGCTGGGATTACAAGCGCCCGCCACCATGCCCAGCTAACTTTTTGTATTTTTAGTAGAGACAGGGTTTCACCATGTTTGCCAGGCTGGTCTTGAACTCCTGACCTCAGGTGAACCACCCACCTCAGCCTCCCAAAGTGCTGGGATTACAGGTGTGAGCCACTGCGCCCGGCCTTATTTGTTTATTTTTTACACTCCAAGCTTGCTTTATTTAATAAGCATTAGGATATCTTTGAAGTGGATTTAGCTTCTCTAAATGTAAAGTCTTTATGCTTTTTGGTTTCTGTAGCACTGGATTAAAATTTGAAGTTACAGGATTATGACACACACAAAAATGCCTTTCGAAGTTAGGTCCCTTCTCTCCATGCAGTGTGGCCTCTTTTCTGTACACAGAGTAACTTCTGTGTCTGTGGCATCTTCAGGGAAGAAATGGCGTAGGTGAATCTCTGAACTTCCTACATAATTTTCTTTCCTATAAGTGGCAACCACAGCTGAGTGAAACAAACTGTAACCGAATGAAAGCAATGACAACGGAATCCTCCCCAGGAAGCTGCTGATTAGAGAGGGCCAAACGGACAGACATCTTGGCCACCTGTAACGAGCAACTTCCAGGTGGTTACTGATGGAGACTCTTTGAAGTTCACCCAAAGTGGGATCCACCTACAAATTGTTTCACAGTTTTCCTTCTTCTCCGAGGCAAAGTGAAAGCAACAGAAAACTCTCCACTGTTAGCTATCAGTGGACCCCTCCCAGCGTTTGCTCTGCTGCTTGGAGGAGTGACCCATACGCTCAACACCTGGCGAGTGCTGCATCCTGTCAGCCTCCTGTGGAAGCGGTTCACTTCGGTGCTGTCCAGGACTTTCCACTTTCCTTTATAGGAACGGTGATTGCGTCAGTGGCCGCTGTTAGGGAACTGAGCTGCTATGTAACGTGTTCTGAGAATCAGAAGCCCATCTTTGACCCCAGGATAGCAGATTAATTATGTCTGTGGGCATCGGGCATCATCTTTTGTATGGCAGGCGGCCAGGGTTTGTCTGCTGATTCCCCCAGAGAAGACACTCGCCTTGTCCTCATTGTGCCTGCTACCCTCGACTAACACAAGGACCTGGCAAAGAGGAATATTTTGTGCTTGTCAAGGACTTTCCTCCACTCTCTACCATCAGCTTGGCTAAAACTCCTGAGATGGTAACAGTAGCAAGCAGAGATGTCACATAGGCAGTGCTCCATTCTCTGTGCCTCAGGACCTGGAAGTTAACCACTTTCGGGATGAAATTCTTGCCTTGACGTCTGTCTCCCTCAACAGTAAACAGAGGGTGCAGCACTAATGAAAGGTTTCCCCAGGCGTCCCTCCCTTGACAAGTAATGTGAGTGCCCAGGCTGACTGCTGCCTTTGTCCCTGCAGGAGATGAGTGTGGGCTATGCAAATGGGATCCGGGTGATGAGCATGACGCACACAGGAGAGCCAGGATTCATGCTCTACATCCCCATAGAGGTGAGAGGGCACCCTTCCCTTCCCTTCCCTTCACTTCCCTTCCCTTCCCTTCCCTTCCCTTCCCACAACCACTGTGGGGTGCCAGTGCTCCCAGCAGCGCGTTCACCAGCACTGGCAGGTTTGGAGAGCTGTATCTGATTGGGCCTTGGGAGCTGAGGTAGGCTGCATTGAAGAGATTTGACCATTTTTAACTAAGTTATATAAGTTTTTTTGAATAGGTGATACATTTAAAAAGTATTTGGCGCCGTCTGATCTGTTCTCACCAACTGTCACCAATAATATTAGTATTACTTTTATATGTCATTTCAGATTTGTATGCATATTGCAAGCAAATTCATAATTAATTTTTTTTTTTTTTTGAGACAGGGTCTCACTCTTTTGCCCAGGGTGGAGTGCAATGGCATGACCGTGGCTCACTGCAGCCTCGACCTCTTGGGCTCAAGCCACCCTCCCACCTCCGCCTCCCGAGTAGCTGGGACTGTAGGCATGTGCCACCATGCCTGGCTAATTTTTGTATTTTTTTGTAGAGACAGGTTTTGCCATGTCGCTCAAGCTGGTCTCAAACTCCTGACCTCAGGTGATACACCCACCTTGTCCTCCCAAAGTGCTGGGATTATAGGTGTGAGCCACCATACCCAGCCAAGCCCCCTTTTTAAAAACAGAAATGGAAGCATACTGCTATTCTTCATCCTGTTTTTTTTTTTTTCACTTCACAATTTTTTTTTTAATTGAGGCAGAGTCTCACTCTGTCACCTAGGGTGGAATGTAGTGGCATAATCTCAGTTCACTGCAACCTTCGCCTCCCAGGTTCAAGTGATTGTCCTGCTTCAGCCTCCCGAGTAGCTGGGATTACAGGTGCACGCCACCACGCCTGGCTAATTTTTGTATTTTTAGTACAGACGGGGCTTCACCATGTTGCCCAGGCTTGTTTCCAACTCCTGACCTCAAGTGGTCCACACACCTCAGCCTCCCAAAGTGCTGGGATTACAGGCATGAGCTACCATGCCCGGCCTCACTTCACAATTTCTCTTAGAGCTCTTTCTTTGTTGGTACCTAAAGCAAAAGAGCTTCCTTGTTCTTTTTTTCTTTATTTTTTAACAGTGGCGTAGCATTCCATTGTGGTACATCATTCCGATACTAATAGACATTTATGTTATTTCTAGTCTTTTGCTGTTATAAAAAGGTCTGCAGGCTGAGTTCAGTCTAATCATATGCAAATAGTAATAGTTTCTTCCTTCTCCAGAACCTTTTTTTTGAGACGGAGTCTCACTCTGTCGCCCAGGCTGGAGTGCAGTGGCGCAATCTCGGCTCACTGCAAGCTCCGCCTCCCGGGTTCACGCCATTCTCCTGCCTCAGCCTCCTGAGTAGCTGGGACTACAGGCGCCTGCCACCACGCCCGGCTAATTTTTTGTATTTTTCATAGAGACGGGGTTTCACCGGGTTAACCAGAATGGTCTCGATCTCCTACCTCGTGATCTGCCAGCCTTGGCCTCCCAAAGTGCTGGGATTAGAAGCGTGAGCCACCGCACCCGGCCGGCTTTTTTTTTTTTTTTTCTTTTTTTTTTTTGAGATGAAGTCTCACACTTGTCCCCCAGGCTGGAGTGCGATGACATGATCTAGGCTCACCGCAACCTCTGCCTCCCGGGTTCAAGTGATTCTCCTGCCTCAGCCTCCCGAGTAGCTGGGATTACAGGCGCCTGCCACCACACCCGACTAATTTTTGTATTTTTAGTAGAGACAGGATTTCACCATGTTGGCCAGCTTGGTCTCGAACTCCTGACCTTAGGTGATCCACCCACCTCGGCCTCCCAAAGTGCTGGAATTACAGGCGTGAGCCACCGCACCCGGGCCCATAGTCTTTCTTCCTATAATTTCCTTCCTTTGTTCTATTGTGACAGGTAGCAATCAATGATTGTAGGCATGCTTGTTTTCTTCTTGATGTTAGTCATACTACTTGTAGTGATAGGTTTTCTCTTAATTTTTTTTTTTTTTGTGAGACAGGGCATTGCTCTGTCACCCAGGCTGGCTTACTGCAGCTTGACCTCCGAGGCTGAAGTGATCCCCCTGCCTCAGCCTCCTGAATAGCTGGGACTACAAGCATGTGCCAACATCCCCAGCTAATTTTTTAATTTTATTTTTGTAGAGGCAGGGTCTTGCTATGTTGCCTAGGCTGGTCTCAGACTCCTGGACTCTAGTGATCCTCTCACGTCAGCCTCCCAAAGTATTGGGATTACATGTGTGAGCCACTACCCCGACCTTATTTATTACTATTTTTTAGTGCAGTGGGATGATCATAGCTCACTGTAGCCTTGAACTTCTGGGCTTAAGCAGTCATCCCACTTCAGCTTCCTGAGTAGATAGGACCACAGATGCCCAGCTATCTTTTATTTTTTTGTTTTTAGACGGAGCCTCCCACTGTCGCCCAGGCTGGAGTGTAGTGGCATGATCTCGGCTCACTGCAAGCCCCACCTCCTGGGTTCAAGCGATTCTCCTGCCTCAGCCTCCTGAGTAGCTGGGACTACAGGCACACGCCACCACACTCGGCTAATTTTTTGTATTTTTCATAGAGACAGGGTTTCACCGTGTTGGCCAGGATGGTCTCAATCGCCTGACCTCGTGAGCCGCCTGCCTCAGCCTCCCAAAGTGCTGGGATTACAGGCATGAGCCACCGCACCCGGCCTATTTTTTTATTTTTTGTAGCTTTGAGAGTCTCAATATGTTGCCCAGGCTGGACTCTAACTCCAGCCTCAAATGATCCTCTCATCTCAGCCTCCCAAAGTGTTGGGATTACCGGCGTGAGCCACTGTGTCTGGCCCTGTTTTAACTATTTGAGCCACTGTGCCCAACCCTTTTTAAATGATTAAAGCACAGATAATATCAGCGCATGAAATTTCATCTGCTTTTCCACACTCAGAAGTATTACAACAATATGAAGATGAAGAGATTGTTCAAGACTTGGGAAGAATTTAAACAGATGCAGCTGCCATGGTTGGCCTGTGCAGGCAGGTTGATTCTGAAGTGCCACCCAGTGGTTCAGGTGTTGTCACCTGGGTGCTTGTGGTCAAACCTCATCAGGAAGGGGAGGCTCTGTGGCTCTAGCAGCTTCATCCTTGCTTGGAGGCCTTGGTTTCAGCTTTCTGATTTCCCTGGGCTGTTCCCATTCTTATGATTTTTCAAGAGTCTAAGAGATTATTTGTGCCACGCTTGGGTTCTTTATAAGCTGGCTTTTGTCCAGGAAGCTTATGTTTGTCTCTCTGAGAAGAGGTCTTCCAAAACATGGGGGCAGATGGCAGATTCTCGTTTTGTTCACACTAAATCTCTGGTATTTTGTGAGAAAAACGAGTAAATGGTGGGGAACTACTCTTTGAGTAAATGGTGGGGACCCACTCTTCTCTTTGATTTTCCCAGCATTAGTCACGTAGTTGGATCTGGCCCAACACTAGTCACCTGGTTACATCGTTCTTCCTTGGTCATCCTCTTACCTAAAGGACCGGGCATTGAGCTTGAGGTGGGAGAGTACCACATTCCCTGGAGATGCCAGCTGTGTATTCTCCTCGTCCTGCCGCATTCTGTGGGTCTCCTGCACCCACCTTGGCTGATTCAGGTGTTTCCCTTACACACATACCACAGGCGAGTGTTGCATGCAATAGCTTGGATTCCTTTTTTCCACATTTAAAGTTGTCTTCCCGGCACGGTGGCTCATGTCTGTAATCCCAGCAATTTGGGAGGCCAAGGTGAGTGAATCATCTGAGGTCAGGAGTTCGAGAGCAGCCTGGTCAACATGGCGAAACCTCGTCTCTACTAAAAATACAAAAATTAGCTGGGTGTGGCGGCAGCCACCTATAGTACCAGCTACTCGGGAGGCTGAGGCAGGAGATTCACTTGAACCCGGGAGTGGAGATGGCAGTGAGCCGAGATCGCGCCACTTCACTCTAGCCTGGGCAAAAGAGCAAAACTCTGTCTCAAAAATAAATAAGTAAATAAAGTTGTCTTGATCATAGTGGTCTGTTTGGTAGATGCCTGTTCAGCTACAGTGGTGCAGTTCATAGAAACATACTGTGCTAGGATAAAGAACTGCAGTACCACTGAAGCTGGTTCTTTGCTACGTCTTGCTTTGGATTTCATTTTACAGTTTTAAAAGCAAACAGTGTAGTCTCATTTTTGTTGGACTTTAAACTTAACAGCGTATGTTCAGACAGGGATTGAATATTTGCTTTCAGTTTGGAAAACCTTCTGTTCACTGATCTGATAACGTACATGTTTCTGAAACCAAGAAAAGAGCAGCTTGAGAGCCTGAATGCTGTGGGACATGAGCAGGCGAGCCCTGCCTTCCTGGCTCCCCCGCCGTCATCCGATGTGTGCACACGTCTCGAGTAACGTGTGAGAGCTGGGCCTCACAGCTTGGGCCAGTACGTGAGGGAGTAACAGTGGTTGGGAAATTGGAGCAAAAGAACAAAGCCAGAATCAGATGAAGACCATGGAGGGTTGGTGGGCTGTTTTAGAAATGATGATGAGATTGGCCATTTACCAAATGGTGAGAGAGCTTCTATAAATTATTATTTAAGAATTGCTGTAAGCTAGAATCACCACACAAGACATTTTAGAGAGGTGAAAAGACATGGATCCTGTTGTCATGGAGCTTAAGTCCAGGCTGGGGTGACCCCAGCTCATCACTCCTGGGCTGTGCCCTGAGCGTGTCAAGGATGAGACATCCTGGGAGTTTTATACGCCTCCTCTCTTGTCCATGTTAATAGTGTGAGCCATCAGCGCTTCCAGACATGCTCCATGCTTAATTCTGAAGGTCTGCTGCTTATGAACTTTCTGTCTCTTCCTATAGTACGCCCTGCATGTATACAATGAAGTGATGAGTGTTGGCCAGAAATACGGAATCCGGAATGCTGGGTATTACGCTCTTCGCAGTCTCCGAATTGAGAAGTTTTTTGCCTTCTGGGGTCAGGATATAAATAACCTCACCACGCCCCTGGAATGTGGACGAGAGTCTCGGGTGAAATTAGAGAAGGTACTGTGTTTACCCAGACTCCACTTTCACTCAGCATCCCGAGTAGTGAATCTGCACTAGACTAGGAAGAAGAACTGATGTGACAGGAAAAGGGGGAAAAGATTGAGGCCTTGATGTTAGCATCAGGTAAATGAGGACAAGAGTGCCCTGAGAATGAAAACTTTATAGGATAAAATATCTTCAAATGAAAACATAATAATGGTGGCTCACGCCTGAATCCCAGCACTTTGGGAGGCTGAGGCGGGTGGATCACCTGAGGTCAGGAGTTCGAGACCAGCCTGGCCAACATGGCAAAACCCGTCTCTACTAAAAATACAAAAAGTAGGCCGGGCACGGTGGCTCACACCTGTAATCCCAACACTTTGGGAGGCCAAGGCGGGCGGATCACAAGTTCAGGAGATCGAGATCATCCTAGCTAACACAGTGAAACCCCGTCTCTACTAAAAATACAAAAAATTAGCCGGGTGTGGTTGCGGGCGCCTATAGTCAGGAGAATGGCGTGAACCCAGGAGGCAGAGGTTGCAGTGAGCCGAGATCACGCCACTGCACTCCAGCCTGGGCGACAGAGCGAGACTCCGTCTCAAAAAAAAAAAAATTTACAAAAAGTAGCTGGGCGTGGTGGCCAGCACCTGTAGTTCCAGCTACTCGGGAGGCTGAGGCAGGAGAATCACTTGAACCTAACAGGCAGAGGTTGCAGTGAGCCAAAATCGCACCACTGCACTCCAGCCTGTGTGACAGGGCAAGACTCCGTCTCAGAAAAAAGAAAACATAGTAAATAGATGACACTTGGTCAGGTGCGGTGGCTCACAACTGTAATCCTAGCACTTTGGGAGGCCAAGGCAGGAGGATCACTTGAGCTCAGCCTGGGCAATACAGCAAGACCTTGTCTCTGAATTACAATTGAAAAACAAACAAAAAAACCCACTTATTTCTAGTGTTCTGCTGTCTAAAAGACTGAGTGCTTTCTGGGAAGCTATTCTGAGTTAATTATGGTGATGCATTAACATGCCACGAATATTTGTACAAACTAGTCGTCCTATAGTCAGCTGCCTAATTTTTGTGGTTTTTTTCTTTTGTTTTTGATTTTGAGGTGGGGTCTCATTCTGTCACCCAGGTTGGAGTGCAGTGGCGCGATGTTGGCTCACTGCAATGCCCTCTCATGCTCAAGTGATCCTCCCACTTCAGCCTCCCAAGTGGCTGGGACCACAGATGCACAACCATGCCCAGCTAATTTTTTTGTATTTTGGTAAAGACAGAGTTTCACCACATTGGCCAGGGTGGTCTCGAACTCCTGAGCTCAGGTGATCCGCCCTCCTCGGCCTCCCAGAGTGCTGGGATTACAGGCGTGAGACAGCACACCCGGCCTAATTTTTTTGGTTTTTTTGTTTTGGGCGGATCACCTGAGTTCACAAGTTCGAGACCAGCCCGGCCAACATGGTGAAACCCCGTATCTGCTAAAAATATAAAAATTAGCTGGGCATGGTGGCAGGCACCTGTAATCCCAGCTACTCGGTAGGCTGAGGCAGGAGAATTGCCTGAACCTGGGAGGCAGAGGTTGCAGTGAGCCGAGATCATACCATTGTACTCCCACCTGGGTGACAGAGCAAGGCTCCATCTCCAAAAAAAAAAAAGGTAATAACCCATTTTGGAAAATATAAAGAAGGAAATTAAAATCACCCATATTTTGTCTATTTAATGGTAGTAACTATTTTTTTTTTCTTTCTTGAGACGGAGTTTCGTTCTTGTTGTCCAGGCTGGAGTGCAGTGGCGCGATCTCAGCTCACTGCAATCTCTGCCTCCTGGCTTCAAGCGATTCTCCTGCCTCAGTCTCCCGAGTAGCTGTAAGCCATCCAGCTAATTTTGTATTTTTTGTCTTTACCAAAATACAAAAAATTAGGTGGGTGTGGTGGCGCATCTGTGGGCCCAGCTACTTGGGAGGCTGAAGTGGGAGAATCACTTGAGCATGAGAAGGCATTTTTGTATTTTTTCTTTTTTTAGTAGAGATGGGGTTTCTCCAGGTTGGTCAGGCTGGTCTCGAACTCCTGACCTCAGGAGATCCCCCCGCCTTAGCCTCCCAAAGTGCTGGGATTACAGGCGTGAGCCACCGTGCCTGGCCATAATCACCGTTAATAGTTTATTCTAGTCTTATTTGTTGTACATATGTGTATATATGTGTGTATGCATTGAATATAGATGTGCATGGTCTTGTTGGGATTATATAAAAAAGTCTTTTTTTTTTTTTTTTTGAGACAGAGTTTTGCTGTGTCAACCGAGGCTGGACTGCAGTGGTGCAATCTTGGCTCACTGCAGCCTCTGCCACCCAGGTTCAAACGATTTTCCTGTCTCAGTCTCCCTAGAATTATAGGCACACTCCACCAGAATCTTGGCTCACTGCAGCCTCTGCCTCCCAGGTTCAAGTGATTTTCCTGTCTCAGCCTCCCAAGTAGCTAGAACTATAGGCACACTCCACCACACCCAGCTTATTTTTGTATTTTTAGTAGAGATGAGGTTTGCCTCATCTCTGTTCAAGGCGTGAGCCACCACGACTGGCCAATATAAAAACATTTTTCTAAAGTACTGGACTGATAAGGTATTTTATTAAGTGAGTGAGTTTTCTTCCTAAACGTTTTTGTTCTATCTGGTCTTGTGACTTTATGTTTATAAAATAGGAAACAAAATGCGTACCTCTGTTGTTACAAAAATTACCGCGGCGTCTTTTATATTTCACATGCAGTTTTTCACATGGTAGAAATCGCACAGTTTCCCAAAAGCTGGCAGGGTTGTGGGAGGAGGCGGCTGTGCCCCATTGCAGTGACACCAGGGGACCCTTCCCACGGTGCTGCTCTCTGTGCCGAGGGTCTGAGTGTCGCTGGATGACTCGGCGTTTCCTTTCTTTCTTAGGGCATGGATTTCATTGGTCGCGACGCCCTCCTGCAGCAGAAGCAGAATGGAGTGTATAAACGCCTCACCATGTTCATCCTGGACGACCATGATTCAGACCTAGACCTTTGGCCTTGGTGGGGAGAGCCCATTTACCGGAATGGGCAGTATGTTGGCAAGACCACCAGCAGTGCCTACAGCTACAGCCTGGAGCGCCACGTTTGCCTGGGCTTTGTGCACAATTTTTCTGAGGACACGGGGGAAGAGCAAGTGGTGACAGCAGATTTCATCAACCGGGGAGAGTATGAGATTGACATCGCGGGATACCGCTTCCAGGCCAAGGCCAAGCTCTACCCTGTCGCCTCCCTCTTCACCCAGAAGCGCCGAAAGGATGACATGGAGCTGAGTGACTTACATGGGAAGTGATGCCACCAGGGCAGCCTCACCTCCTCCCCATCATCTTGTCCTAGAGTGGGCGTCACCTTGGAGCTTCTCTTCCTTCCGCCTCTGTTCCTCTTCTGGAGCCTTTGCCTCCCATCTCTTATCTCCTTGATATAATTTTGAACTTGACCTACTTTAAACTTTTTTGCTCTGCAGCCTTCCTTGCCCTTCCACCTCCTCCTCCTAATATTCACTCTGGGCTCTTCTTCCCTTCCCACCCCTCACTCAGCTTCTCGTGGTGGCAGGAGGTATGTCTGACAGGACAGAAGCAAGCTCCACTGTGGACATGAGTGATGGTGACAGCTGCTTTCAAATTCTGCATCTCAAGGCAGGGCAAGCCGGGGTGGTGCAGGTCTCAGGGCACGAGTCCCTCTCCCTTGGGTTCCATTTTCTTGGAGCAGCCTATTAGTTCTGGTGGGGTTGCCGTGTGTCGGATGCAGCCCTGAGGGGCAGCTCGTGCCTGCAGCCCGGCAGCTCGTTCTCCTGTTCTGCTGTGCTGTGGGCTGGCACTCGATACCTCTGGCAAGAGGATGATTATCTACCTCACTGATAAGAGGCATCGCATGGACGTTCTCTGGTCTGTAGTGGAGACAAGCAGTTAACCTAGCACCATCCTCATCCTCCCTGCAGAAGCCATTAGCAGACCTTTGGGCCAGGGCAGCCTCCCTATAATTTTCTTCATCTCTTGCTAATCTCTATAATAAGGTTGCTTTTTCTTTCTTAGTTGAGTAAACAAGTAAGCCACAGTGTTTGAAAGGGAAAAACCATATTGCCTTGTGTGTTGCTTTTCCCAGTCAAAAGGGTCTGACCTTAGAAAGTCCCCACCAGTGATGCTGAGTGTTCTGCTATGGAAACAATGCTGCTTTTCTCTCAGCTGTCCAAAGTTCAGCCGTTCCTCCTTCCCCTTCTCCCAGTGCGTTTGACTTTGTCAGGTCAGCCTCACTTGTCCCTTTCACAGTTGGCCCATAAAGTCATGTTTCTCTCCCTTTAGAATAGGGAGGGGAAGGGATCAGGTGTGTTGTCCTGGGCCTTTCAACCTTGCGGGCTGTGCTGAGTTCCAGAGAGCTGCCGGAATTCCAGGTTTGACTCTCCAGCACAGAGCAGAGCTACACAGAGGTGACCCACGTTAGTCCACTGAGAGTTCTGAGTCCAAAGGGTGTACGTTGCATAAGGCTAGAGACCGCTTTTCCTCCTTTCCCCCCAGGCTCTTTGTTTCCCTCCACCCACCCTTCCATATCCTCTGGAGCAGGAGACAATGTGGGTGCCCAGAAGTGCCCTGCGCTTTCAGGCAGTGTCTCTGTTTTCCCAAGGTGAAACTTAGATATCATGGACTGTTGTCCAGCCTCAATGCTTCATTTTCCCCTTGCATATCAACTGCCCTAATCTGACTTTTTTTAAGTGCAAATAAACTGCTATAAGACATTTTGGTTAGTAAAACTCTAGCCTTTGGCGTGTTGGTATCTTGGAAGCATTAGCTCTGATAGGTCTATAAGTGTATTAAGGGACATCCTTCCATTTCATTAGAGCAGCTTAAAATGCTCAGGTGTCTGCCTTCTCTGGTGTTTCTTTGGGATCTCTGTTTACCCACTTACGCTGGCTCCTTCTAGACATTTCTTGCCACTTCCCCAACTAGACCACTCCTAGTGATTACTGACTTTAGTGCCTAAACCTTTTTGGAAGGTTCTGGTTGGCTTGTTAGAGGAGCATATGATTAGAATTCTGTTTGGGGGTCTAGTTGTCTTGGAGCAAGTATGTACTTAACTAGCCGAGAGATGCTGCCTCTAGGCAGAGAGGAGGAGAGGTGTTGCCGGCTGGAGGGCCAACCAGTGAACACCAGCTGTGAAGGCCTTGGGAGAGGAGGAACAGGCCCTTGGGCAGATGCAGGCATTACCAGCAGGGAGCAGACTTACCTCCGAAGATGGAGACAGGTGACTGAGAGCTGCAGGCCTCCTCTGCTCTTCCAAACACGTAGCATTTGCACCCCTCCAAAGCCATCTTTGTAAAGGAAAACGTATTTGTAATTGAATCCAGAAGAATTTAGTTACACATAGACATAACTCTTCAACCTTAACTATGGCAATACATTTGTGCTTTAACTGTTACATAGCAGTATCACCACTTACCAGGATCCAAATCGAAATAATAAAAGCTGTCTCCATAGTTTAAAATCGAATAGTGCCATCATCACAGTATATTAGTCAAATAGAAGCTTCATCAGAAATGTATCCCACATAGAGTTTTAAGACTTGGATTCTCTTCTGCCCTTGTTAATCTCCAACTAATTACTACAGATTGACACGTTTTTAATTAGCTGTCCTTTGTAAGAAGTCAGGAAATCTGATGCTGTGTCCAAAATTATGCACTGTTTGTTGAAGTAGAACCAGAAATCCTGACCTCCTGTTAAATGACATCAGTTTCCCCCTCTGAGCAACAGACTGCTTGTCTTGCTAGGAGAGGAGGATGGGGGGCTGAGCACTCAGGCTGTCCATTGAAACCCCTTGTCCATGAATAGGGTCATACTCCTAAGACTGATGGGGTGTTGATCTTCTAGGACATCACTTGTTTATTCAGTGCCCCAAACACAGATTTCTCTTCTAGCACTTTAGAGTTGATCCTTGAAGTCTCTCCTGGTTCATTCAAATACAAGCTGTGTGAGTCTGGTGGTTTTCTGTGATTGGTCTAATGTGAGCTCTTTGAACAGACAGATCTGACAGTGAATGACTCTCCCCTGCTTCTGGCATAACTGCTTTGCCTCTGTCTAGTGTCCAAGCATCTTAGCTGTTCAAGAGGAGAGGGCAGCATAACTTCCTGACCACCGGTGTCAGATATCAGAGCATTCTGGACTCCTGAGAGGCAGTGGCCTCTTGAGTGAACAGGGGAGGCCAGTAGATGCCCCAGATCCAGAGCCGTGGCTGCAAATCCAGCAGGAATAAGGAGGGACAACCACAGCCTCCTCATCCATGTGTCATTTCCAAGGGTTTGCCTTGTGTCTCAGCTCATTCTGGGCAGCACGTTTGTCTTCTGTCCCTAGAGATTTGAAGGATTTTGGACTCTTGTGAATGGGTGACTGGACTTGGCTTTACAGAGTTGGGTGCTTTTTTCTCTCTGCAATTACCTGTCATAGCATTTTGTGCTCACCACGAAGGATGGTCTCTGCCTTCTCTTGTCGGTGTATGCCATCTGAACCTAGGAACACAAAGTATATTGGCCTCAAACGGAGACCCAGGGTTGCCAGTTTTCCGTGGGCCTTCCCCTCCCTTGAAATGTCTTTAATTACCTCCCCTTCATCGTCAGGCCACGTGTGACTTCTGTTCTTAGCACTGCCAGGGTCATTGACTTCCATCTAAGCTTGCATCAGGAAGATGTTCCTTCTGTGATCATTGGTACTGAAGCCAGAAAAGCTCTCATTCAGGAACTCTGAAGAGCAAAAAGGGACAAACACTAACTGCTGAGCTGGGCCATTTGATCTCCTTTCACCTTGCATTGCTGTCACAGCACCTTGTATGATGGCAGGACAGGCTCCAGCAGAGAGAACTGCACAGTGACCACTGTATTTTTCACGCTCTTCCAGGGATCCCTGTCCCCCGACATTGAAGAGATCTCATTCAGGCCAGAGACACAGAGACCACATAGCCCAGTGATTAAACCCCGGTTTCACTCTGGCCCCAGGAGTGGAGCCTGGCCACTCCTGTTTGGTTCTCACTGGGAGGCCCACTGGCCTTGGATCATCTCCTCATGCACACCCGGAGTTTTACCTGCTTGCTTGCTTTCCTGGACTGCTGTTTGCAAGAAAGTAACTAAAACATGAAAAGTAAACCTCCAGCTTCCACAGTATATTACCTGCCGTTGCATGCATTTGAAAGTTAGCCTCCTCCCTTGCCACCGTCTTGGTGGCAGTAGCGATGCAAGAATGATGGGAGCTTTCCGAGAGCGTTCAGTGTTTCACTGAAGACAGGACCCATAGCCTTCATTTCTGGCTCTGTGTCTCCTCTGGCATATGGACACATTTCCTGGCATTTGCCTGAGTCTACACCACTTTTTGAGAACCTGAAATAGAAGGGAATCTTCTGTGGCCCACAGTCTCCATATTGGCACTAGAAGACTGGCCTGGCGGAGGAATTTGCGTTGGCTTGCTTTCAGGGGTTAGCTACAAGATTCAGCTTTATATCTCTGTTGCTTCTTGGCCAGTGTAGTCAATAAGGGTCTTCTTTAACATCTAAGATAGAGGTTTGGTTGGCCGGGCGTGGTCGCTTACTCCTGTAATCCCAGCACTTTGGGAGGCCCAGTGAGGTGGGAGAATTGCTTGAACCCAGGAGGCAGAGGTTGCAGTGAGCTGAGATTGCACCACTGCACTCCAGCCTGGGTAACAGAGTGAGACTCTTGTCTCAAAAAAAAAAAAAAAAAAATCTAAGATAGAGGTTTGGTCAACAGTGCTTAATAATAAATAAGAACCTCCTGCCATTCTAATTTTCCTGCTGCACCCCATCCCCCACACACCCCTCACGAACATTGATATAAGCAGTATTAACACAGTATAAAGAATGTTCACCTTGCATATGTCATTTCAGGCACATGGATTCAGGAGAAGCACAGTTGAGTGGAAGAAATGGTAGACTTGTGAGGCTTGCCCCAGGCCTTGTGTACACGCAATAAGTGGTGAGCCATGGGTCTCTCCGTCAGCGCCTCCCTCCCCGCCACCACTTCAGGCCAACAATTTAAGGTGCTGAGTTGTAAGGCTCCTCCATTGTCAGTACAGGGCTCGCCTTTGTAGCCCTGATCACTACCAGTACACTTTTCAAGACAACTGAGTATTTTTGTATGCCTTTGCCTTCCCTTTGTCCATGAAACATGAAGAGTTGTTTATGGTTCTTGACTTCTCTGAGCAGAGTGTCTGCATCTCTTGGAGAGTTACACATTTCTTCATGAGCCATTTTTCTCATTCTTAGATGCACCTGTTTTTATCCTTTGCAGACCATCTTCTGCCTTCTTATTTTCCTGTCTGTCAAAGACAGAAATTACAGGAGATAGGGAGGGTTTTTTAGCATCTCTTTCAAAAGATGTATGTCAGAATTTCCTTTGCACACCAAGAACTGGAGCTTAGAGCCCCACTATTCTCTAAGCCAGGTTCTAGTGCCTTACACTCCAGAATGTCAGATGGTGGGTGCAGATTGGAAGAAAGAGAAAAGTTCATCTCGGTGTGTGGGTTCCCATCCGCCCCACATAGCCTCTCCTTCTTCGGAACAATGGGCGTGGGGTAGAAAGCTCTTTCAGTGAAGGGTGTTCTAGCAGCTCAGTTAACACTTTACTCTCCAGTCAACACTTGGGACATATAAAAATGCCATTGTAACTACTGTAGAGTCCTGTGACTCATCGTTTGTGTTTGTCAATTTGCAGTTCAGCTTAGCCCTTCCCTGTTCCTGTGTAGTTACAATCTGGCCCTGAAGACATCCGAGGCACTTCAGTAAGTGGGATCTTTTCTAGAGATCCTGGGTGACTTTGGGTGCACAGGGTGACCGAGCATTTCTGCCCCTGTGAATGTGGCACTAACACTGTGCACTGTCTCCACCAAGCAAGGTTTCCACTGAGTTTCTTCTCATGTTACTGGGTTTGTAAATGAATAAACACATTTTAACTACTCTTGCACGGCTGCTTGTGAAATGTTCTTCATCTGTAGTGACTTAAATGTGTTTGCCACCACAAAGCATAAACAGCGTGCAGAGGAGAGTGTGTACCTCCCTGTGTGTACCAGTGTGAGGGAGGATTTGGGGACGGGGGTAGAGAAGATGTAGGTGTTTATCTTACCCTCCCTGCAGCGCTGGAGTGGCTGGGGGTAAAAGCTTCCCGCCTCCTGAAATTCCGACCGGCCTTCTGCCTACAGCTGACCTCAGGAGGAACCTGCCACCTGATGTTCCACACGGGCACGTGTGCACTCAGGTTTGTGTGGAAAGCAAGGGGGGTCGTGTTCTCACCCTGTGGAAACAACCCTGAGAGAAACAACCAGTGCTCTTTTTCTACACCAGCTTCCATCCACAAGTTGGTCCCTGGACTTGACCTGTTCACTAATTTTTTTTTTTGAGGCAGAGTCTTGCTCTTTTGCCCAGGCTGGAGTACAGTGGTGTGATCTTGGCTTACTGCAACCTCCACTCCCAGGTTCAAGTGATTTCCTGCCTTAGCCTCCAGAGTAGCTGGGATTACAGGCACGCGCCACCATGCCCAGCTAATTTTTGTATTTTCGTAGAGACGGGGTTTCGCCAGGTTGGCCAGGCTGGTCTCAAACCCCCAACCTCAAGTGATCCACCCACCTTGGCCTCCCAAAGTGCTGGGATTACAGGCGTGAGCCACTGTGCCTGGCCCAAAGTAATTTTTGAGTAGTTTTTTTTTTTTTAAGTATTTGTACTTTTGAGAATCTCATAGGTTAACATGTTTACAACAATCTCTTCATCTTGTCTTCTAAATCAGCCCCTTCTATTCCAGTTCCAGGAATAGTCAACCACGCCAGAAACCTGGGACTCACCTGGTCTCCCCACTCGCCTCTCCCTACACCTCCCGCTCATTACCCAGCCTCACAGGGCTGTCTCCTCAGTGCCTCTCCTCTGTTCGGACCTCACTGTCCCCACCACTGCTGCTGTGGCAGAGAGGGTTGTCAGCCCTGACTTCGAGAACAATCTCTTACTGATTTTCCTGCTTCTCATGTCATCCCCCCTCCCTCTGCAGGGTTGTCTTTGTAAAACAGGGGAGGTCAATTTACTCACTGCCTTGAAACCCTCAAGGGACTCCCCTTTGTCGTGAGACAAAGCTCTCAGTCCTTAGCCTGGCCAGCCAGGGTCTCCAGGGTGTGGCAGGCCACGCTGCCCCAGGGCTCCGGCCTGCGCTGCGTGTGATGTGGGTCCTGCAGCCGAGTGCGTGCTCGCCATCCACAGCTGGATCTCACCTCGAATCCTGCTTTCCAGTCACACTGAGAGGTCTCCCACTCCCATATTTGCTCACTAAAATGCCTCCTGGCAGCCCTCCCCTGTGCTTGTGGAAAGTCGCAAATTGAGGATCACATGGACCCCCACTCCCCCAAGTTGTCCTGACAGAGACCTCCTGTCTTTCATTTGATTGATTGATTGAGACGGAGTTTTGTTCTTCTTGCTTAGGCTGCTGGAGTGCAGTGGCGAGATCTCGGCTCACCACAACCTCCGCCTCCCAGGTTCAAGCAATTCTGCCTCAGCCTCCTGAGTAGCTGGGATAACAGGCATGCGCCACCATGCCTGGCTAATTTTGTATTTTTAGTAGAGACGAGGTTTCACTATGGTGGTCATTGGTCAGGCTGGTCTCGAACTCCTGACCTCAGGTGATCAACCCACCTCAGCCTCCCAAAGTGCTGGGATTACAGGTGTGAGCCACAGTGCCTGGCCCCTCCTGTCTTTCAAAAGCTCTGCCCAAGACCACCATCATCCCACAGTGGAGCCTTTCCTTCCCCAAGAGAATGGCCCCTTTGGGGTCCTCACACACCCGTTTCTGATGTGTCTTTATTTGGTTATCTGCCCTGCTCCTTCTGTAAGTCCCTCGGAGAAAGACTCGAATTCTCCCAAACTCCAACACCTCACATGGTGTTTGGTGTTTAACAGATGATTAAATGAATGGGCAAAAAGTGGAGGGCAAAATCTTTAAAATGTCTTTTAAGATTTAAGGATTTTAGGCCAGGTGCGGTGGCTCACACCTGTAATCCCAGCACTTTGGAATGCCGAGGCGGGCGGATCACCTGAGGTTGGGAATTCGAGACCAGCCTGACCAACATGGAGAAACCTTGTCTCTACTAAAAATACAAAATTAGGCGTGGTAGCGCATGCCTATAATCCCAGCTTCGCGGGAGGCTGAGGCAGGACAATCGCTTGAACTCAGGAGGTGGAGGTTGCAGTGAGCCGAGATCACGCCATTGCACTCCAGCCTGGGCAACAAGAGCGAAACTCTGTCTCAAAAAGAAAAAAAGATTTAAGGATTTTAAATGTTTGATTTTTTTTTCTTGTTGAGATAGAGTCTTGCTTTGTCGCCAGGCTGGAGTGTAGTGGCGTGATCTCGGCTCACTGCAACCTCTGACTCCCTGGTTCAAGGGATTCTCCCACCTCAGCCTCCCGAGTAGCTGGGATTACAGGCACACGCCACCACGCCCAGCTAATTTTTTGTATTTTTAGTAGATACCGGGTTTCACCATGTTGACCAGCATGGTCTCGATCTCCTGACCTTATGATCTGCCCACCTCAGCCTCCCAAAGTGCTGGGATTACAGGCGTGAGCCACCGCGCCCGGCCTGAAAATTTTTAAATGATTGTTTGCCGACTTTACAACAGGACGATGTTGTTGTTCGCAGGCCAGTAGGTGGCGCTGTGGCACGTGATCTGAGCCTCCTGGATTCACACAACTGTTCATGTGGAGAACCCAGTGCCGGGACCCATTAGCACCCCAGTCAGGCTATGCGTCTCCCTCCCAAGGGTGCTCACCTGGTGTGGCCTTCATGGCACAGGGGGAGTGAGATGAGGCTCCTTTAGTACACCCTCCCCTGAGAAGAGCGACGTGTGCTTACCCTCCAGTGGCTTGTTCTCATGAAAGGCTCCACAGTTAGGGACCTTCAGATGCTTAGATCTGGGGTGTCACCTGACTCAAGCAGCTCAGAATCCCAGATTGTTGTGGTGGGTCAAGGGCATGGGGCTTTGGGTTTACTGGCCTGGGTCTGAATGCCAGCATTGCCTCTTCCTTGGTGTATAGGACCTTGGGTGGTTACTTTTCCTAGGCCTCTGTTTACTTGTTTTAAAATGGACAGTGATGCCTACTTTATAGGGTTGTTATGAAACTCAACTAATGAATATAAAATACTCGACCCAGACTGGCATGGTGGTTCACGCCTGTAATCCCAACACTGGGAGGCCAAGGTGGGAGGATCTCTTGAGCCCAGGAGTTCAAGACCAGCCTGGGCAACTTAGGGAGACCCCGTCTCTACCAAAAATAAAAAAATTAGCCAGGTATAGTGGTGTGTGCCTGTAGTACTAGCTACCCGGGAGGCAGAGGTGAAAGGATCGCTTCAGCCCAGAAGTTCAAGACTGCAATGAGCCGTGATCATGCCACCGCACTCCAGCCTGGGTGACAGATCAAGGCCCTGTCTCAAAAAATAAATTAACAGGTCGGGCGCAGTGGCTCACGCCTGTAATCCCAGCACTTTGGGAGGCTGAGGCAGGAGGATCGCTTGAGCCCAGGAGTTCAAGACAAGCCTGGGCAACTTAGGGAGACCCCGTCTCTACCAAAAATAAAAAAATTAGCCAGGTAGAGTGGTACGTGCCTATAGTTCCAGTTACCCGGGAGGCTGAGGTGAAAGGATCGCTTCAGCCCAGAAGTTCAAGACTGCAATGAGCCCTGATCGCGCCACTGCACTCCAGCCTGGGTGACAGATCAAGGCCCTGTCTCAAAAAATAATTAATTAAATACTTGACCCATTGCACGATCTTTCCATGCACGACAGCTGCTCTTCTATTATTCTTCCAGGATGAGCTGCACAGCCTGCCCCCTTGGGTTTCCAGGTTGTGGGAGATGAGCAAAACTGAATGACCTCAGTAGGCCAAGAGCAAAGGATGTGGGTCCGGACCTGGTGGCCAGTTGCTTGTGACAGGAGCTGGGCTGGAGTCCCCAAGTGCCACTAGTGCTGACATCTTTTAACTGTGTTCATTGTGACTTGTTTATTTCTAAAAGTAACCACTGGCGCCTTGGTGCAGATGGAACTCCAGGTGCATGCGGTGAGTTAACCATGGTCTGGGGAGCTTTGTTTCCACGCCTAGGACATGCATCTGTGTGCATGATATGTGAGCTGATATAGCCATGCCTCTGGTGATTTGAACGCCTGCGCTTCCCAGCTGCTTCAGGGCCCTGAACATCGCTGGATGTTTGTACTTCATTCCCTCCTCAGCCCAGCTGGTCCCACTCCGCAGCTGTGCTCTAGGCATTTCATCTCAACTGGGTGATATATTTGAATACAGCAATTATAAGAACAGCAACCTCAGAAGAACATCTGGCATCCAGACCTCCCCAGCCTAGTTCCACAAGGTACCAACTTCCGTAAGCCTTGAAGAGCTAAGTAAGACATCCGGGCCGGGTGCGGTGGCTAATGCCTGTAATCCCAGCACTTTGGAAGGCCAAGGCGGGCAGATCACTTGAGGTCAGGAGTTCAAAACCAGTCTGGCCAACATGGTGAAACGCCATCTCTACTAAAAATACAAAAATTAGCCGGGTGTGGTAGTGCATATCTATAATCCCAGCTACTTGAGAGGCTGAAGGAGGAGAATCTCTTGAACCCGGGAGGCAGAGGTTGCAGTGAGCCAAGGCCACACCACTGCACTCCAGCCTGGGCAACAGATCCCTTGGTATAGATACGGGGAGCTTGGGTGGTCTCATCACAGCAGAACCTCAGCTCTTGGCATGTTCTTTCCTTTGCTACCAGCTTTTGAAACTGAAGTGTAGCAGAGTCATGAACCAGACTTTGAAACATGAACCAGACAGAGAAACATTTTAAGAAGTAGCGGCTGACCAGGAGTTGGAGATTGCAGTGCACTATGATTGCACCTATGAATAGCCACTGCACTCCAGCCTGGGCAACATAGTGAGACCCCTATCTAAAAAAAAAGAAAAAGAAGGGCCAGGCACGGTGGCTCATGATTGTAATCCCAGCACTTTGGGAGGCCAAGGCAGGTGGATCACAAGGTCAGATCAAGACCATCCTGGCTCACACAGTGAAACCCCTTCTCTACTAAAGATACAAAAAATTAGCCTGGTGTGGTGGTGGGCGCCTGTAGTCCCGGCTACTCGGGAAGCTGAGGCAGGAGAATGGTGTAAACCCGGGAGGCGGAGCCGGGCGCGGTGGCTCACAACTGTAATGCCAGCGCTTTGGGAGGCCAAGGCAGGAGGATCGCTTGAGCCCAGGAGTTTTAGACCAGCCTAGACAACATGGCAAGACCCCGTCTCTACCAAAAATACAAAAAATTAGCCGGGCATGGTGGTGCATGCCCATAGTCCCAACTACCTGGGACGCTGAGGTGGGAGGATCACCTGAACCCCGGAGCCGTGAGCACACCACTGTACTCCAGCCTGGGTGACAGAGTGAGACCCTGTCTGGAAAAAAAAAAAAAGTAGCTGGGTATGGTGGCACGTGCCTATCGTCCTACCTGCTCAGGAGGCTGAGGCATGAGGATGGCTTGAGCCCAGGAATTCGAGGCTACTCAGCAATTATGGTACCACTGCACTCCAGCCTGGGTGACAAAGTGAGACCCTCAAATAAAACAAAATAAATTGGCCATAAATGTAAGAGTTTTTTCCTGTATTGTTCATTCTGTTCCTTGATCTATATGTCTTGTCCTTTTTCCATATCTTATAGATGTGATTACTAGAAGTTTCATAGCAAGTTTTGAAATCAGGTAGTATACATTCTCCAGTTTTATTCTTTTTCAAATGTGTTTTGGTTATTCTAATTCCTTTGCGTTTCCATGCAAATTTTAAGATCCAGTTTTCAAATTTTTTTTGAGATGGATCTTGCTATATTGCCCAGGCTGGTCTCAAACTCCAGGGCTCAAGGGATCCTCTTGCCTCAGTCTCCCAAATAGCTGGGATTACAGGCACATGCCACCAAACCTGGCCTCTCAATTGCTTTAAAATACAACAACAACAAAAATCTTTTGGAAGTTTGATGGGCATTGCATTGAATTAATAGACAAATTTGGGGAGAATTACCATCTATCTTAACAATATTGAGTCTTCCCCTGGCCAACATGGTGAAATCTGTCTCTACTAAAAATACAAAAACTGGCCAGGTGCAGTGGCTCATGCCTGTAATTTCAGCACTTTGGGAGGCCAAGGTGGGTGGCTCACTTGAGGTCAGGAGTTCAAGACCTGCCTGGCCAACATGGTGAAACCATGTCTCTACTAAAAATACAAAAATTAGCCGGGTGTGGTGGCGGGCGCCTGTGATCCAAGCTACTTGGGAGGCTGAGGCAGGAGAATCACTTAAACCGAAGGGGTGGAAGTTGCAGTGAGCCCAGATCGCGCCACTGAACTCCAGCCTCAGTGACAGAGTGAGACTCTGTCTCAAAAAAAAAAAAAAAAAAAGAAAAGAAAAAAAAAGAAATTAGCTGGACATGGTGGCAGGTGCTTGTAATCTCAGCTACATGGGAGGCTGAGGCAGGAGAATCACTTGAACCCAGGAGGCGGAGGTTGCAGTAGGAAGAGATCACGCCACTGCACTCCAGCCTGGACGACAGAGCAAGACTCAGTCTCAAAAAACAAACAATAAAACAATATTGAGTCTTCTATTCCATGAAGGTGAAATGTCTATGCATTTTTTTAGATCTTTAGTTTCTCTCAGCAATGTTGTTTTACAGTTTTATGTGTATGGATTTTCTTTTTTTTTTTTTTTTTTTTGAGAATGAGTCACTCTGTCGCCTAGTCTGGAGTGCAGTGGCTCAATCTCGGCTCACTGTAACCTCCGCCTCCCGGGTTCAAGCAATTCTCCTGCCTCAGCCTCCTGAGTAGAGTAGCTGGGATTACAGTTGCCCACCACCACGCCTGGCTAATTTTTTGTATTTTTAGTAGAGATGAGGTTTCACCATGTTGGCCAGGCTGGTCTTGAACTCCTGACCTCAAGCAATCCATCTGCCTCGGTCTCGGAAAGTGCTGGGATTACAGATGTCAGCCACTGTGCCTGGCCATGTGTGGAACTGTTTCCTCAATTTCATTTTCAGATTGTTTATTGCCAATGTGTAGAAATGCAGTGGATTTTGGTATGTTAATTTTGTATTCTGAGACCTTTATTCTAGTAGGGTTTTTTTTTTTTTATACATTCCTTTGGATTTTCTACAGTAGAATTATGTCATCTGCAAATGAAGATAGTTTTACTTCTTTCTTTTCAGTGTGGATGCCTTTAATGTCTTTTTCTTAACTTATTGCACAAATTGCGCATTCAATAGTACAATGTTTAGTGGGACCGGTGAGAAAAGACATCCTTGCCTTGTTTTGATCTTAGGGAGGAAAGTCTTTGGTCTCACTGTTAAGTGTGATATTAGCTGTACGTTTTGCGTAAGGGCTGTATTCGTTTGCTAGGACTGCCATACAAGGTACCACACACTGGGTGGCTTAAAAAACAGAATGTATTTTCTCAGAGTTCTGGAGGCATAAAGGCCAGGATCAAGGTGCCGGGGGGTTGGTTCCCTCTGAGGACCTCTCTCCTTGGCTTGTCTACAGCCGCCTTCTCCCTATGTCTTCACAGGATCTTCCCTCTGTGTGTCTCTTCTTATAATGAGGCCAGTCAGACTGGATCAGGACCCACCCCAGTGACCTCATTTAACTTTAATTACCTCTTTAAAGACCCTATCTCTAAATACAGTGACACGGAGGTAATGGAGGTAGGACTTCAACATACTAATTTGGGGCTGGTTGTGGTGGCTCACGCCTATAATCCCAGCAGATGACTTGAGCTTTGAGACCAGCCTGGGCAACATGGGGAAGGCCCATCTCTACTAAAAATACAAAAATTACCTGGCATGGTGGCGCACACCCACAGTCCAGCTACTCAGGAGCTTGAGGTAGGAGGATGGCTTGAGCCTGGGATGTGGAGGTCAAAGCCCCAGGAGCAGAGGTCACAGTGAACCAAAATTGTGCCACTGCATTCCAGCTGGGCAACAGAGCCAGACTTCGTCTCAAGAAAAATTTAAAAATCAAATAGACATGATTTTTTTTTAGACAGAGTCTCATTCTGTTGCCCAGCCTGGAGTGCAGTGGTGTGATCTCAGCTCACTGCAACCTCTGTCTCCTGGGCTCAAGTGATTCTCATGCCTCAGCCTCCCAAGTAGCTGGGATTACAGGTGTGTGCCACCATACCCAGCTAATTTTTGTATTTTTAGTAGAGACGGGATTTTGCCATGTTGGCCAGGCTGGTCTCAAACTCCTGACCTCAGGTGATCCGCCCACCTCAGCCTCCCAAAGTGCTGGTACTACAGGCATGAGCCACTGCACCTGGCCTAATTTTTTTTTTTTTCTTGAGACAGAATCTTGGTCTGTTACCCAGGCTGGTGTGTAGTGGCACGATTACAGCTCACTGCAGCCTTGACCTCCCTGGCTCAGGCTATCCTCCCACCTCAGCCTCCCAGGTAGGTGGGACTATGGACACGTGCTACCACGCCCAGCTAATTTTTTGTATTTTTTTTAGAGACGGGGTTTCACCATGCTGCCCAGGCAGGTCTCAAACTCCTGAGATCAAGCAGTCCACCCAGCTTGGCCTCCCAAAGTGCTGGGATTATAGGTGTGAGTGAGCTACTACGCCTGGCCTGGACATGTAATTTTTAAAAGAAAATGTGGCCACAACTCTCCTAGAGTTAAATGTTTTTTTTGTTTGTTTGTTTGTTTGTTTTTTGAGACCATCAACAAGATTTCAAGGCTTTAAAGAAAGGAGCTGCTTCAGGAAGAGATAAAATGACTCAAACGCTATAACCTTCAAATGTAGACTGGGAGAAGAGGTATCAGCTATGCATGAGCTGGAGAGGGGTGGGATAGATAGAGACACAGGTGATAAAGAAAATATAGCAAAATGTGAATCCTACAATCTGGGTGGTGGATGTAAACCCTGTAGTAGCCTCACCTGGGGAAAGCTGCCTTGCAACAATGAGGCTGCCCATTCTCCAAACCCACCCCAGCCACCGAGCAGGCTCCACTAAAAAGTCTGAACCCAGGAGGGAGTACCATGGAAACCAAGTTGCAATGCCCTGGTTAGGGGCCCAGCAGAGGGGTCATCCCAGCTCTACGCCATTGGATACTGAGTTTCAGGAGTGGGAGTGCCATCCTCAGGGTCACACAGCGTGTCGGTTCCAGCCTAGGTCTTCCAGTGTCTCATTAATCTTTTATCCACTCAGCTTCTCTTCTGGCCCATGAACCTTGCTCTCCTGGGACTCTTTTTTTTTTTTTTGAGGGGTCGGGGGTGGGACAGAGTCTCGCTCTGTTGCCCAGGATGGAGTGCAGTGGTGCCATCTTGCTTCACTGCAACCTCCGCCTCCCAGATTCAAGCAATTCTCCTGCCTCAGCCTACCGAGTAGCTGGGACTACAGGCACCCACCACCCTGCCCAGATAATTTTTGTATTTTTAGTAGAGACAGGATTTCACCATGTTGGCCAGGCTGGTCTCGAGCTCCTGACCTCAAGTGATCCGCCTGCCTTGGCCTCCCAAAGTTCTGGGATTACAGGCGTGAGCCATCACACCCGGCCTGGGACTCTTCTTGCAGTGAGCCAGGGCCATGGGACCCTTCAAAAGTTGCTCCACCCTAATCCCCAAAATATCTTTTTCTCCCGCCTGTCCCAAGTGCCTGGCATCATACTATATGGGTCAACTGGCCATGTTTGCCATGGAAGCCCAATTGTAGGAAGTGGGTCTTTTATCACCCGGCATAGCAGAGCTGTGGAAACTGCACTGGGAAAGATCAGGATGTGAATTAAAGCGTTGGGAATGGGAAGGCAGAGACCTTGGATTAGCTGGGATGCTCCATGCACTCGCTGAGTGACCTTGGACAAGCCCCTTAGACACACTAAGCCCGTTTCCTCATCTACACGACGGGCATCCCATCTGCTACTGCACCAGGTTCTTGTGGCAATAACTTGAACTCACACATGCAAACAGGCTTTGTGAGCTCCATAAACACAGGTGGCTCGGCCAGGTGTGGTGGCTCATGCCTGCAACCCCAGCACTTTGGGAGGCCAAGGTGGGAAGATCCCTTGAGCCCAGGAGTTGGAGACCAGCCTGGGCAAGACGATGAAATCCTGTCTCTACCAAAAAAAATAATAATAATTAGCCAGGCATGGTGGCACACACCTGGTCCCAGCTCCTTGGGAGGCTGAGGTGGGAGGATCACTTGGGCCCAAGAGGTCAAGGCTGCAGTGAGCTGAGATTATAACACTCCAACCTGAGTGGCAGAGTGAAACTGTCTAAAAAATAAAAATAAAAATACATCAAAAAACAGGTAGCTATTAAGCATTGCTAGGACCCACACGCAGTGACCCTGAGGGTGCTGGGTTTCTGTTTGAGGGAGAAGAAACTCCTGAGCCCCTAGGTATTGTGGGGGACATGCAGTTCCAGACCGCCTTCATGGCCTGTATGCCTGGCCTCATCCCCATCCCTGGCACCCATGACGATAGCCACATTCCACTGGTGTTTCCCCAGGAAAGCCAACCCTACCTGCATCTCAGCAGAGCTTCCACGGAGTTGGAACCCCGCTCCGAGAGGGTGTGGGCTCAGGGGCCAGGGGTCACACAAACTCCAGAAGGAGGACGTAGTTGGTTTGCAAGGCTGTCCTTTGCCCTGGTTGAATAACCTTTGGTCTTCCCCGAGAGGAACGTGGGCATTAGGCTGCAGCCCACAGGAAGCTATGTATTTTCTGAGAAACTTGGCCCATGGTGCAGATCTGCTCCAGCTCACTCTGGTGGGATCACGCCAGCCACGGCCGGGCCACGGCACATCATGGCAACGTGCTGCCCACCTGCTACGCCACCTGTTTTTCTAGAGGCGGACGTGATCCCAGCAGGACTGGAGTCAGCCCAGGGCATCACGTGCTCTGGTCCCCGCCTGCTTTGACTCCTCCTGCCTCACTCCCCCCCTGGCCTGTAGTCACGTTGGTGAGGGTGGTGGGCACCGGGGCTGGGCCCAGCCCCCGACCCTGCCCAGACAGACTTTCCTAAGGCACCCTTTTCCTCGTGCAGGTGCGGCCTCAGCCCACCCCCCTTTGAGCCCACAGATTGCACCCCTCTGGTGTGCGGTTACCTCTTGCCTATGTTTAATTCATGGCTGGGGGGTTGGGACGAGCTTCCCAAGAAAGGAAAGAACTCCCCTGGGGTCTTGCCCAGTTTCTGCTCACCAGAAGGACCATAGCCGAGGTCCTCCTCCCAGGGCCCGGGGCTGGGGAGCGGAAGCCATCAGTGGGCTCGGAGGACACTGTCCCAGCCAGGACACGGCCATCGGTCACTAATCTGCAGCACTGGAATGTCCGCAGGCCAATCAGCGGGGTCTCTGGGGGCTCCCCAAGGGTGCTAATAATCCCACAATGATTAGCAGGGGCCGCGGGTCAGTGCACGCCACTCTGCCTGCTGTCGGGGGCGGGCTGGCCAGGCCGAGGCCGGAGCAGGCAGGCATCCCCCGGAGTTGTCTCTTTTCATGCCAGCGCCAACAGGAGGCTGTCTGGACACACTGATTACTCACTCACCAGCCTCCCTCTTTTGTCCACCAGCCCAGCCTGACTCCTGGAGATTGTGAATAGCTCCATCCAGCCTGAGAAACAAGCCGGGTGGCTGAGCCAGGCTGTGCACGGAGTGCCTGACGGGCCCAACAGACCCATGCTGCATCCAGAGACCTCCCCTGGCCGGGGGCATCTCCTGGCTGTGCTCCTGGCCCTCCTTGGCACCGCCTGGGCAGAGGTGTGGCCACCCCAGCTGCAGGAGCAGGCTCCGATGGCCGGAGGTAAGGGACACCTGGTGAGGAGGTAGGTGGAGGCACCATTATGAGCTCTGAGGAGTGGGTGCTAGGAGACTTCTGGAAGCCCGGTCCCAGGCCTGAGCCCCAGGCCGTGCGGGTGGTTTAATGAGGAAGCCCTGGGACAGCCCGGGGGCGGTGAGGGGTGGATGCTGGACTGGGGAGGAAGGAGGAGGAAGGAGGACCAGGGCTGGGGTCAAGGAGGAACGCCGAGGAGCGCTGTGGCTGGGGCCTGGAGAAATCCGTGGCCCGGAGGAGCCCCAGACAGGGGCCTGCGGGAGCCAGGGCTGGCCCCTACACCCAGCCCGCACCGCTGTTCCCTCCCGCCACCCCAACCCCAGCACTCAGCCCACGCCTGCTGTACCTGGTCTCTCTCTCAGCCTCGCTCCATTGCTATGCCCCACGTCCCCTGCACCCACCACACTCCTCTCCCATCTTGTTTTCCAAGGGCAGGGACACATGCTTATTCTGCCGTGTGTTGGGTTCAGGTCCCCCCATCCTCGGGCTGCCTGACCTTCTCTCTCCACCCCAGCCCTGAACAGGAAGGAGAGTTTCTTGCTCCTCTCCCTGCACAACCGCCTGCGCAGCTGGGTCCAGCCCCCTGCGGCTGACATGCGGAGGCTGGTGAGTACCCGACCCAGCTGGGCTCTGCCAGGGGGGTGGCCGGAGGCGCGGACCCCAGAGGGCGGCTCAGGAGGCCACGCCTGTCCAGGTGCCCTTCCACTTGACCAGGGTGGGCAGGCACAGCCAGCCACCTTGCCCCTGAGGGACGGAGGCCCTGGTTGCTGGGGGTCTCTGCAGTTTCTTAACCCCCCACCCTCAGTTCAGGAGGTCGGGCCCCTTGGCTCCCACTCGCCTGAAGGGCAGGACCTTGGGCCTTCCCTGGCATCTTGTTGCCACAGAGACCAGGAGCCACAGGAGGAGCCGGATCCCCTCCTCCAGGGAAGGGGAGCTTCACGAGGAGCCCTGCAGGATGGGCGGCCGGGCCAGGGAGGGAGAAGGTCGTGCTGGGCTGGGGAGGGGCTTCTGTGCGGCAAGGACCCAGCGCCTCCTCCTGAGCTTATCTGAGCCACGAGGACGGGCCTTGCCCATGTTCTCTGCTCACTCACTCGTCCACATTTTCCACATTTTCAGCAGGGGCCGGGGGTCGGGGGTATAGAGTTCCCCACCAGCCCGGCTGGGGCTGCGGGGTTGGGACTGTCATCTGGAGGCTCAGAAACGCTGCCCTCCATTGTCTGGGACCCCAGCAGCCCCAGCCCATGTTAGCAGGCCAGGGAGCCAGGGCAGGGTGGTGGGGGCGGGAGGGTTCCCCATGGCTGCTTCCCATGAACTCCTCCAAGGCAGGTGGCCACAGTGGCGACCTTGAGCACTCTAGGGTCAGTTTCCCAGGAGGTGGGGGTGGGGTGGCTAAATGCGGGGGGTCGCTTCTCCCCCATTCCCAGCCCTGAGTGGCTCTGCCTCTCCTCAGGCTCAGACCCTGGGCAACCAGGGGTGCTCCCAGCTGTGACCTCCGTGGTTGGGTACTCCTGCCTGGGACCCCAGGAGGGGCTGCGGTGGTCGTTGGCTGGCAGCTGGCACCCTTTCCAGGGCCCTTTTGTCAAAGTCTTAGAAAACTTCATTTCCATAAAGGTGCAAATGGAGCTCCATGGCTCAGCCTCCCTCGTGGCCCGGCCCCGAGCACCCTCCGGGCCTCTAGGGCTCCAGGGCACCCCTTCTTTGGACACAGTGGAGACTGAAGGTCTTGTGGGGGTGGAGGGCTGCTGAGGGACCCCGGGGAGCCCCCAGCTCCTGGCCCCAGCCTTCATCAGAGGTAAAACCCCGATGGACATTAGTGCAGGATGAAGTTGGCTTGGGGTGCAGCCCCGAGGGGCCCCCCTCCCTGCATCCACTCAGTGCTTGTGAGTCCTATCCTGCAGGCACCTCCCTGCTCCGTTTACAGATGAGCTCAGGGAGTCTCGGGAGATCAGGGGACTGCACCAAGTCACCCAGGGGTGGTGATTGCCAGGCCCACTTGTTTAAGAAGAGGGAGGGGGCTGGGCACGGTGGCTCACACCTGTAATCCCAGCACTCTGGGAGGCTGACACAAGCAGATCACCTAAGGTCAGCAGTTTGAGACCAGCAATGGCCAACATGGTGAAACCCCGTCTCTACTAAAAATACAAAAATTAGCCAGGTGTGGTGTCACATGGCTGTAATCCCAGCTGCTTGGGAGGCTGAGGCAGGAGAATTGCTTGAACCTGGGAGGCGGAGGTTGCAGTAAGCCGGGATTTCTCCACTGCACTCCAGCCTGGGCGACAGGGTGAGACTCTGTCTCAAAAAAAAAAAGAAGAGGGAGGGGGCGGGGTCAGCTGTGCGTGGTGGGGAGCATATGAGGCCAGGCTCCTGGGGGCAGGAGACTAGGGCAGAGAGGCGTGGCTGTAGGGCTTTTTGCATCACAGGAGGGCAGCATGGCCGGGTGGGAGCAGTGGAGCCTTTCTGACAATGGCCAGGGCCCAAACACAGAACCAGTCTGCAACGCGTGGGCACTGCTCACATGACCAGATGGGAGAAAGACAGCAGGAGCGGGTCCCACTGCCTGGGCAGGGCCGAAGGATGCCCACGACAGGATTTGGAGATGGAGGCTCAGTCGTGAGAGGAGCTGGGCTCCTCCTGGAGGGACATCAGACAACACCAGTGCTTCCTCCAGCAGGACTCCTCATCCAGTGCTCTCTTTGCCACCTGACCTGGCACCCGGTGGATGCTCAGAGATGGCAGGGGAGTTGAATCTTTGAGGCCTGGCCCAGCAGTCAAAGGCCTCCCACAGATGTCTGTTTGTGCTGCCCCCAGGACTGGAGTGACAGCCTGGCCCAACTGGCTCAAGCCAGGGCAGCCCTCTGTGGAATCCCAACCCCGAGCCTGGCGTCCGGCCTGTGGCGCACCCTGCAAGTGGGCTGGAACATGCAGCTGCTGCCCGCGGGCTTGGCGTCCTTTGTTGAAGTGGTCAGCCTATGGTTTGCAGAGGGGCAGCGGTACAGCCACGCGGCAGGAGAGTGTGCTCGCAACGCCACCTGCACCCACTACACGCAGGTGAGTGTGCTGCAGGTGAGGCCAGCGTGCCAGCTCCCAGATACAGACTTCCACTGGTCCATCTCAGAAGAGGCTACAGTTTGTCCTAAATGTTGGGATTCCTTTTCCTCCAATTGGTTTAGTTTTACTTTTTTTTTTTTTGATACGGAGTCTTGCTGTGTTGCGCAGGCTAGAGTGCAGTGGCGTGATCTCGGCTCACTGCAACCTCCGCCTCCTGGACTCAAGTGATTCTTGTACTTCAGCCTCCTGACTAGCTGGGACTACAGGCATGTGCCACCAGGCCTGGCTAATGGCTTTATACTTTTAGTAGAGATAGGGTTTTACCATGTTGGCCAGGTTGGTCTTGAACTCCTGGCCTCAAGTGATCCACCCACCTCAGCCTCCCAAAGTGCTGGGATTACAGGCGTGAGCCACTGTGCCCCGCCACATTTTTTCTTTTTTTGGAGACATGGTCTCAGTCTGTCACCCCAGGCTGGAGTGCAGTGGCGTGATCTCAGCTTACTGCAACCTCCGTCTCCTAGATTCAAGCGATTCTTGTGCCTCAGCCTCACAAGTAGCTGGGATTACAGGTGTGCGCCTCTACACCCAGCTCATTTTTTTGTATTTTTAGTAGAGACAGGGTTTCACCATGTTGGCCAGGCTGGTCTCGAACTCCTGACCTCAAATGATCTGCCTGCCTCAGCCTCCCAAAGTGCTGGGGTTACAGGCGTGAGCCACCATGCCTGGCCTAAGCCACTTTTTTTCAATCTGAAATATAAATAATTTCAAACATAAACGTATTTATTTATTTATTTGAGACGAAGTCTTGTTCTGTCACCCAGGATGGAGTGCAATGGCTTGATCTCGGTTCACTAGAACCTCTGCCTCCCAGATTCAGGTGACTGTCCTGCCTCAGCCTCCCAAGTAGCTAGGACTACAGGCACGAGCCACCACACCCCACTAATTTTTGTATTTTTAGTAGAGATAGGGTTTCACCATGTTGGCCAGGCTGGGTCTCAAACTCCTGACCTCAAGTGATCCACCTGCGTGGGCCTCCCAAAGTGCTGGGATTACACGTGTGAGACACCGCACCCAGCCTCAAACGTAAATTTAAAACGGCCCCACTCTTACCCACTACCTAGGTTTAGAAGATGCTACTAAACTAAAGCCCTGCTCCTCCCCTTTTCCCGCTGTCCCTCCCTGGAGGGAATCTTCCCAAAGTTCAGGAGCATCACTGCCAAGCAAGTTTCCATTTTTTCTCTTCATTCAACAAATATTTGTTGAGGGTCTTCTACACACACCTGGTGCTCTTCAGATGCACTGAAAAACACAAGCAAAATCCCAGGAAATATTTAATACCTCCACTACCTGTGCAAGTGGGTTGTGCATGTTTAAATATTACACAAGGCTGGGTGCGGTGGCTCACGCCCGTAATCCCAGCACTTTGGGAGGCCAAGGTGGCAGGATTGCCTGAGCCCGGGAGTTCGAGACCAGCCTGGGCCACATGGAAAAAACCTGCCTCTACAAAAAAATACATAAATTACCCAGGTGTGATGGTGTGCGCCTGTAGTTCCAGCTACTTGGGAGGCTGAGGTAGGAGAATTGCTGGAGCCTGGGAGGTGAAGATTGCAGTGAGCTGAGACTGCGCCATTGCACTCCAGCCTGGGCAGCAGGAGTAAAACCCTGGCTTAGTAAAAAGAAGAACATGTGCCCCTACAACTAGGTGCTGCCAAAGTGCTTACGCCAACTGTGCAGACCAGCAAACCAGTTCCCACTTCCCGAAGATCTTCTGGCTCCTTAATTTTTTTTTTTTTTTTTGAGACGGAGTCTTGCTCTGTCGCGCAGGCTACTGTGCAGTGGCGCGATCTCGGCTCACTGCAAGCTCCGCCTCCTGGGTTCACACCATTCTCCTGCCTCAGCCTCCCTAGTAGCTGGGACTGCAGGCACACGCCACCACACCCGGTTATTTTTTTGTATTTTGTTTAGTAGAGACAGGGTTTCACCGTATTAGCCAGGGTGGTCTTGATCTCCTGACCTCATGATCCGCCTGCCTCGGCCTCCCAGAGTGCTGGGATTACAGGTGTGAGCCACTGTGCCCAGCCTTGGCTCCTTAAGTTTTGTCAGACTCAAAGGTGTGAAAAACCTAACTCTGTTTTGTTGTTGGTGGTTGTTTTTTGTTTGTTTTGTTTTTGTTTTTGTTTTTTCGATTCAGAGTCTTGCTCTGTTGCCCAGGCCAGAGTGCAGTGGTGCGATCACAGCTCACTACAACCTCCGCCTCCCCAGTTCAAGAGATTCTCCTGCGTCAGCCTCCTGAGTAGCTGGGATTACAGGCGCCTGCCACCACACCTGGCTAATTTTTGTATTTTTAGTACTCCTGACGTCAGGTAATCCACCTGCCTCGGCCTCCCAAACTGTTGGGATTACAGGCTTGAGCCACCACGCCCAGCCTCTATTATTGTTTCTAATTTTCTTGATGTGAATGTTTAGATCATTAATTTTAAATCATTTTTTGTTTCTACTATATACATTTAAAGCTATAAATTTCCCTTTAAACGATTTCAGCTGCATCCAATAAGTTTTGATGTTTTTTCTATTTCCAATCATGATGTTGTTTTTGTTTGTTTTGAGACATGGTCTGGCTCTGTCGCCCAGGCTGGAGTGCAGTGGTGCAATCTCAGCTCACTGCAGCCTCAATTTCCTGGGCTCAGGTGATCTTCTCACCTCAGGTCCGGAGTAGCTGGGACTACAGGTGTGTGCCACCATGCCTGGCTAATTTTTTGTATTTGTAATAGAGATGGGGTTTTGCCATGTTGGCCAGGCTGATCTTGAACTTCTGAACTCACATGATCCACCCAACTCAGCCTCCCAAAGTGCTGGGATTACAGATGTGAACCACCACACCTGGCCATGATGTTGTTTTAGATTTTGAAGTGTATCTTTAAGTTTCTAAACTATGTTATCTTCTCTATTTACTTGTAAATTATTTACTTTAAATTTCATTGCATTGAATTCATAGAATGTGGGCTGTAGGATGTGCTGATTCTTTGCTATTTGTTGAAACTTGCTTAGTGGTCTAATGTATGGTCCTCCTTTCTGGTTTGCAAAAGTCCCATGCATTCCTAAAAACGATACATATTCTTTAAGTGTTGGATACATGTATATGATCACATGTTCACATCTGCCTGCTACAAGCCAGTCTTGTACATGTCATTTTTAGTCTCTACTGGAGAGTTTGTTTCACTCTTCTTATATATTGCCCATTTGTGCTATTTCCAAGCTGTTGCTGATTCTAAGACTTTAAACTGGTTTGCAGACCTGTATCCATTAGGTTTTATTGCATGACATACTACCCCAAAATTTAGCAGCTTACGATTCTGCAGGTCAGCCACTTGGGTTGGGCTCAGCAGGGAGGTTTTCTGGTCTTGGCTGGGCCCACTCATACACCTGCAATCAACTAGGGGGCCGGCTGGGAGCTGGCTGTGCAAAAAGGCCTCTAATGGTTCATCTCTGTTCCATGAGGCCTTCCAAACTCCTATACTGAGTTTGTTCATGTGGTGACTGAGCATGGTTCTATGAGAATGAGTGGAAATGGCAAGGTCTCTTAAGGCCTAGGTTCAAAATCGGCTCAGTATCACTTCTGTGGCATTCTGGTGGCCAAACCAGTTACAGAGCCAGCCAGATTCAAGGAGCAAGGAAAGAGACACCTCTCTTTGCTGCAAAAAGCTGCAGAGTCACATTTAAAGGAGTGGCCTGGTGCAAGAAATGAATGGTTGTGGTCACCATGCAGTCACAAGGCCCTTGATGTTCCAGTCTTTTTTTGGCTACTCCCCTCCACCCATCAACAATCTCCCCTCATTTCAGGTACCTCCCCTCTCCATCCCCCTCTCAACTAAGAAAGCCTTCCTAGGCCGGGCACGGTGGCTCACACCTATAATCCCAGCACTTTGGGAGGCCGAGGCAAGCAGTTCACCTGAGGTTGGGAGTTCAAGACCAGCCTGACCAACATGGAGAAGCCCTGTCGCTACTAAAAATACAAAAAAATTAACCGGGCCTGTAATCCTAGCTACTCGGGAGGCTGAGGCAGGAGAATCACATGAACCCAGGAGGTAGAGGTTGTGGTGAGCCAAGATCAGGCCATTGCACTCCAGCCTGGGCAACAAGAGCAAAACTCCATCTCAAAAATAAATAAATAAATAAATAAATAAATAAATAAATAAGCCTTCCTGAACTATTCCCACCCATGCTTCTACCCCTGCCCAGGACAGCTGCTGCTCCTGAGCCCTCGAGGAGGTAAGGGAGCCCTCTGTTCACCTGGATGATAGCGAAAGCTGTGTCCCCCTCCCCAGGGGTGGTTCACAATAGGGTTTCTGATCCCCTGTGTCTCCTGTAGCTCGTGTGGGCCACCTCAAGCCAGCTGGGCTGTGGGCGGCACCTGTGCTCTGCAGGCCAGGCAGCGATAGAAGCCTTTGTCTGTGCCTACTCCCCCAGGTAAGCCCTGCTACACCCTCTGCTGGGATGTCTGGGAGACAGGGAGGGGTGCTTTCACCGAGGGTGAGATTCCCACACATCCACCCGAAAGTAGAGTCCCTGATGCCTTGCTCTGCACCCTTGGTGGGAGAGGGGAGGAGAGGAAAGGCAGAGGGTGCTAAAGATTCTGGCCACGCAGAAGGTGCTGCTCTGCGGATGTCCCTTCCTGGATACTGGTCCTGGTATCAGGGAGTTTGTCCAGGATTGGTTTGGAGGCCATCTCTTCTCTCCCAGGGAATCTCCCTATCTCACCCAGCTCCCTGACTCCCTGGCCTGGCCGCAGGAGCTGAAGGGGCCAGGGGGGCAGGCAGCAGGGCCCTGCCTCTGCCTTGCCCAAGGCCAGGCCCTCCCACACCCTGTGGTGCCTGCTCGTCCTCACAGAGGCAACTGGGAGGTCAACGGGAAGACAATCGTCCCCTATAAGAAGGGTGCCTGGTGTTCGCTCTGCACAGCCAGTGTCTCAGGCTGCTTCAAAGCCTGGGACCATGCAGGGGGGCTCTGTGGTGAGTGCATGAGGGCTCAGTCTGGTGACCCTGGGGTGGGGGTGGTAGCATCCTACTGGGCTGTCCCAGAAGCCCTGGCCCTTAGCACCCAGGGAGGCTCCTGCCCGGCCTGCTGGGAGGAGACCCTTTTCTCAGAGTCCCCTCCTCCTCTGACCAGAGGTCCCCAGGAATCCTTGTCGCATGAGCTGCCAGAACCATGGACGTCTCAACATCAGCACCTGCCACTGCCACTGTCCCCCTGGCTACACGGGCAGATACTGCCAAGGTGAGGGCACTGGAGCCTGGGTGTGCCCAGCCCTGCTCTCGTGGCAGGTCCTAGGGCTGCTACACTTCCTGAGAGTCTCAAGGGTGTCAGAGGTGCTGACTGTGTACTCCCTGAGTCTGCCCACTGCATACATTCTTTCAACAAGCATTCACTGAGCACTAGCTGTTTGCCAGACCCTGAGCTGTGCAGGAGATTCAAAGTGAAATCAGGTTCAGCCCCTTAGGCTCTGGGAGGAGGACAGAATTAGGACCCAGAAGTGGATTCTTGCCCTACTGCCCCTCTACCCTAACCCACTCTGTGACCATGGGCAGGTCACCTCCCAAACTCCAATATGCCTCACTCTGCAATGGGGACCAAACCAAAGACACCAGGCGTGCCAGCAATCGGAAGCCTTGGTGGGTTCTGTCTATGGGAGGGGTATTCTTGCTGTGGTTGGCATTCCCTGGATGTTCGAGGCCTCTGGGGGGCAGCGTGGGGTCCAGAAGGCTGGGGGCTGAGCCTCTGCCCCACTGCCCTGCCCTGGCAGTGAGGTGCAGCCTGCAGTGTGTGCACGGCCGGTTCCGGGAGGAGGAGTGCTCGTGCGTCTGTGACATCGGCTACGGGGGAGCCCAGTGTGCCAGTGAGTCCTGCCCCAGGGCCCCCAAAGAGCCAGCTCCTCTCAAGACCCCCCTTCAATGGGGCATCAGCTCCCAGGAGCCCGCTGTGTGCCTCTCTTTCCAACTCATTCAGTGACAACACGTTGAGATCTTGAAACTGGCCACAGCATGGATATTTACACCAAAGAAATTGGCAAATGCTATAAACCATGGATTTTTTTTTTTCTTTTGAGAGAGAGCAAGCTCAATATTCCAACTTACCAGCTCGCTCCTGACCCTCACCACCCACTCTTTTGGAGCAGGTGGCCAGAGGAAGGGGCACCCTGAGCTTAGCTCCCCGGCAGGGCAGGAAAGGGCAGGGATTCTGAAGTCCACACACAAACTCAGGCTCCCCTACCCCAGCCAAGGTGCATTTTCCCTTCCACACCTGTGACCTGAGGATCGACGGAGACTGCTTCATGGTGTCTTCAGAGGCAGACACCTATTACAGAGCCAGGATGAAATGTCAGGTGACAGTCACCCCTAGCTTCCTAGGAACCCCCTAGGGCCTCAAGTGAGGGTCTTAATGCAGGGACCCTGGAGTGAGAGGTGGTTCCTTCCACGTCTCTGACCTCACCCTATTCATCAGCATAAAGCAGGGGTCGTGGACTCCAAGGCTCATAGAAGCCAGGAGGTCACTTATTGACCTGAGGGGCCAAGGTCAAGACCAACCTCCATCTAAGGGAGTTCCAGCCACTGGTTGCCTTGCAGGAATGCAAGGTCAGGGTGGCCAGAGCTCGGGGTTGTTCAAGAAAACCAGCAACCCAGACTTCCACTGGCAACTCTCGAAACCACAATTAATTACTGGGGTTGGCAATCAACTTGGATATATTTAAGACACTGTGCAGGTGAAACAGAACCTCCTCAGGGGCCAGACCTTGCCTGGGCTTGTGGGCTGCTGGTCGCGCCCCCGTGCACAGGGAGAAGAGAAGCAGACGGGAGCAGAAGGGACCCCTGCTCTTGGAAGGGAGGCTGTGCGGGCTGGGGGTGATGATAGCCCGGCCAGCACACACACGTGGCATCTTAGGCCATGGGCAGGGGTGGCAGGAAGGGGCAGCCTGGGCTCTGGGAGCCTTGCCTGTGTGACCCAGGGTGGGGTTACAGAGGAAAGGCGGGGTGCTGGCCCAGATCAAGAGCCAGAAAGTGCAGGACATCCTCGCCTTCTATCTGGGCCGCCTGGAGACCACCAACGAGGTGATTGACAGTGACTTCGAGACCAGGAACTTCTGGATCGGTGAGTGCCCAGCTGATTGGGGGTATGGCGAGTAAGGGGTTGTGATGCCCCACCCTGCTGCAGGAACCCTGGGCCATGGCGGCTGCCAGCAGATGGCAAGGGTGTGTTGAGGGCCTGGAGCCCAGAGCGGGGCCAGCTGCTCACCCCCTTTCCCGGGAAGGGCCCAGGTAGGGAGCACATGGGGGCTGCCAGCGCTGGGAAGAGGGGCCAGAAAGGCAGCTGGCAGCAGACTCCAGGGTCTGAGTGGGCCAACCTTGACTACCCCGGCCCAGGGCTCACCTACAAGACCGCCAAGGACTCCTTCCGCTGGGCCACAGGGGAGCACCAGGCCTTCACCAGTTTTGCCTTTGGGCAGCCTGACAACCACGGGTAAGTGTGGGGTGCCTCCCTCCCCTGGGCCTCCTTCTCACTTGGGCCTGCCTGGTGGAGCCCCCCATCCCGCTGCCTGGCTGGGCCCTTTGAGGGTCTGATCCTTCCCTGGTGCCTGCCCAGGTGCCAGAGAGTTGTGGGCACAGCTGGTGTGGGCCGGTGGTGGGGTGAGGGAGATGCAAGCCGGAAGGCACGTCACGTGGGGGAGAGAGGGACCCAGGAAGCCTCCATCCATCTGTCCATCCCCAGTGTCCCCTGGTGTGACTCCATCCCTCCAATTCTCATCCACTCACCCCTCCGTCTGCATGCCCTCTGCCTGCATCAGTTACACTGATGCCAGCATTCCTTAGCTGTCACCCACCTGCACTCATTCACAATACAACCCTGCACCTGCAGACCCACCAGCCATCCTGTAGCAAGAACCCTCTGGTCACGTGGCCCCACCCTGCTCTTCAAAGCCCAGCAATGCCCAGGGCCAGGGTGGAGGTGGTCCGGCTGCGAGGCCACCAAGGGCTCCAGCGATTTCAGCCAGCCCTCCTTGCCAACAGCCGGCCTGTGCCCCTGGCCTCTTGCCTGGAGGAAGTCTGGGCCTTGTTGGGTTCCCAGGTGTACCTCTCAAGTGGGCTGTCTATTCCAGTCCCCACCATCCCCACAGGCTGGTGTGGCTGAGTGCTGCCATGGGGTAGGCAGAGCTGTTACCCCAGGAAGGGGCTTCCCTGAGAAGTGGAGCAGGGCTGGGGGCTTGGGGACGGGCCTGGCTCCCGGCAGCCCCGTCGGCAGGTGGGGGCACTGGAGCCCCTGAGATGCAGGGTCCTGATGGGTGGAGGGCTTAGGCCTCTCCCGGATCCCTGACTTCACTCTTGCCTCCTGACCACCACACCATGGCCTGCAGGTTTGGCAACTGCGTGGAGCTGCAGGCTTCAGCTGCCTTCAACTGGAACAACCAGCGCTGCAAAACCCGAAACCGTTACATCTGCCAGTTTGGTGAGGGACTTCCTGAGGCTCCCCTTCTCTGATCTCTGACCCTGGGGGTGCTGCTGACCCGGTCCAGCCTGCAAGGGTATCTAGGTGGCAGGTTCAGAGTGGGTCTGGGCACACGGGGCCATAGAGGATGCCCTGTTGATGGCCTTGTACCTGTGGGCTCCTGAGCCCAGAGGGGCAACGACGGGCCCAGCTTCATACAGCAAGGCCACGCAGGAAGGACTAGAGCTACAGCTCTGCAGGGGATTTCTCCAAGGACCCTCTCCTGTCATGAAAGCTGCTGCCTGGGAACCTGTTGGGTTCCTTGGTGTTCCCGGGAGCCCCATGAACTGTGGTGGAGGCGGAGGTGAAACCTAGCATGGCACCAGCTCCCAGCAGCCTCTGCTAGGAAGGCCTGGAGCGCCACAGGGACCACGGCCATGGGCACTTCCAGACCGAGTGCAACAGGGCTGCCATCTTGGGACTGCCTGGGCTGCCATCGAGCCCTGCTCTCTTCTGCTTCCTTCCAGCCCAGGAGCACATCTCCCGGTGGGGCCCAGGGTCCTGAGGCCTGACCACATGGCTCCCTCGCCTGCCCTGGGAGCACCGGCTCTGCTTACCTGTCCGCCCACCTGTCTGGAACAAGGGCCAGGTTAAGACCACATGCCTCATGTCCAAAGAGGTCTCAGACCTTGCACAATGCCAGAAGTTGGGCAGAGAGAGGCAGGGAGGCCAGTGAGGGCCAGGGAGTGAGTGTTAGAAGAAGCTGGGGCCCTTCGCCTGCTTTTGATTGGGAAGATGGGCTTCAATTAGATGGCAAAGGAGAGGACACCGCCAGTGGTCCAAAAAGGCTGCTCTCTTCCACCTGGCCCAGACCCTGTGGGGCAGCGGAGCTTCCCTGTGGCATGAACCCCACAGGGTATTAAATTATGAATCAGCTGAACCTGTGCATGCTCATTTCAAAGGGAAATTCAGATGATCCAGGATGACCCTGGAGAGACCAGAGGGGGCCTGAGGCTTCACTGCAGCGGCCTCCACCCACCTATTCCCTTTCCTGGTCACCTTCATGGTCCAGGACACTCTCTGGAAGTTCTGGGTCTCCCCAAGAAGAGGAAGACCAGACTCTGCCTCAGTGAGGGGCAGTTCTCATGGCTGGGGCCCAGGCAGGCAGGGTATTAATAGAAGTTGCTCTGAATGTCTGGGAGACGACGCGTGTGTGTTGCCCCCACCGGCGGAGTGTCATCGCACCAGGGCCAATGGTAGTCAGAGCCTGTGCAGTCCCGCTCCCTCACCCAGCTCCTCAGACATCACCCACAAGGGGTTATCACTGTCCCAGTTTACAGCGGAAGAAATGAAGGCAGAGAGATTGAGTAACTTGCATAAGATCATACAGCTGGGAGTCAAACCCAGTGAGTCTGGCTGTCATTTATTTATTTTTTTTCTTTTCTTTTCTTTTTTTTTTTTTTTTTTTTTTTTTTGAGACGGAGTCTCGCTCTGTCGCCCAGGCTGGAGTGCAGTGGCACGATCTCCGCTCACTGCAAACTCCGCCTCCCAGGTTCACGCCATTGTCCTGCCTCAGCCTCCCGAGTAGCTGGGACTACAGACGCCCGCCACCACGCCCGGCTAATTTGTTTTTTGTATTTTTAGTAGAGACGGGGTTTCACCGTGTTACCCAGGATGGTATCGATCTCCCGACCTCGTGATCCACCCGCCTCGGCCTCCCAAAGTGCTGGGATGACAGGCGTGAGCCACCGCTCCCGGCCCTATTTTTTTCTTTTTTGAGACAGAGTCTCGCTTTGTCGTACAGGCTGGAGTGCAGGGGTGCAATTGGGGTTCACTGCAGCCTCGAACTCCCAGGCTCAAGCGATCCTCCTGCCTCAGCCACCCAAGTAGCTGGAACCACAGGTCCGCACCACCACGCCCCGCTATTTTTTGTGTTTTTTGTAGGGACGGGGTTGCACCATGTTGCTCAGGCTGGTCTCGAACTCCCGTGCTCAAGCGATCCGCCATCCTGGGCCTCCCAAAGTGCTGGGGTTACAGGCATGCGGCCCGGCGCCGGCCCAGTCTTTCCCTCTCCCACTGCTTCCCAGGGCTTCGCCTGTCTAACCGGGCGCGGGCAGTTGTCCTGTGTCCTGGCTCAGCGCGGACCTACGCGGGGTGGTCACACAGATGCCCCCAGCTCTCTCTACCTCCCGCGAAGGCGCTGAGCCCCCTGATCCCTGCCCGGGCACTGGCGCAAGGTCGCCTGCGAGCGCCAGGCCTTCCTGCCCGGTGGGAGACGGGAGGGCCCGCTCTCCGGCTCGGTCTGGTTCCCGGGTCAGCCAGCAGCCGCGCCTCTTCCTCCCAGACCCGGGACCCGCCCCTTGGCCGGGGCCGCGGCCGCAGCGCCCGGAGGGGCCGCCCTGCGCATGCCCGCGGGAGGTGGGTGACCCGGGAGCGCGCTGCCCGAGGCCGGGGGGCGGTGGGGACAGCACAGGCGGGGCGGCCGAACCGAGACCTTCCCACCCCGCCCCACGCCTGGTTGGGGACCTGACGCGCCGTCGTGAGTGGGGCGGGTGCAGGTGTCCCTGGGGGCCGGGGGCAGACACTGGTGCGGGACGACCTGCTCCCGAGGGGGTCCGCAGGCCACACCCAGAGAAACTGGGGCGCCTCCAGTCACCGCCGCGGTCCGCCCCGCCGGAGGCTTTGACCCCCTGAATCAGCGTCGGGGCAGGGATCCGCGTGGGGTGGAAGAGGCTGGGAAACTTGGGAGTCCCGGGCCTCCTCTGGAGCCGCCCGCCCTTGGCTGGCTGGTCCTTCTCTTCCTCGGCTCCCGCCGGGCTGGGCCCTGGGCCGCCCTCACTCCCTCCCCTCTGCAGCCTCCCTTGCGTTTGTCATTCACTCTGCCAGGCTCTCCTTCTGCCTCCGCATGCCCAACGATCCGGAGAAAAACACGGACCATGACATCAAAAGGCCTTGGCCAAGGAATCGTGATTATTGTGATACAAGATTCTGCACCTCAAAGGGGATCCCTGTAGTGAGTTTTGGAAAACGTACAAAGCCTGACTTACAATATGCCTGTTATCTGTGGCGTTTCATCTGGGGAACTTACTTTTCCTTGATAGGGTAAACTATTCTCATCCAGAGTATGTCCCTCAGTCTGTAAAAGTCCATGGTGCCCTACATCTATTAGGGGAGTGAGGAAGGGCAGTGGGCATTGGATCTGCTTCTTTGAAAGCCCCCACCTGTGTTTAGCTTCTGTTAGAGGCCTTTGAACCAGAGCAACTCCATCTTGAGTAGGCGCTGGGTAAAATGAGGCTGAGACCTACTGGGCTGTGTTCCCAGGTGGTGGAGGCATTCTAAGTCACAGGATGAGATGAGAGGCCGGCACAAGCAGTAAAGAAGCCGCGGCCAAAACCCACCAAAACCAAGATGGTGATGCGAATGACCTCTGGTCGTCCTCACTGCTACACTCCCACCAGCGCCAAGACAGCTTACAAATGCCATGGCAACGCCAGAATGTTACCCTATATGGTCTAAAAAGGGGAGGCATGAATAATCCACCCCTTCTTTAGCATATAATCAATAAATAACCATAAAAATGAGCAACCAGCAGCCCTCGGGGCTGCTCTATGGAGTAGCCATTGTTTTATTTCTTTACTTTTTTTTTTTTTTTGAGAGGGAGTCTTGCTCTTGCTCAGGCTGGAGTGCAGTGGCGTGATCTCGGCTCACTGCAATCTCCGTCTCCTGGGTTCAAGCGATTCTCCTGCCTCAGCTTTCGAGTGGCTGGGACTACAGGTGCCCACCACCATGCCGGCTTTTTTTTTTTTTGTACTTTTAATAGAGACGGGGTTTCACCACGATGGCCAGGGTGGTCTCGAACTCCTGTCCTCAGATGATCTGCCTGCCTTGGCCTCCCAAAGTGCTGGGATTATATGCGTGAGCCACCGCGCCCAGCCCTATTCCTTTACTTTTTTTTTTTGAGGTGGAGTCTCACACCTGGCCTCCAATATGTTTATTCATATTGCTGAGGCAGGGGATTGCTTGAGCCCAAGAGTTTGAGGTTGCAGTGAACCATGATCATAAGCTGTATTTCAGCGTGAGTGAGAGATTGAGACCTTGTCTCACAAAATAAAAGTTAAAAAGCCCTTATCTGGAGGTGAGAAAGCCAAATACAAAGGTCTTCTCAGTTGGTTCCCAGTCTTCCCAGTCCAGCAGCCTCAGCATCACCAGGGAGCTGGTTAGGCAAATTCTCGGCGGCCCCAACCTACTGAATTGGAGACCCTGAAGATGGGGCTATCTGAATTTTAACAAGGCCTCCAGGTTTGCATGCTCAAGATTGAGAACCACTGGCAAAAGCAAACAATTTGAATCTGAAGTCAGCCCACCTGCATTTGAATACAGGCCCTGCCACTTAATAACTGTGATTTAGAGCAAGTTAGTTACTTAACAGCTAGGTTGACCAATTGTCCGAGTTTGCCTGGCACTATCCTGATTTCAGCACTGAAAGTACTACATTATCGCTGTGGCTCACGCCTATAATCCCAGCTTCTCAAGCTGTCCCTGTGGAATCCTCAATATCGGTACATTCATCCCTATCTAGCATCCCCTTCCTCCCTCACCCATCCTGCACCCTCAGAATTCATTCTCAGATCAGCTTCCCAGATTTTTGCCAATATCAATTAAAAAAATTTTTTAGCCAACCATGTACTGTGAGTAAGCCAATATCAATTAGCAAAATCTTTAAGTTTCTTTTGGTGATTCAGTATCTTCCCCCTGGAGTTTTTTGATGATTCAGTACCCTCCTAGATTTGGCCCCTGGGGCCTGCGGGGATGTGACTTGTCATTTAATTCTGGAGAAAATGAGGGGTAGGGCTTATAAGGAGACTCCTTCGGGGCAGGGTCATTACAGGGTGTGTTACATAGGGAAATGCTAGCTGCTGGCTAGCTCTCGCTCTTGAAAGGCTCTTCCTCCCTCAACTGAAATGGGGAAGGGGGAACCCCGGCCGACTGAGGTCCTGACATCTTTAGCACATGGCTTCTTAGGTCACCCAGGGCATCCAGGTTACCAGCTTGGGAAACAGGAGATGTAGGTTGGAGGAAGAGGCTACAGCCCACCCTGGAAATAACTGCCATCCGTCCCACCCATATGGTTAGGCTTTGTGTCCCCACCCAGATCTCATCTCGAATTACAATCCCCACGGGTTGAGGGATGGACCAGGTGGAGGTACTTGCATCCTGGGGGCAGTTTCCCCCATGCTGTGCTCGTGACAGTGAGTGAGTTCTCACGAGATCTGATGGTTTTAAAGCGTGGCAGTTCCTCTTTCTCGTGCTTACATCCTCGTAACTATCCTGTGGAGAAGGTGTCTGCTTTCCCCTACCTCCATGGTTGTAAGTTTCCTGAAGCCTCCCCAGCCGTGTGGAACTGTGAGTCAATTAAACTTCTTTATAAGTTACCCAGTCTCGGTGTTTGCTTTTTTGAGATGGAGATTTGCTCTTGTTGCCCAGGTTGGAGTGCAATGGCGTGATCTCGGCTCTTTGCAACCTCTGCCTCTCGGGTTGAAGCTATTCTCCTGCCTCAGCCTCCCAAGTAGCTGGGATTACAGGCGTGAACCACCACACCCAGCTAGTTTTGTATTTTTAGTAGAGAGGGGGTTTCATTATGTTGGTCAGGCTGGTCTCGTGCTCCAAGCCTCAGGTGATCCGCCCACCTCGGCCTCCCAAAGTGCTGGGATTACAGGCATGAGCCACCGCACCCAACCTTGGATGTTTCTTTATAGCAGTGTAGAAACAGACTCAGCCGTCGCTGCAGGCCATACCTCAGCTACATAGAACACCTAACTGCCCGCAAGGGAGTTCCTGCTACTAGGATCTTCAGAGTGACAAAGAGGAAGCTTTGGCTGGCAAGGGTGGTGGGGAGGGGAGGGGCTAGGTACCTAAGGCTTCCCTATCTTTCCACACAGCCTAATTTTCATAGCCTCTGGTCTCCACATTTCACTCTTTCCCAAATAAAGACCTTTTAAGGTGTGGGTCCCCTTGGTCATTCTGTAACCATTGGATCAAGTTTTCAGTTTTTTCTGCTCTCTCAGCTGCAAAATAACACATTCGAGTTTTGGTTTTTTTTTTTTTGGAGACAAAGTCTCACTCTGTCGCCCAGGCTGGAGTGCAGTGGTGTGATCTCAGCTCACTGTAACCTCTGCCTCCTGGATATAAGCGATTCTCCTGCCTCAGCCTCCCAAGTACCTGGGATTACAGGCACCCGCCACCACACCTGGCTAATTTCTGTATTTTTAGTAGAGACGGGGTTTTGCCATTTTGGCCAGGCACACTCGGGTTTTCTAACCATACCTTGAGCCAAGAATTTGGATTCTGAGCTTGTCTTTTCATTTAAGCTATGTGGCGCTGTTAGCATGACCGCCCTGCCCAGCAGATCTTGACTTCAGTGTAATCTTTATTCTCTTCTATGGCAGGAGCCATTAGGTCCCCCAAAGCCTTGCCTTTGATGGGTACTTTGTTCCCGGGGACAATGGGATTAGCTGTCTTGCCAGGGCGTGCCATGGGGCTGCTGGTGTCCTGTCCCTTAATACCAGCTGGATTTTCACTGTCCTCTGACCACTTTCCAGCCTTCAATTGCTCCTGTTTCCTTTGGGGCTTCTTGCTCTGTCCAGTCCTGGTCCTATTTTTGTGAGAATCAAGGTTCTTAGTTTTAACCAACAGAAACTAATTCTGGCAACTCTAAACAGAAAGGGACTTGGTCAGAGGTCCTGGCTAGTTCCCAGGAGCTCAAAAGGGTCAGAAAATCAAATCAGGAAGAGGACATTGGGCAAAGCTGGCCAGGTGAAGACCCCACAGCCTCTGCTGGCACAGAAGCTACAATTGGCACCACCGAAGTGGGACAGAAGCTGCCACCTGTGCAAGCTAGATGTAGTCGCTGCCGCTGTCACCATCAATTTTTGAGATGATGCTTCTTCCTGCCTGCCACTTTAATTCAAAGCGAAGGCCAGGTGCAGTGGCTCATGCCTGTAATGCCAGCACTTTGGGAGGCCAAGGCAAGAGGATCGCTTGAGGACGGGAGTTTGAGATCAGCCTGGGCAACAGGGTGAGACCCCGTCTAGCCAAAAAATACAAAAAAAAAGAGCTGGGCAGAAAGAAAATGGCTCATGCCTGTAATCCCAGCACTTCAGGAGGCCGAGGCGGGTGGATCACCTGAGGTCAGAAGTTTGAGATTAGCCTGGCCAACACGGTGAAACACTGTCTCTACTAAAAATACAAAAAATTAGTCAGGTTGGGTGGCGCACGCCTGTAATCCCAGCTACTCAGGAGACTGAGGTAGGAGAATCGCTTGAACCCGGGAGGTGGAGGTTGTAGTGAGCTGAGATCTCACCATTGCACTCCCCGCTGGGTGACAGAGCAAGACTAGTCTCAAAAAAAAAAAAGGGGCCACGTCGATGGAAGGACAAGAATAAAGAAACTGAGGCCGGGTATGGTGGCTCACGCCTGTAATTCCAGCACTTTGGGAGTCCGAGGTGGGCGGATCACCTGAGGTCGGGAGTTCGAGACCAGCCTGACCAACATGGAGAAACCCTGTCTCTACTAAAGATACAAAAATTAGCCAGGCATGGTTGCGCATGCCTGTAATCCCAGCTATTGGCGAGGCTGAGGCATGAGAATCACTTAAACCTGGGAGGCGGAGGTTGTGGTGAGCCGAGATCGTGCCATTGCACTCTAGCCTGGGCAACAAGAGCGGAACTGTGGCTCAAAAAATAAATAAATAAAAAATAGAGACATTGGGCCAGGCACAGTGGCTCGTGCCTGTAATCCCAGCTCTTTGGAAGAATGAGGTAGGAGGATTGCTTGAGCCCAGGAGTTCGAGGGTGCAGTGATCACGTCATTAAACTCCCACTTGGGTGACAGAGTGAGGAGCTGTCTCCCCACCCCCATCCCCCAAAAAAAGAAGGTAACTGGGCAAAGAAGTTATTTTTAGTAGAGACTGGCTTTCATCATATTGGCCAGGCTGGTCTTGAATTCCTGACCTCAGGTGATCCACCCACCTCGGCCCCCCAAAGCGCTGGGATTACAGGTGTGAGCCACGGTGCCCAACCTCCTCTTCTCATTTAATCCTCAAAATCATCTCACAAAGCAGGTGCTATTAATACCCGCGTCTTACAGAACGGTTAACAGATGTGTCCAGGGCCGCATGGAGAACACCTTGAGAGAGCAATGAGATCTCGCTCTCCTGCCTCATGACCGATACACGGTTTCAAGAAGTTAGATGACATCACAGATACTCAGGGCACCCAGCTCCAGGCCTTACTGCCTTCGCACAAGGCCGCTCTCTACTAGCTTCACCCCGCATGGAATGCAATGGTCAATGAGGCCCTGGTCAGAACATGGGACTGACAAAGCCAGCACTTGTAGGCTGAGTCTCAGATCACGTGGCTTGTTTGTTTTGTTTGTTTGTTTTTGGGAGATGGAGTTTCACTCGTGTTGCCCAGGCTGGAGTGCAATAGCACCGTCTCAGCTCACTGCAACCTCCGCCTCCTTGTTCAAGTGATTCTCCTGTCTCAGCCTCCCGGGTAGCTGGGACTACAGGTGCATGCCACCATGCCTGGCTAGTTTTTGTATTTTTAGTAGAGATGGGGTTTCATCACATTGGTCGGGCTGGTTTCGACCTCCTGACCTCAGGTGATCCACCCACCTTGGCCTCCCAAAGTGCTGGGATTACAGGCGTGAGCCACTGTGCCCGGCTGGCTTTTTTTTTTTTTTGAGGAGTCGCACTCTGAAATCCAAGCTGGAGTGCAATGATGTGATCTCCCACCATGCTAGTTGTGTTTGTTGTTGTTGTTTTTTCTTTAGTAGAGATGGAGTTTCTCCATGTTGGTGAGGCTGGTCTTGAACTCCTGACCTCAGGTGATCCACCCCCCACCTCGGCCTCCCAAAGTGCTAGGATTACAGGCGTGAGTCACCATGCCTGGCCTCAATTTCTTGAAAGACAAAGAAAAAAGACAGAAAGAGAGAAAGAAAGAAAAAGAAAAAAAAGAGAAAGAGAAAGAGAACAAGAAAAAGAGAAGGAAAGCTCCATGGGTTTAAATGCAAGAGTCAGCTTCAAGGAGGGCTGGGAAGTCAGGTGACGCCACCCTTGTGCTTCCCGCAGCCAGATCACCTGGTGGAGGTACCGTTGGTTTTGGGCCCCTCTCTCAGCACTTGCTACCAGAGAGGACAGCTCTACACCAGAGAGTGAGGGTGGGAACCTGCTCACTGCTGTCTGCTCAGGGCTGGGCATGAGGCAGGTGCTCAGTAGGGGTCTGGAGAATAAATGAATGAACCATCACGGGGCCAAGCACCTGGAAGCGGGCTGGAGATGCTTGCTCTGGACTCCTGGCTCAGGAGTGGACTCCCCAGGTGGACTTCCTCCTGCATCACCACAGCTGAGTGCATGGAGCACAGGTAGGGCAGCTAATGAGCAGGGTCATCATGAATGACAGCAGATGACACCAGGACAGGGGAGGTCAGTAGCCAGATGGGAAGAAAGCAGAATGAAACAGGTCACCCGGGTGCAGTGGCTCATGCCTGTAATCCCAGCATTTCGGGAGGCCGAGGTAGGCAGATCATGAGGTCAGGAGATCGAGACCATCCTGGCTAACACGGTGAAACCCTGTCTCTGCTAAAAATACAAAAAATTAGCCGGACGTGGAGGCGGGTGCCTGTAGTCCCAGCTACTCGGGAGGCTGAGGCAGGAGAATGGCGTGAATCTGGGAGGTGGAGCTAGCAGTGAGCCGAGATCGCACCACTACACTCCAGCCTGGGCGACAGAGCGAGACAGTCTCAAAAAAAAAAAAAAAAAAGTTCTGGCGGAGAGTGTGGGTGAGCACTAGGGTACTGGAAAGATTCCATGCCTGGGAATCGTGCGTGGATTGATTACATCCCCACTTCTGGCAAAATGCTTCATGGCCTTGTGCAAGTTAACTTTGTCTCCCTGGGCCTCTGTTTACTCATCTGAGAAACGGGGTAAAGACATTTGCTCTTCTTAGGTCACAGGGCTCCTGTACACGATGTGAAAGGACTTTGGAAAGTATCCTCCGGTGTGCAAATTTCTCTGAGAAGTGCTGTGGCTGTTTATCCTTAGACTGGAATGAGAAGGGGGAGATGTGACTTTTGTGACTTTCAGGGTGGGCCAGGTGTTGTAGGTGACAGGACAATCTCAGGCTGGTAGCAGTGGCTCATGCCTGTAATCCCAGCACTTTGGGAGGCTGAGGTGGGTGGATCACTTGAGGTCAGGAGTTTGAGACCAGCCTGGATAACATGGTTAAACTCCATCTCTACTAAAAATACAAAAATTAGCCAGGTTGGGGTGGTGTGTGCCCGGAGTCCCAGCTACTCAGGAAGGTGAGGCAGGAGAATCCTTGAACCCGGGAGGCGGAGGCTGCAGTGAGCCAAGATTGCTCCGCTGCACTCCAGCCTCAGCAACAGAGTGAAACTCCATCTCAAAAAAACAAAGACAATCTCAGATGTGCAGTTCACACCCTGGGGCTCTCCGTGGGATCAGGCTGAGGGTCGCATTTAACTGAAATCTTCAGGAGTTCAGCGTCGGGGTAGATATTCCCTGAGAAGCAGCTGAGAGGTAAAGCTTCCTCCGGGAAGTACTCACTTGCTCCTTGTTGATTTCATGGGGTCTCAGGTTTCAGGAGGAAAGTAAAGATGAAAAGCCCTTGCTCTGGCATCTTGGAGGACTTCTGGGTGAGAGCCAGGAAGGGGAAGGCGTTTGGACTCATTGCCCTCCCAGGCCTGGAGTCTGATTTTCCTGCTCTGTCTGGTTTTGGAGGTGGAGGCTGCGAAGCCGAAGCAGTGCTGGTCCTGCCAGCTCCTCCCAGCTCCTCCCCTGCCCTCTGCTTCCCTGGCCTTGCACAGGGACAAGGAGCTCCAAAGAGCGGCTCTGTCCTGTCTCAGCCTGGGAGGGAAGAGGGAGGTGGCATAGATGGTTCCACAAACAGTTCAGTACGTGCCAAAGGAGGGCCTGGGAAGCCCCAGGTCAGGAGAGGGTGCCTGCCCTTCCCGTGAAGGCCAGGGCTGAGCTGCTTCCTGCCAGCATCCAGTTTTGCTCAGAGCACCCAGAACGCCGTCTTGGAGGAACGGGGGCAGGCGCTGCCGCAGAACCCTGGAGCTGTGTCTCCTGCCTCCAGGGCTGGCCGTAGCTGCAAAGACCAGCTGGCAGGTGGAGGACTCAGGAAGACTCTCCCTGTGTTGGCCCTGCAGCCCCATGTCCCCTTCTCTGCTTCTTGGGAACAGGAGGCCTGTGTCTGCCTGTCCTGAGCATCTCAAAAGGAAAAGCTATTCTAGGGATGATGAGAGGGAATCAGGGCCTGAGGCACTTGGAGGAACATTTGCTGAGCTCCCTGTGCAACAGCCCATTCCAAGGCCAAGGTTGCAAAGGTGGCTTAGATGCTGTCCCTAAATGGCCATCGAGGTTCCAAGCCTGGCAGGAAGGGCTCGAGTGGTGGGGCCACAGCGGAGACAAGGCCAAGCAGCCTGATTCTTGGGAGTGGAGGTTAATGAGCAGCGTTTGCACTTGGCTTTCTATAGGGTCAGGCTGTAGTGCAACATCCTGAGGTGCGTGGCTGCCCACAGGTGCTCAGCCAGCCCAGCCTCTGCCAAGGCAGACAGAGCCTGGGCTGGGAAGCGGGGGATCCCACTGCTTGGGGAGTCCCCTTTTCTTCTGCATAGTGGGGATGCCAGGAGCAGTGAACAAGCTCAGCAAAGAGTTCTCCAGCCCGACCCGAGGTTTCCTTCCTCCTGACTTTGTCACCTCACTGGGAGAATATACAGCTCTGTCTGAAACAAGTTTCCTGCGGGGCACCCTGTGCAGGGGAAGCTCGGGCAGCCCAACCTACCAGATGGAAGGGAAAGATAGAGGCTGTGAGGTTCTTCTGGGCCTGTCTACAGCCTCTTCTACCTGGCTGCCCTTTGTTCAGAGTAAAGGATGCAGTTCCCAAGACATAAGCACCGCGGGCTTCAGAGTATGAAGGATCCTTCCAGGTCAGCCACTTTGGGCAACTGGTGAGCAAGGCGGGTGTGCAGGGCCGGCTACATCATTTGTGGGGCCTGGTACAGAATGAAAATGTGGGGCCCTTATTCAGAAGTTACTAAGAATTTTTTTTTTTTTAGATGGAATCTCACTCTGTTACCCCGGCGGGAGTGCAGTGGCACGATCTTGGCTCACTGCAACCTCTGCCTCCCGGGTTCAAGTGATTCTCCTGCCTCAGCCTCCCGAGTAGGTGGGATTCCAGGTGCCCGCCACCACGTCTGGGTAATTTTTGTATTTTTAGTAGAGACAGGGTTTCTCCACCTGGCTGGTCTCGAACTCCTGACCTCAGGCGATCTACCTGCCTTGGCCTCCCAAAGTGGTAGGATTACAGGCATGTGCTAAAAATTTCAAGATGAGGACAGCAGAGCATAAGTGAAGCGCAGGACCCTTGCAAGTGGGTCCGTCTGGGTGTGACTGCATTTGGGGAGAAGGGGATGGGGTCCTGCCTGTCCCTGCAGTCACAGCATACCACGAGTCCTGGGGCAGAGGAGCCTGGATTCAGGCCCTTGGTGCTCAGCGGTCCTGGCTCACGGACACCCCTCGTTCAGCAGCCAGGGGGTTCCTCACTGTGTCCCAGATGTCACTCTAAAGATTGCTTCAGAGGCTCCCTCCCCGAATCGTTGGAGGGACTCTGCCAGTTCCAATGACCAGCCAGCTGCCTTCAGGTCACAAAAGAATCTGGGGCTGGTCTGAGACCAGGTGTACCCCCAGACCCCATCTCTGTCCAGATCATGAGAGGGGGTCCAGGGTCCCCCGCCTCCCACAGTTGGGCTTCACTGCACAGCTGGAACTCAGCCAGGCCTGTTCCGGGAAGCAGGGCTGTGAGTGTGAGCAGTCCAGGACCTTGGCATTTTGAACAAAGAATTGAACAAAACCCACAAAGTAACATAGCAATGAAACATGGGAAGGAAGCAGTGAAAGCAGGAATTTATGAAACAGATAAAGCACTCTGCAGGGCTGGAGTGGGCCTAAGCAAGCGGCTCAAGAGCCTGGTTACAAAGTTTCCTAGGTGTTTTGTTAGTTTGTTTTTGTATTTTATTTTTTTTATTATTATTATTTTTGAGAAGTCTCTTACCCAGGCTGGAGCGCAGTGGCATGATCTTGGCTCACTGCAATCTCCGCCTCCTGAGTTCAAGTGATTCTCTGGCCTCAGCCTCCCAAGTAGCTGGGATTACAGGTAAGTACCCACCACGCCCGGCTAATTTTCATATTTTTTGTAGAGATGGGGTTTCACCATGTTGGACAGGCTGGTCTTGAACTCCTGACCTCGTTAATCGGCCCACCTCGGCCTCCCAAAGTGCTGGGATTACAGGCACGAGCCATGGCACCCAGCCTCCTGGGTTTTAAGTACTGCTTTTGAGGTTCTATTGGCTACCCCTTATCTGGATGAAGGATTTGGTCTGTGGCTCATAAAAGGCTAATGTGAACTGGCGCCCTGTGCAGATGAAGGGATGACCCATGCTTCGCCTGCGGCTAATCCAGGACACTCTCCCTTCCCATCTAAGATGTGGTGGAGACAGGAGGGTGATAGGGTGTCTCTATATTAAAAACACACACACACACACACACACACACACACACACACACACACACACACACACACAAAGGCAGCCAGACTATGCACTAGGAACTGCCCTGGGAATCCCGTTGCGTTCTCACAACAATCCCACTTCACAGATAAAGAAACCAAGGCACAGAAATATTCAGTAACGTGTCCAGATGCGGTGGCTCATGCCTGTAATTCCAGTATTTTGGGAGGCTGAGGCAGGCAGATCACGAGGTCAGGAGTTCGAGACCATCCTGGCCAACATGGTGAAACCCCGTCTCTACTAAAAATACAAAAATTAGCTGGGTGTGGTGGCAGGTGCCTGTAATTCTAGCTACTCAGGAAGCTGAGGCAGGAGAACTGCTTGAACCCGGGAGGCGGAGGTTGCAGTGAGCCGAGATCACACTACTGCACTCCAGCCTGGGTGACAGAGCAAAACTCTGTCTGGAAAAAAAAAAAAGAAAAAAGAAATACTAAGTAACTTGTCTGAGGCCACTTAGTTACCAAGACGTGGGAGCTGGGACTTGAACCCAGGCAGTCTGGCTGGATTCATGCCTGCAGCCTCTGCACTCCTGCTACTTCCTGTGTGAGAAGCGCCTGTTCTGTGGAAGGTTGTGGGCTGAGATCTTTCCATGACTTCCACTCATTTACCCCCAAGGCTGTTCTTAAAGACGGGCATGACAGTTATGCCCATTTTACAGATGGGACCCTGAGGCTCACAAGGGCATGCCACTCACCCATCTCCACAAAGCTATAGCTCGTCAGCAGAGGGCAGAATTCGGCCGCCTCTCCCCTAGCTCGAAGGCTGTGATTGACACAGAGGTTTTTTTGTTGTTGTTGCTGTTGTTTGTTCCTTTTTCTTTTTTTTTTGAGACAGGGTCTTGCTCTGTCATCCCGGCTGGAGTGCAGTGGTGCGATCTCAGCTCACTGCAAACTCTGCCTCCAAGATGCAAATGATTCTCGTGCCTCAGCCTCCCAAGTAGCTGGAATTACAGGTGTGCACTACCATGCCCAGCTGTTTTTTGTAGAGATGGGGTTAGTAGAGATTTGTTTAATAGAGACGAGGTTTCACCATGGTCTCTACTAAACCCTGTCTCTACTAAAAATACAAAAATTACCCAGGCGTGGTGGCACATGCCTGTAGTCCCAGCTACTCAAGAGGCTGAGGCAGGAGAATCACTCGAACCTGGGAGGTGGAGGTTGCAGTGACCCAAAATCATGCACTCTGGCCTGGGGTCTCGCTTTTGCCCAGGTTAGAGTGCAGTGGCACAATCATAGTGGCTTACTGCAGCCTCAAACTCCTGGGCTGAAGGGAATCCTCCCACCTCAGCCTCCCAAGTAGCTAGGACTATAGGCATGTGCCATCATGGCGAGTTAATTTTTTGTGTGTTTTTATTTTCTCGAGACAGAGTCTTGCTCTGTTGCTCAGGCTGGACTGCAATGGCGTGATCTTGGCTCACCGCAACCTCCACCTCCTGGGTTCAAGCGATTCTCCTGCCTCAGCCTCCCGAGTAGCTGGGATTACAGGTGCGTGCCAGCATGCCTGGCTAATTTTGTATTTTTAGTAGAGACAGGGTTTCGCCATGTTGGTCAGGCTGCTCTCGAACTCCTGACCTCATGATCCACCTGCCTCGGCCTCTCAAAGTGTTGGGATTACAGGCATGAGCCACTGAGCCTGGCCTGGGGAGCTAATTTTTAAATTTGTTATAGAGACAAGAGAGACAAGAGTCTCTCTTATGTTGCCCAGGCTGGTCTCGACCCCGTGGCCTCAAGTGATCCTCCCACCTCAGCCTCCCAAAGTGCTGGGATTACAGATGGGTGTCACCGCAGCTGGCCTCTGAGGAGGGTTTCATTATAAACCTGCCCTGAAGGGAGGGAATCCAATTTTACGAGAGGGTGTAGCCTGGTGAGGCCTGGATGACCTCCGCAGGCAGGGGCTTGTGCCTGGGCTGAGGCCTAAGGGACAATGGGCAGACATGAAGTTGCCCCAGGCAGAGGGTACAGTGTGGGCAAAGTCAGGAAGTGGCAGGGCTTGGATCACTCCAGGAAGAGAGAGGACTCACGTGTCACAGGAGCTCGAGACCCAGAGAGAGAGTGAGGCAGGCAGGCAGGGACCAAGCTTGGGCACAGCCAGGAAGGCAGGACAGGGCATGGTGGGGCCAATGGAATCATTACCCAAGACGGGCATTTTCAGGGAAACAGCTTAGATAAGGCCAGGCGTACAGTAGCTCCCACCTGTAATCCCAGCATTTGGGGAGGCTGAGGTAGGAGGACTGCTTGCGCCTGGGAGTTCGAGACCAGCCTAGGCAACATAGTGAGACCCCATATCCACAAAAAATTTAAAAAAGGAGTTTGTGTTCCTGTAGTAGCATACTTGGGAGGTTGAGGTGGCAGTATCACTTGAGCCCGGGAGTTCAAGGCTAAAGTGAGCTGATTGAGCCATTGCACTCCAGCCTGAGTGACAGAGAGATACGCTGTCTCAAAGGAAATACAAATTAAAAAACCAGCCGGGCATGCTGGTGTGTGCCTGTAGTCTCAGCTACTTGGGACACTGAAGTGGGAGGATCGCTTGAGCCCAGGAGTTCAAGGCTGCCGTGAGCTATGATTGTGCCTGTGCACTCCAGCCTGGGCGACAGAGAAAGACCCTGTCTCTTAAAAAAAAAAAAAAAAAAAAAAAATCTTAGAGGATGCTGTGCCTCCCTGGGGGTCTTCAGTCACCCATGGTCCTGGCAGCAGAGGAGGGCCAGGAGAGAGCTTCACCCACCTGCTGTCCTGCCCATGTGACATCCGCAGGTGCTGCCATGGCCACGACTGTTGTTACACTCGAGCTGAGGAGGCCGGCTGCAGCCCCAAGACAGAGCGCTACTCCTGGCAGTGCGTCAATCAGAGCGTCCTGTGCGGTGAGTCCCCAGCACCACCATGCCACCCACCCCGAGTATCCCCTGGGCATCCTGGCATAGCCAGATGACTTCCGTGCCCGTTGCAATAACCACTGCTTCCAACTCTCTATAGACCACCCCTTGGGTATATCTAATGTAAGTGATATTTATTTTATTTATTTTTTGAGTCAGAGTCTCGCTCTGTCACCCAGGCTAGAGTGTGCTGATGTGATCTTGGCTCACTACAACCTCTGCCTCCTGGGTTCAAGCCATTCTCATGCCTCAGCCTCCCAAGTGGCTGGGACTACAGGCATGCACCATCACGCCCAGCTAATTTTTGTATTTTTTTCAGTAGAGGTGGGGTTTCACCAAGTTGGCCGGGCTGGTCTCAAACTCCCCACCTCAAGTGCTCTGCCCGCCTCGGCCTCCCAAAGTGCTGGGATTACAGGCATGAGTCGTGGTGTCTGGCCCTAATGTGAGTGATCTTTAACAATGAAGACTTGAAAAAGAAAACCCTGAAGAAACCTAATTCTTTGATGTCTGGACGACAAGGAAGAAGATAGATAGAAGTGGCATCAGATAATAAACAGTGTAAATGTTTATCAGAAAGAGGCTGGTGGTTGGGACCAGTAGGAGGATCGCTTGAGTCCAGGAGTGCATCTCTACAAAAAAGTTAAAGGATTTTTTAACATTGGCCAGGCATGGTGGCACACATCTGTGATCCCAGCTACTTGGGAGGCTGAGGCAGGATTGCTTGAAGCCCAGGAGGCTGAGGCTGCAGTGAGCTGTGATCGAGCCACTGCACTCCAGCCTGGGTGACAGAGCAAAACCCAGTCTCAAAAAATAATAATAATATTTTACATAACCAACCACTTCTAAAGACTAAAAAAAAACCCTACAATTAAAAACCTCAGGTCCCTCAGGCAATCATACCAGATATTGAAACAAAGCAATAACATAAGGACTGCAGTATTTATTTTATTTTTATATTATTTATTTATTCTTTGTTAGTTTGTTTTTGGAGTGTGGGTTTTGTTTTGTTTTTTGATTTTTTTCTTTTGTTCCACCCACAGATTTCTTCTTATTGCCCAGGCTTGAGTGCAATGACCTGTTCTCAGCTTACTCAACCTCTGCCTCTTGGGTTTCAGTCATTTTTCTGCCTCGGCCTCCTGAGTAGCTAAGGGAGGAGTCTTGAGATTATCATCCACGGAGGGTGGAAGAGGAGAGGGTGGAAGGGGAATAAGAAGACACTCCAGTGAAGCACTTGCCTTGCGTGCAAAAATGTAAGGGGGCCTCTCCCTCTCCCTCTCCGTCTCCCTCTCCCTCTCCCTCTCCGTCTCCCTCTCCCTCTCCCTCTCCCTCTCCCTCTCCCTCTCCCTCTCCCTCTCCCTCTCCCTCTCCGTCTCCCTCTCCCTCTCCCTCTCCCTCTCCCTCTCCCTCTCACTCTCCCTCTCACTCTCCCCACGGTCTCCCTCTCATGCGGAGCCGAAGCTGGACTGTACTGCTGCCATCTCGGCTCACTGCAACCTCCGTGCCTGATTCTCCTGCCTCAGCCTGCCGAGTGCCTGCGATTGCAGGCACGCGCCGCCACACCTGACTGGTCTTGGTGGAGACGGGGTTTCGCTGTGTTGGCCGGGCCGGTCTCCAGCCCCTAACCGCGAGTGATCCGCCAGCCTTGGCCTCCCGAGGTGCCAGGATTGCAGACGGAGTCTCGTTCACTCAGTGCTCAATGGTGCCCAGACTGGAGTGCAGTGGCGTGATCGCGGCTCGCTACAACCTACACCTCCCAGCCGCCTGCCTTGGCCTCCCACGGTGCCGAGATTGCAGCCTCTGCCCGGCCGCCACCCCGTCTGGGAAGTGAGGAGCGTCTCTGCCTGGCCGCCCATCGTCTGGGATGTGAGGAGCCTCTCTGCCTGGCTGCCCAGTCTGGAAAGTGAGGAGCGTCTGCGCCCGGCAGCCATCCCATCTAGGAAGTGAGGAGCGCCTCTTCCCAGCCGCCATCACATCTAGGAAGTGAGGAGCGTCTCTGCCCGGCTGCCCATCGTCTGAGATGTGGGGAGCGCCTCTGCCCCGCCGCCCCATCTGGGATGTGAGGAGTGCCTCTGCCCGGCCGAGACCCCGTCTGGGAGGTGAGGAGCGTCTCTGCCCAGCCGCCCCGTCTGAGAAGTGAGGAGACCCTCTGCCTGGCAACCACCCCGTCTGAGAAGTGAGGAGGCCCTCCGCCCGGCAGCTGCCCCGTCTGAGAAGTGAGGAGCCTCTCCGCCCGGCAGCCACCCCATCTGGGAAGTGAGGAGCGTCTCTGCCCGGCAGCCACCCCGTCCGGGAGGGAGGTGGGGGTGGTCAGCCCCTGCCTGGCCAGCTGCCCCATCCGGGAGGGAGGTCGGGGGTCAGCCCCCCGCCCGGCCAGCCGCCCCGTCCGGGAGGTGAGGGGCACCTCTGCCCGGCCACCCCTACTGGGAAGTGAGGAGCCCCTCAGCCTGGCCAGCCGCCCCGTCCGGGAGGGAGGTGGGGGGGTCAGCCCTCCACCCGGCCAGCTGCCCCGTCTGGGAGGTGAGGGGCGCCTCTGCCCGGCTGCCCCTACTGGGAAGTGAGGAGCCCCTCTGCCCGGCCAGCCGCCCCGTCCGGGAGGGAGGTGGGGGGGTCAGCCCTCCGCCCGGCCAGCTGCCCCGTCTGGGAGGTGAGGGGCGCCTCTGCCCGGCTGCCCCTACTGGGAAGTGAGGAGCCCCTTTGCCCGGCCAGCTGCCCAGTCTGGGAGGGAGGTGGGGGGGTCAGCCCCCTGCCCGGCCAGCTGCCCCGTCTGGGAGGTGAGGGGTGCCTCTGCCCGGCCGCCCCTATTGGGAAGTGAGGAGCCCCTCTGCCCGGCCAGCCGCCCCGTCCAGGAGGGAGGTGGGGGGGGTCAGCCCCCCCCGCCCGGCCAGCCGCCCCGTCCGGGAGGTGAGGGGTGCCTCTGCCCGGCCGCCCCTACTGGGAAGTGAGGAGCCCCCCTGCCTGGCCACCACCCCGTCTGGGAGGTGTGCCCAACAGCTCATTGAGAACGGGCCAGGATGACAATGGCGGCTTTGTGGAATAGAAAGGCGGGAAAGGTGGGGAAAAGATTGAGAAATCGGATGGTTGCCGTGTCTGTGTAGAAAGAAGTAGACATGGGAGACTTTTCATTTTGTTCTGCACTAAGAAAAATTCTTCTGCCTTGGGATCCTGTTGATCTGTGACCTTACCCCCAACCCTGTGCTCTCTGAAACATGTGCTGTGTCCACTCAGGGTTAAATGGATTAAGGGCGGTGCAAGATGTGCTTTGTTAAACAGATGCTTGAAGGCAGCATGCTCGTTAAGAGTCATCACCAATCCCTAATCTCAAGTAATCAGGGACACAAACACTGCGGAAGGCCGCAGGGTCCTCTGCCTAGGAAAACCAGAGACCTTTGTTCACTTGTTTATCTGCTGACCTTCCCTCCACTATTGTCCCATGACCCTGCCAAATCCCCCTCTGTGAGAAACACCCAAGAATTATCAATAAAAAGAAAATTAAAAAAAAAAAAAAAAAAAAAACAGGCTACCTACAATTTGTGTTGAAGATATGAATGAATGAAGTTTCCACACCCTTATGTGGAGTTCTGATAAGTAAGCAACAATAAGGAAGGGTCCCCAGGTTGGGGAGACCCCAAGTTGAGAACAATAATGAACAATTATTGTATGAACAATTGTTAGAGACAGCTAATCACAAACAACCTGCGGGCACAATGACCCCATTCCACACGTAGCACCCTTCAGCAGGACCCTATAAAACTCTCCTCCAGCCCTTGCCTCTTTGCAGGTAGCCCCTTCTGTGCTGAGCTGCCCATTGCAACATATTTTCATAATTTCTCTAATAAATCTGCCCTTCTTTACCTACAACTATCTTGGTAAATGGCTTTACCACCTGCAAAACTGACCCTAGGTTGTTGCTACCCGATATGGTTTGGCTGCATCCCCACCCAAATTTCATCTTGAATTGTAGTTCCCATAATCCCCATGTGTCATGGGAGGGACCCGGTAGGAGGTAATCGAATCATGGGGGCAGGTTTTTCCCATACTGTTCTCGTGATAGTGAATACATCTCACTAAATCTGATGGTTTTATAAAGGGCAGTTTCCCTGCACGTGCTCTCTTGCCTGCTGCCATGTAAGACATACCTTTGCTCCTTCTTTGCCTTCCACCATGATTCTGAGGCCTCCCCAGCCTTGTGGAACTGTGAGTACATTAAACCTCTTTTTCTTTATAAATTGCCCAGTTTCGAGTATTTCTTCATAGCAGTATGAAAAGTAACTAATACACTACCTGAGACACCTTAGGAGATTTGTAATAGCTGTAATGCCAGGTCCACCATATTTTTAGCATAAAGCAAATGTTTACCCATGATATGACTGCACAGGCTTTCTTTCAGCTGGAGCCATAGCAACTCAAGTAGTAACCCTATCTTAGTCTGATTAAAAGTAAATATTAGTCTGGGCATGGTGGGACATGCCTGTAATCCCAGTACTTTGGGAGGCTGAGACAGAAGGATTGCTTGAGCCCAGGAGTTTGAGACCAGCCTGGGCAACATGGAAAAACACCGTCTCTACAAAAAATACAAAAATTAGCTGAGTGTAGTGGCACACACCTGTAGTCCCAGCACCTTGGGAGGGTGAGGCAGGAGGATCTCTTGAACCCAGGAGGTGGAGGCCGCAGTGAGCAGTGATCATGTCAGAGGTGTGTGAACCAGAGCAACTCCATCTTAAATAGGAGCTGGGAAAAATGAGGCTGAAACTGCTGGGCTGCATTCCCTGATGGTTAAGGCATTCTAAGTCACAGGATGACATAGAAGGTCAGCACAAAATACCAGTCGTAAAGACCTTGCTGATAAAACAGGTTGCAGTGAAGGAGCTGGCCAAAACCCACCAAAACCAAAATAGTGACAAGAGTGACCTCCCATCATCCTCCCTGCTACATTCCTACAAGCACCATGACAGTTTACAAATGCCATGGCAACATCAAGAAGTTACCCTATATGGTCTAAAAAGAGGAGGCATGAAAAATCCACCCCTTGTTTAGCATATCATCAAGAAATAACCATAAAAATGGGCAACCAGCAGCCCTCACGGCTGCTCTGTCTATGGGGTAGCCATTCTTTTATTCCTTTACTTTCTCTTTTTCTTTTGAGATGGAGTCTCCCTCTGTCACCCAGGCTGGAGTGCAGTGGTGCGATCTCGGCTTTCTACAAGCTTCGCCTCTCGGGTTCATCCCATTCTCCTGCCTCAGCCTCCAGAGTAGCTGGGACTACAGGCGCCCGCAACCACACTTGGCTAATTTTTTTGCATTTTTAGTAGAGACGAGGTTTCACCATGTTAACCAGGATGGTCTTGATCTCCTGACCTCGTGATCCACCTGTCTCGGCCCCCCAAAGTGCTGGGATTACAGGCGTGAGCCACCCCGTGCCCCTCCTCCTTTACTTTCTTAATAAACTTGCTTTCACTTCACACTGTGGCATCACCCTGAATTCTTTCTTGCACAAAATCCAAGAACCCTCTCTTGGGGTCTGGATTGGGACCCCTTTCCTGTAACTATCATGCCACTGCACTCCAGCCTGGGCAACAGAGCAAGGCCCTGTCTCTCAAAAAAAAAAAAAAAAAAAGTAACGTGACTTAATACATTCATTTTGGAGGGTAAGTCTCTCAAAATAGGCCTTTCACTGGGGGAAAATGGTAAAAATACTCCCTGGTAATTCAAGAATTGGAGACTCCTGAGATGCTGCTCATATTAGCTGAACACTTATCAATACTTCACTTTCTTCCATATATACTCAAGGAACAAGTGCTATTTAAAGTGTTTCACTCTGCTGTGCTAGGTGCAAGACTATAAAGAGGTGTGAGGATCAACACTTTTATGAAAACCAATGTCATTCTGAATATAGTTTCAGATGCTAGTGCAAAGGAAGCTCTTGGTATACGGAAAAAGTATTCAACAATAAATTAGGCATGGTTGCTTCCATTTTCTGCCTCACATACCTTTTTTTCATGGTTAAAGTGATATAAAGTCTATGATATTTTAGATTGGCAGTTGCAAACTAGTGGTCCTCAGCGTGCTTTTTATGACACCTACAAGGTTTGAAGACTCTGATTTCATATTAAAAATCTGGGTTTCAGGCTGGGTGTGATGTTGCATGCCTGTAATCCCAGCACTTTGGAAGGCTGAGGCAGGAGAATCGCTTGAACCAGGGAGGTGGAGGTTGCAGTGAGCCAAGATCACGCCACTGCACTCAAGCTTAGGCAATAGAGCAAGACTCCATCTCAAAAAATGAATAAATAAATAAAATCTGGGTTTCAGGCCAGGTGTGGTGGTGCACTCCTGCAATCCCAGCACTTTGGGAGGCTGAGATGGGCAGACAGCTTGAGCTCAGGAATTCCAGACTAGCCTGGGCAACGTGGCAAAACCCCATGTCTACAAATAATACAAAAAAATTAGCTGGGTGTAGTGGAGTGTGCCTGTAATCCCAGCAACGTGGGAGGCTGAAGTGAGAGGACTGCTTGAGCCTGGGAGGTTGAGGTTACAGTGAGCTGAGATCACCCTCCTACACTCCAACCTGGGCAACAGAGCCAGACCTTGTCTTAAAAAAAAAAAAAAAAAAAAAAAAATTCTGGGTTTCTGGCATCTCAAAAAAAAAAAAAAAAAAAGGAAAGGTCAGGGCACATGGCTGCTACAGTCCTCTATTAAGCAATGTGCCACAGCAGGGGTCCCTGACCCCTGGGCCATGGACATGTACTGGTCTGTGGCCTGTTAGGAACTGGGCCACAGAGCAGGAGGTGAATGGTGGGTAACAATTGAAGCTTCGTCTGTATTTCTGGCTGCTCCTCATTGCTTGCATTGCTGCCTGAGCTCTGCCTCCTGTCAGATCAGCAGCATCATTAGATTCTTACAGGAGCATGAACCCTGTTGTGAATTGCACACACGAGGGATCCAGGTTGCATATTCCTTATGAGAATCTAATTCCTGATGATTTGTGGTGGAACAGTTTCATCCCAAGACCATTACCATCCTGCGCCCCATCCCTTGCCGCCTGTGGAAAAATTGTCTTCCACAAAGCCGGTCCCTGGTGCCAAAAATGTTGGGGACTGCTGTGCTTTAGAATCTGCCATGAATCTGCAGCCTCTATTATATAGTTCCCTATAGACTTTGCTTCCTACCGTCTTACGTTCTGCCTTATAGGCATCTCAGTTTGCAACCCTTGTTTTTGTCAGTATGCTACGCTGGTGACATTGACCAAATTGACCACACATTAATGATAAGCTTAGTTGGTGATGACCTCAACGGAATAACGTGACATAAGTATTGTGACAATACTTCTTGCATGTATCTACAGGTGGAATTGTAAACCTGGTGGTCCGAGATGGTCTAATTCGATCTTCCTATGTATCTCCTTATATTAATAGTGGTAACATTTGTGGTGGTGATTCAGCGTTTCAATGCCTCTTCTCACGGCAACAACAAACGTTTTCCTTCTGAATCAACATTAACCTAGATGTTACTGCAGATCAAAATTAGTATCTACATTTTCAACCACAGAAATATTGGGCAGTAAAAATTTTTCTTAATATTGATTGCCTACATAGGTTGTGTAATTAGCATATGTTTATAGTTCTATGATTTGTGCCTGGCTGCTACAGAGCTGGAGGGGGTAAAGCAACAGTGTTTTCTCAGTTGTGTGAGCAGCATTACATTATAATAAATAGGTAATATTAAACTGGGCTGATGAGAGTTGCAAAAGACTACTTTAATGTTCATATGGAACCAAAAAAGAGCCCGCATTGCCAAGACAATCCTAAACCCAATGAACAAAGCTGGAGGCCTCATGCTACCTGACTTCAAACTATACTACAAGGCTACAGTAACCAAAACAGCATGGTACTGGTACCAAAACAGACATATAGACCAATGGAACAGAACAGAGCCCTCAGAAATAATACCACACATCTACAACCATCTGATCTTTGACAAACCTGACAAAAACTAGAAATGTGGAAAGGATTCCCGATTTAATAAATAGTGCTTGGAAAACTGGCTAGCCCTATGTAGAAAGCTGAAACTGGATCCCTTCCTTACACCTTATACAAAAATTAATTCAAGATGGATTAAAGACTTAAATGTTAGACCTAAAGCCGTAAAAACCCTAGAAGAAAACCTAGGCAATACCATTCAGGACATAGGGATGGGCAAGGACTTCATGTCTAAAACACCAAAAGCAATGGCAACAGAAGCCAAAACTGACAAATGGGATCTAATTAAACTAAAGAGCTTCTGCACAGCAAAAGAAACTAGGATCAGTGTGAACAGGCAACCTAGAGAATGGGAGAAAATTTTTGCCATCTACTTATCTGACAAAAGGCTAATATCCAGAATCTACAAAGAACACCAACAAATTTACAAGAAAAAAACAAACCCCATCAAAAAGTGGGCAAAGGATATGAACAGACACTTCTCAAAAGAAGACATTTATGCAGCCAACAGACACATGAAAAAATGCTCATCATCACTGGCCATCAGAGAAATGCAAATCAAAACCACAATGAGATATCATCTCACACCAGTTAGAATGGCGATCATTAAAAAGTCAGGAAACAACAGGTGCTGGAGAGGATGTGGAGAAATAGGAACACTTTTACACTGTTGGTGGGACTGTAAACTGGTTCAACCATTGTGGAAGACAGTGTGGCGATTCCTCAGGGATCCAGAACTAGAAATACCATTTGACCCAGCCATCCCATTACTGGATATATACCCAAAGGATTATAAATCATGCTGCCATAAAGACACATGCACACATATGTTTATCGCGGCACTATTCACGATAGCAAAGACTTGGAACCAACACAAATGTCCATCAATGATAGACTGGATTAAGAAAATGTGGCACATATATACTATGCAGCCATAAAAAAGGATGAGTTCATGTCCTTTGTAGAGACATGGATGAAGCTGGAAACGATCACTCTCAGCAAACTATCACAAGGACAAAAAACCAAACACCGCATGTTCTCACTCACAGATGGGAATTGAACAATGAGAACACTTGGACACAGGAAGGGGAACATCACACACTGGGGCCTCTTTTGTGGTGGGGGAGGGGGAAGGGATAGCAGTAGGAGATACACCTAATGTAAATGACGAGTTAATGGGTGCAGCACACCAACATGGCACATGTGTACATATGTAACAAACCTGCACATTGTGCACATGCACCCTATAACTTAAAGTATAATTTAAAAAAATAAGTAAATAAATAAAAAAAGAAACAATTGCTGGCTTTGCAATTCTCTTTCCTCCAAAATCACCAAGGCCTCAATTTACTCATTGCTGAAAAAGGACGACTGTATATTTTTAAATGAAGAGTGTTGTTTTTACCTAAATCAATCTGGCCTGGTATATGACAACATAAAAAAACTCAAGGATAGAGTCCAAAAACTTGCCAACCAAGCAAATAATTATGCTGAACCCCCTTGGGCACTCTCTTAATTGGATGTCCTGGGTCCTCCCACTTCTTAGTCCTTTAATACCTGTTTTTCTCCTTCTCTTATTCAGACCGTGTGTCTTCTGTTTAGTTTCTCAATTCATACAAAACCATATCCAGGCCATCACCAATAATTCTATATGACAAATGCTCCTTCTAACAACCCCACAGTATCAGCCCTTACCCCAAAATCTTTCTTCAGTTGAATCTCTCCCACTGTAGGTTCCCATGCCGCCCCTAATCCCGCTCGAAGCAGCCCTGAGAAACATCGCCCATTATCTCTCCATATCACCCCCAAAAATTTTCGCCACCCCAACACTTTACCACTATTTTGTTTTATTTTTCTTATTAACATAAGAAGACAGGAATGTCAGGCCTCTGAGTCCAAGCTAAGCCATTAAGCCATCATATCCCAGTGACCTGCATGTATACATCCAGAAGGCCTGAAGCAACTGAAGATCCACAGAAGTGAAAACAGCCTCAACTGAAGACATTCCACCATTGTGATTTGTTTCTGCCCCACCCTAACTGATCAATGTACTTTGTAATCTGCCACACTCTTAAGAAGGTTCTTTATAATCTCCCCCACCCTTAAGAAGTTTCTTTGTAATTCTCCTCACCCTTGAGAATGTACTTTATGAGATCCACCTCCTGCCCCCAAAACATTGCTCTTAACTCCACCGCCTATCCCAAAACCTATAAGAACCAATGATAATCACACCACCCTTTGCTGACTCCTTTTTCAGACTCAGCCCACCTGCACCCAGGTGAAATAAACAGCCATGTTGCTCACACAAAACATGTTTGGTGGTCTCTTCACACAGACACGTGAGACAGGAGTTCGAGACCAGCCTAGCCAATCTGGTGAAACTCTGTCTCTACTAAAAATACAAAAATTAGCCGGGCATGGTGGCGGGCACCTGTAATCCCAGCTACTCGGGAAGCGGAGGCACAAAAATTGCTTGAACCCAGGAGGCAGAGTTTGCAGTGAGCCAAGATCACACTGTCTGGCATCTGAGCCCAAGCCAAGCCATTGCATCCCCTGTGACTTGCACGTATACATCCAGATGGCCTGAAGTAACTGAAGATCCACACAAGAAGTAAAAATAGCCTTAACTGATGACATTCCACCATTGTGATTTGTTTCTGCCCCACCCTAACTGTTCAATATACTTTGTAATCTCCCCCACCCTTAAGAAGGTACTTTGTAATCTCCCCAACCCTTAAGAAGGTCCTTTGTAATTCTCCCCACCCTTCAGAATGTACTTTGTGAGATCTACCCCTGCCCACAAAACATGGCTCTTCACCCCCTATCCCAAAACCTGTAAGAACTAATGATAATCCACCACCCTTTGCTGACTCTCTTTTCGGACTCAGCCCGCCTGCACCCAGGTGAAATGAACAGCCATGTTGCTCACACAAAGCCTGTTTGGTGGTCTCTTCACACGGACGTGCATGAAACACACGACTGCACTTCAGGCTGGGCGACAGAGCTAGATTCCATCTCAAAAAAAATAAAAAGGAGTCACCTCCCCTGAGAGGCCTCTGGACCAACCCATCTGAGCAGGCCACTCTTCCTTCTCTATCTTACCATCTTGTTTCTGTCCCAGTAGTTAGGGCTACCTCCAGTAATCCTATTTGTCCCTTTACTGTTTAGTGCGTCTCACTTGACTAGAAGCTCCATGAAAGCAGAGATCCTACCTACCTCCTTCACCACTAGACCCCCAGGGCCTGGTATGTGGTGATCGCTCAGGGCCCATTTTCTTCCTTTCCTCCTCCTCCAAGGGTGGGGAAAGAGCATCAGAAGGTCTAGGTGGCCCCAGGCCCAAACAATCCTCCTTTAAAAGGAAACCAGATTGTTACAAAGGTCAGAGGCTGAAAAGTTATTTCCGCCTTTTATCCCTCTAAATTCTTCACTTCCTGAAAAAACAAACAAAAAAAAGCCACTGAGGGCCCTTGGACTAAATCCAGGCCTGAGTTGCTGGGCAGAGGTCAGTCTTGTCCAGACATGGGAAAAAAATAACTCGAGTCAGACAGGTGGGTCACCAGAGAACGAATCCAGCCTGCAAATGGTGTGTGCAATCTTCAGCTCTGTCCAGACCTGCCTCCCTCTGGGGATGCCTTTAAAGGTGATGAATGACCTGGATGAATGGGCTTAGAAGAGGGAAAAACAAATATCACAGGTCAAATCATTATTTGTCTTCAAGTTTAACACCGTCTACTGGACTGAAAGATGTCCAAAGAATAGTTGTTCAACTATGTAAATTCCTTTTTTTTTTTTTTTTTGAGACAGAGTCTCGCTCTGTTGCCCAGGCTGGAGTGCAATGGTATGATCTTGGCTCACTGCAAGCAACCTCTGCTCCTGGGCTCAAACCATTCTCCTGCCTCAGCTTCCCAAGTAGCTGGGACTACAGGCATGTGCCACCACGCTCAGCTAATTTTAGTATTGTTAGTAGAGACAGGGTTTCATCATGTTGACCAGGCTGGTCTCGAACTCCTGACCTCAGGTGATCCACCTGCCTCGGCATCCCAGAGTGCTGGGATTACAGGCATGAGCCACTGTGCCCAGCCAACTACATAAATTCCTAACAACGTATCTCCAGAAAGTATAGGCACAACAGCACATGCAGTCATTCCTGTAATCAGGTGCTCCGGGAGGCCAAGGCAAGAAGATCCCTTGAGCCCAGGAGTTTGAGACCAGCCTGGACAACATAGCAAGACTGTGTCTCTATAAAATATACAAAAATTGGGCTGGGTATGGTGGCTCATGCCTGTAGGCCCAGCACTTTGGGAGACCAAGGCAGGAAGATCGATTGAACTCAGGAGCTTGGGACCAGCCTGGACAACATAATGAGACCCAGTCTCTACTAAAACTCAAGAAAATTAGCCAGATGTGGTTGCATGTGCCTGTAGTCCCAGCACTTTGGGAGGCCAAGGTGGGTGGATCACCTGAGGTCAGGAGGTTGAGACCAGCCTGGCCAACATGGCGAAACCCCATCTCTACTAAAAATACAAAAATTAGCCCGGTATGGAGGCATGTGCCTGTAATCCCAGCTACTTGGGAGGCTGAGGCAGGAGAATGGATTGAACCCAGGAGGCAGAGGTTGCAGTGAGCCAAGATCGCACCACTGCACTCCAGCCTGGGCAACAGAACAAGACTCCATCAAAAAAAAAAAAAAAAAGAAAGAAAGAAAGAAGAAAAGAAAATTAGCCAGGTGTGGTTGCATGCACCTGTAGTCCCAGCACTTTGGGAGGCCAAGGCAGGAGGATCAATCAAGGCTAGGAGTTTGAGACTGCAGAAGGAAACCCTGTCTCTAAAAACAAGGTCCAGCTAAAATCAGGGTCCAGCTCCACCACAAGCGCAGCTCCAGGGTCTGTTGAGTTTTGCCTCTACCATTCCAAGTAGTCCCTGCTCCAGACCAAGTCCCACCATCTGGCAGTCAGGTCAGTCCAACCACAGTCATATCAGGGCGCTTCCCGGTTCTTTCATTGAGTGCCCCTTGAGGAGGCTGGAGGAGAGGCCAATGACATTTGCACTTGAGACTCCAGAGTCTAGATTTATAACCACTATGTTACGGCTGCCAGTGTGGCTGCAAGGACACTTCTTTCATTCATTCATTTACAATAGATGTAGCATCTGCTGTGTGCCAGATGCCATTCTAGGTTCTAGGGAAACAAAGCAAAGCCCCTGTTTTCCAAGGCATCCACATTCTAGGAAAGACTGCTACCAGCCTGGCGTGGTGGCTCATGCCTGTAATCCCAGTACTTTGGGAGGCCGAGGTGGGCGGATCACTTGATGTCAGGAGTTCAAGACCAGCCAACATAGTGAAACCCCGTTTCTACTAAAAGTACAAAAATCAGCTGGGCATGGTGGCACGTGCCTGTAGTCCCAGCTACTCAGGAGGCTAAGGCAGGAGAATCGCTTGAACCTGGGAGGCAGATGTTGTGGTGAGCCGAGATCACGCTACCGCACTCCAGCCTGGGCAACAGAGTGAGACTCCATCAAAAAATAGTAATAATAAAATAAAGACTGCTACTAAACAATAAAATAACCAAACCAGATAGATGACTTCAGGTGGTGGTAAGAGCTTTGAAAGAATAAGCAAGGTAACTAACTGGTCAGAGGAAGGGAGATGGGTGCATTCCCTCAGATAGACCGCCCCAGAGGTCTGCCTCTCTGACATGACATTTGAGCAGAAACCCAACAGGAAAAGGAAGAGACTGCTCTATGGCCAGGCACGGTGGCTCACACCTGTAATCCCAGCACTTTGGGAGGCCCAGGCGGGCGGATCACGAGGTCAGGAGATCGAGACCATCCTGGCTAAGACGGTGAAACCCTGTCTCTACTAAAAATACAAAAAAATTAGCCGGGCGTGGTGGTGGATGCCTGTAGTCCCAGCTACTCGGGAGGCTGAGGCAGGAGAATGGCGTGAACCCGGGAGACGGAGCTTGCAGTGAGCCGAGATTGCGCCACTGCACTTCAGCCTGGGTGACAGTGAGACTCCATCTCAAAGAAGAAAAAAAAAAGAACCAAGAGGAGTCCAGGAGAAGAGAACAGCAGATGCAAAGGCCCTGAGGCAGAAACAATCTTGGTATGCGGGAGGAATAGGAAGGCAGCCAGTGCAGCTGGAGCAGGATAGGTTAAGAGAGGATCAAGGTGATGAGGGCCTGGAAAGAGGGGCTGGGGTCAAATCACCAGATCCTGTTGGTTGCAATGGAAGAGCCTGGAGTTTATTCTCAGGGCAGTGAGAAGCCACTGGAAAGTTGTTTTTTGTTTTTCTGTTTTTGAGACAGAGTCTAGCTCTGTCACCCAGGCAGACTGCAGTGGTGCAATCTTGGCTCACTGTAACCTCTGCCTCCCAGGTTCAAGCGATTCTCCTGCCTCAGGCTCCCCAGTAGCTGGGATTACAGGCACAGGCCACCACACCCATCTAATTTTTTTTTTTTTTTTTGAGACAGAGTCTCTGTCACCCAGGCTGGAGTGCAGTGGCACAATCTCAGCTCACTGCAACCTCCACCTCCCAGGTTCAAGCAATTCTCCTGCCTCAGCCTCCTGAGTAGCTGGGACTACAGGTGCATGCCACCATACCTGGCTAATTTTTTGTGTTTTTAGTAGAGACAGGATTTCATCACGTTAGCCAGGATGGTCTCGATTTCCTGACCTCGTGATCTGCCCACCATGGCCTCCCAAAGTGCTGGGATTAACAGGCGTGAGCCACCGTGCCTGGCCAGCCACCGGAAAGTTTTATGTAAGCAGGGGAGTGATCTGTTTTATCATTTAGAAGGATACACACCTCTTCTTCTTTTTTTAGAGACAGGGTCTAGTTCTGTCACCCAGGCTGGAGCCCAGTGGCACAATCATAGCTTACTGTAACCTCAAACTCCTGGGCTCAAGTGATCCTCCTACCTCAGCATCCCAAAGTGCTGGATTACAGGCATGAGTCACCATGCCTGGTCACACTTCTCATTCTTTAAACCAGACCTCATTTGTCCACCTCCCCCATCCCCCGCCCCACCCCACGGACTGTCCTATAATGCCCATACAACAGGTCACTGTTTAGAAAGTGCCACAAAGTTACAAACACAGTCCCTTCTGAGCCTCCCACCAATGTTGGTGGGTGCAAGGTCAAAAAAAAAATCTCATCTATCTAAGGGGCATAGGAGACTTTTTAGTTAGAGGGCCCAATTATAGTCCTCCTGAAAAGATGCCAAAAGTCCCCTTAAACACTTAGCAAAGATTCAAGAAAGATGAATCTCACATTCTTTGTATGGGAAATGAGGAACTTGACATCTTCAATATAATAGATTCCACTAAAATAAGATGACGATCAATAGGAACCAACTAAAAAAATACTTGACTAGCTGTTATTGAAAGGCTGAAATTCAGCTGACATAAGCAGTATTAATATTGAGCTAGAAAATAATTCGCATTGAATTCAGCCCAACTTTTGTTTTCTGATTTGGGTCTCTTCTAAATTTTTTTTTTCTTCTGGACATTGGGAACAATCCAATTTGAAGGCCTCAATGCCCAAATCTACACTCGTTTTATTCTATATCCTTGGTTTCTTTTTTTTTTTTTTTGAGATGGAGTCTCACTCTGTCGCCCAGGCTGGAGTGCAGTGGCGTGATCTTGGCTCAATGCAAGATCCGCCTCCCGGGTTCATGCCATTCTCCTGCTGCAGCCTCCTGAGTAGTTGGGACTACAGATGCCCGCCCCCACGCCCGGCTAATTTTTTTGTATTTTTAGTAGAGACGGGGTTTCTCCATGTTATCCAGGATGGTCTCAATCTCCTGACCTCGTGATCCACCCGCCTCAGCATCTCAAAGTGCTGGGATTACAGGCATTAGCCACCGTGCCTGGCCCACACCTGGGTGATTTTTAAAATTCTTCTAGTAGAGACAGGGTCTCACTATGTTGGGTCACCGTGTTTGATGTCAGTTTTCCCTGACAGAATCTACAATCTCCTTGATCACCATTATATCCCAACACAGAGCTCAGTACCTGGTACAAAGCACATTTGATCAATACTTGCTGAATAAAGAAATAAAAATGAAGAGGCATTCCAGCCTGGGCAACAGAGTGAGATGGTCTCAAAAAAAAAAAACAAAAAAAAAAAAAACAAAAAATGACTGGAAAGGAGATGAGGGTACTTGTGAAGCCATATTATATGACACGCTCTGTGCTAGGACTTTTATATACCTTGTCTCATCTCTTCATCTCATATAATCCTTACAAGTATCTCAAAAGTGGGGAAATCCCCATATAACTGAAGAGGAAGGCAGTTCAGAAGTTCACTGATTTGCCCTAAGGTTCCTCAATTTGTAAACATCAGGCCAATGATCCAACCCCAGGTATGTTTGGCAGTGAAGGACCAGTTGAGTCATAGCTGCAAGTAACAACCCTGCAGTGGTCCCTATCTTGGCCGTTAGCTTACATTGACATTTAACACTCAAATTTACTCAGTAACACCAGCTATCATGTTTTCCACTAAAACTCCACAGCATTCTGGCAACTTTTCTATTTTAGAGCAATAAAGTAAATTGTTAGCATCCCTTTGACATATAAATATTTCTACAAATAGTAATTCTCTAGCCATTCATTTGGAGTATTTAAAACTCAACATTCATAGCACATTTTATGTGACAAAGAACTTATGTTCAGAACACAAAAATAAGTCTTATGTCTTCATTAAAAATGGGTGAAGAATTTGAACAAACATTTGCAAACTAAAATACAAATGAAATACACTCAACATCATTAATCATCAAGAAAATAAAATTATGAGATAATCCTAATAATCACTACATATGCACCACAGTGATTAAAATTTTTTTAAGTTAAGCCACGTGACCCAATAAGGTGCATTCACTCAAGAGAAACGCAAATATATGTCCACTCAAAGACTTGCACATGAATGTTGAGAGCAGGTTTATACTGAATAGTGCAATGTGAAAAAACCCCAAAATCTAGCAAAGAATGAAGGGAGAAATAAACTGTGGTATATACATACAATAGAACACTACTCAATAATAAAAAGGATTGTATTCCTGATACATGCAATATGGGTGAACCTTAAAAATATCATGCTGAGCAAGAGAAGCCAAACACAAGAGAACATGTTGTTATGATTTCACGTACATGAAACTTTAGTAAAGACAAGTCTAATCCATAGTGACAGAAAGCAAATGAGTAACTGCTGACAGGGCCAAATGAGGAGATGATCCCAAGGGAACCTTCTGGGGTAAGACGGTGTTCTGTATCTCAATCGTATTGGTGGTCACACAAGTGAAGACATGTTAGAACTCATCAAACCATACACTTAGAATGTGTAATATAAACCTCAATAAAGCAAAATTTAAAAAAAAAAACACCTTTAATTTTCTCTTACAAAAAAAAAAAGGAAAACCACTTAACTTTAATTTTTCTCCAACAACTGATTCTGGTACATAGTATACCTTACTGCCTGCATCCATGGCCTCACATCATGCTGTTTACATGAACGTAAAGCTTCACCGAAGAGTGGAATAAGACAGTCCTGCCAGAGAAAAACCAAAATTACTCAACGTAAAACAGGCTGTTGATACGTTTGCAGATATATAGCAAGTCTTAAGTCAAAGACTGCAATATAGTTTGGCTACTTCAGATTGATTGCAGTAGTTTTATCTATTACACTATACCCTTACATCATTTATCTTCTACTCACAAGAGGCAAGCACACAGTAAGAGAAAGCCTTTTGTTTTGAAGGGAAATCTTCTTCAGAATATTAAGTCTAATTTATCAATATACTTAATAAAGCACATTACAAAAAAAAAGTCACAGCACATTTACTATAAAGCAGACTGCAGAAAAACATTACAACTAATGCTTTATAATGAAGTTCTCGAAGATCATCATTCATTCAGAAGCCCCCATCTCTGGTTGAACTTTACCCCATTTAGGATGAAGAGGAGAGATCTTTGTTTGCAGCAAATCTAAAATTTACGTAATCTGCCTAAAGGAACTGTCTTTACATACACCACCTCCCACTCCAAAAATAGAAGAAAAAACTGAGCAATTTGCCATCCTTGCGATTATCTCAGGTTCTTCCATCTGCCCCATGTACTTCCCAAATGAAAGACTGCCTGAAAACAGCATGTTAGATTTCTGGATTTACCAGCTTGCCCAACTACAAATCCTATTTCAAAAAACTCAAAAAATAAGGTCTTTGTTCTACAGTAATGACCATTAATAGTCATAAGAATGTGCTTGTAAAAATATACAGACCTCTGTTTAAAGTCTGTTAGAAACTGTGTTCTCCAAAGCAGGTGAGCAATACAGCTGCAAGGTACTTAGAACTGGCAAAGACTGTGAAACTGTTAAAGTAGAAAGTCTCAGAGGTCCAACAGCGATGCGGGATGTTTGCTTCAAGTACTTTACCACATTTCTGAAACAAAATATTTACTGTCAATTAATAAAAATTACAATTCATAACCACTCAAAGAATAAAGCAATTGATAAGATGCTATCAAACTGACATCCAAAGTTAGGGGGCAGTAAGAGGAGCAGCCTGCTCTATAATAAAATGATATTAGCAAGTCAAGACATTTGCTTTTGGGGATTTTTACATTTTATTTCATTTCAACCTCAGTTTTTGTTGGCAAGCAGCATTCATATATCATATGACTTCTACAACTAAAATGAAGCTATTAGCACTAGTATTTAGTAATCTAGTAACTCTCCTTCCAGCCCTCTTCACCCCATGTATGTTTATCACATGATATACACAATGTACATTTATCTCCGTAAGAGTAACTTACTCAGTTATAGACTGCCACTTCTGATCTTGTTCTATCGGGTTTAAAGCAGTTGCCAAACAAACAGAACTTCTTAACAATTGAACTTCAATGGATTTCTGAGGTTCCCTTGGATCTGGACTTAACATGTTACGAAGCAGGTTTTTCATGTCTACAGAAGTTAAATGAAATGTCATTAATTAATGTGCTTTTATTATAAATTTTGATTTATGTTTGGCATTATTAAAAACTAATCACCAATGAACAGCTCCTTTAATATTTAAGGCAGTTAAACACTATAAGCATTACTGAGAGCTATATAAAAATCATACTTCATACAAAATTACTGTACCTCAGACCCCTAAAAAGCAGTTGCCTTCAAAGGCTCAAAAATCAGTAAGTCGAGGCCAGGCGTGGTGGCTCACGCCTGTAATCCCAGCACTTTGGGAGGCCAAGGTGGGTGGATCACGAAGTCAGGAGTTCAAGACCAGCCTGGCCAAGATGATGAAACCCCGTCTCTACTAAAAATACAAAAAATTAGCTGGGCACAGTGGCAGACACCTGTAATCCCAGCTACTCAGGAGGCTGAGGCAGGAGAATTGCTTGAACTCAGAGGACGGAGGTTGCAGTGAGCCAAAATCCCGCCACTGCACTCCAGCCTGGGCAACAGAGTGAGACTCTGTCTCAACAAAAAAGAAAATCAGTAAGTCAATCTACTATTTAAGGGAACAAATCTAGACCTGCATTAGCAAATCTTGCTCAATCCAGAATACTCATTAAACTTTTTAATAACATTTTATAAAGTGTTCCATTTGTGATAAAGAACTTAATGAGCCACATCAAGATGAAAATCAAGAAAAATATTTAGCTGAAACACTACTTTGTCCTTTATCAAACAAAATGGCTAGATAAATCTCAAAGCATTAAGGTGGTCATTTTTTTATTTGACTTAATTTTAAGTGCTTTTCATTTCCCAAATCAAACTTAAATAGGGCAGCCCTAAATTTGTTGCTTCACATGGGATTCTGCCCCCCAAAAATGTAAAATGACTTCCAGATTTTCCAGTAAAATATACTAAGCCAAACATTTTGAGCAACTTGTCCACTAAAATAACTTTAAAACTATTTTCTCAAATACCTACCTATTTTTTCTTTTGATCCTCCAGCAAGTAGATTGATATTTTCTCCTGGTAACAATTCTAATTGCTCAGTACATTCAACAAATTTTCCAGACTCGAAGCTGCTTAATGATCTGTAATTAAAATATTGGTTAGCTTGTATTCCTACGCAGCCTGTGGAACCATTAAAAAAAAACAAACAAACAAAAACAGAACAAATCCTAGGAAGACAGCAAAGTACACAGCATTTTTCTGACAAAATTCCTTCCACGAGGATGTCATTATTTTGGTTTTTATGTTGAAGATGTGACTACCACTTAATTAGTACTCAAATTGGAGTGGCAAACCAGAAAGTCACAGCTACAGACTTTCAGTAGAGCTGACTCGCCCCTGTGTCTCCTTCCTGTTTTCATGTGTTGCAGCCTGTTCTCTTCAGAGCCTAACACACTGACAGTAGACCTCTGCAGGACAACTTTGACACCCAGTTCTCTCCAAGCTGCCAGTGAGCTCCTTGTGCAGCCTCACTCCTCACCTACAGCATGAGCCCTTGCAGCTCTCCCAGCATCATAATCTTGTATCTCAGTCCTGGCTTCTTTCACTGCTGGCATCCCTCCATCTCTCCCTTTTTCACCTACTTTTCTTTTTTCAAAGAATTCTTCTCTTTCATCTGCTTTTATGAAAAATAATGACACCTCTGAAATTCTTTCCTGTAGTCCTGCAGCATCAATGCCAGGAAGACAGGCCTCATCCTCCCAGCTTCTATGCTGCTCCTTTCAGATCCCTTACCCTGTCCCCATTTTCATGACACGGGCTCTCCAGCCAGGAAGAAGACACTGTTTCTCACTCTCTCTCTTTTCCATCTTTGCCTGTCCCTCTCGCTGTGTAACTTCCCTTATAACTCAGCCTGAGGCCAGTGCTAGAAAGGCACATCACCTGACTTATTCTGTGCCTGATTCTACCTAGATCAGTGCAACCACTGGCTTCTCAGGGGGACCCTTGAGTACTGGGCACTGATGAACTGCTGCCAACACATTCGTCATTTCTGCCATTAAAAGGTCCTAAGTCCTCTCCAGTGACAGGTTCCTCAAGTCCCCACTATGCTCTATAATGCCCTATGCTTTCAGCTAATGACTCAGTCCTCAGAAAAACAAACAAATAAAAAAACACAGGCTTTAATTTCCTCTACCCCTACCCCCAATCCACCATACACTGCCAAAATTCTGTCTATACCAACTTTGACTGCTTTCCTTGAGGCAGAGAAAAGGTGAGGGCCAGTTAATCTATCAATGTTCTTTCTCCTGTTTCTTCAACCTCTGCTTTCTAGTGGCTCCTTCCCCTTGGCCAAAAGAACATAATCTCTCCAACATTTAAAATAAACATCTCATATCTCCCTCCAGCAATAGCTTCCTATCCTCGACTTCAAGAAAAACTCACTGACCAAATAACTTACCTCAAGCTTTTCATTTTCAAATGTCTCTACCACTCAATAGTATTCAATCTAGCTTCTTCTGTCTCTCTACAAAACTCTTTTTCCTTATAATCCCTAGAGCATCTGACAAGGCTGACTACTCCCATCTGGATGTCCTATATCTAGGACACTTCCCTTCTCAATGTCCCTGTATTTTTTTGAATGGCTTCCTCTTCTATACTTTCACAAAAATGCTAAACTAGGATTCTGACCCAGGCCTTCCTTCCTCTTCACTCACTATTCTCCAGAGGCTTCTCTCTGGTTTGGTTGCTTACAAAGGCTCTAGAGTATAGAGACTGAAAAGGAAACAGGGCCTTTTCTGTGTACTAATGATGTGCAAATCTCTCAAGCTTAGACTTTCTCCTTAGTTCAAAATCCAATTTTTTTTTTTTAATTGATCATTCTTGGGTGTTTCTCGCAGAGGGGGATTTGGCAGGGTCATAGGACAATAGTGGAGGGAAGGTCAGCAGATAAACAAGTGAACAAAGGTCTCTGGTTTTCCTAGGCAGAGTGTGTGTGTCCCTGGGTACTTGAGATTAGGGAATGGTGATGACTCTTAACGAGCATGCTGCCTTCAAGCATCTGTTTAACAAAGCACATCTTGCACCGCCCTTAATCCATTTAACCCTGAGTGGACACAGCACATGTTTCAGAGAGCACAGGGTTGGGGATAAGGTCATAGATCAACAGGATCCCAAGGCAGAAGAATTTTTCTTAGTACAGAACAAAATGAAAAGTCTCCCATGTCTACTTCTTTCTACACAGACACGGCAACCATCCGATTTCTCAATCTTTTCCCCACCTTTCCCCCTTTTCTATTCCACAAAACCGCCATTGTCATCATGGCCCGTTCTCAATGAGCTGTTGGGTACACCTCCCAGACGGGGTGGTGGCCGGGCAGAGGGGCTCCTCACTTCCCAGTAGGGGCGGCCGGGCAGAGGCGCCCCTCACCTCCTGGACGGGGCGGCTGGCCGGGCGGGGGGCTGACCCCCCTACCTCCCTCCCAGACAGGGCGGCTGGCCAGGCAGAGGGGCTCCTCACCTCCCAGACGGGGCGGCGGGGCAGAGGCGCTCCCATCTCAGACGATGGGCGGCCGGGCAGAGACGCTCCTCACTTCCTAGATGGGATGGCGGCCGGGCAGAGACACTCCTCACTTTCCAGACTGGGCAGCCAGGCAGAGGGGCTCCTCACATCCCAGACGATGGGCGGCCAGGCAGAGACGCTCCTCACTTCCCAGACGGGGTAGCGGCCGGGCAGAGGCTGCAATCTCGGCACTTTGGGGGGCCAAGACAGGCGGCTGGGAAGTGGAGGTTGTAGCCGAGATCACGCCACTGCACTCCAGCCTGGGCACCATTGAGCACTGAGTTAACAAGACTCCGTCTGCAATCCCGGCACCTCGGGAGGCCGAGGCTGGCGGATCACTCACGGTTAGGAGCTGGAGACCAGCCCGGCCAACACAGCGAAACCCCGTCTCCACCAAAAAAGTACGAAAACCCATCAGGTGTGGCGGCGCACGCCTGCAATCGCAGGCACTCGGCAGGCTGAGGCAGGAGAATCAGGCAGGGAGGTTGCAGTGAGCCGAGATGGCAGCAGCACAGTCCAGCTTCGGCTTGGCATGAGAGGGAGACCGTGGAAAGAGAGGGAGAGGGAGACCGTGGAAACCGTGGAAAGAGAGGGAGAGGGAGACCGTGGAAAGAGAGGGAGAGGGAGAGGAGGGAGAGGGAGAGGGAGAGGAGGGAGAGGGAGAGGGAGAGGGAGAGGAGGGAGAGGGAGAGGGAGAGCCAAAATCCAATTCTTAACAGCTTACCCAACAATCTCATCTGCACATTTCATTAGAAATCTTAAAACATAGCTTGTTCTCTGTGTGCTCCTACTCCAGTTAATAGCATTGTTTCTCTTCCCTCTACCATTGCCCCCACAAATTAATGGTCTCCATGCTTCCATACTTGCCCCTCACCTCCAGTCTCTTCACCATAGCAGAATGAACCACCAAGTCAGATCACAACACATCTCTGTTCAAATCCCACCTGAAATTTTCAGTCTTACTAGAATAACAGCCAAAGTTCTTTTCTCAGTTCCCAGCTACTTCTCTGCCCTTATATCCTACTGTTTAAGGTGCTCCTAAACACACAGGCCTCCCAGCTATTTCCAGAACACTCCAAGCCCATCATTCTCACATCAGGTCTAGGCCCAAAGGGCATCCTGATGGGCATGCCTTGACCTTGTGTCTTCCCTCCAAAGAAGGTCAGCTTTACCTAACTGCTTTCCTTATGGCACAGAAAAGGTGAGTGAGGTCCAATTAATCCTTCTATCAATAATCTTTATCTAATCTTTGCTTTAAAAGGTTGGAATTTGTGTCTGTTTTATGTGCTGCCTGGGTCATAGTATATGCTCAGTGAAGCAATTACACATTAACCCATTTAGCAGTAGAAAGCAAGGGTATCAGACAAAGTCTAATGACCTTTATCTTCCCAGCCAAGTGTCTGCAACAGAGTGAGTGCTCAGTTTTGAATTACAGAATTAATAAAAGCACAGAGGAATGAGAAGAAAGTTTAATTTACAGATGTTCACAAACTCTGTCCTCATTAGAATAAATGTTTTTGATATATTCAGACCTCATTTAGAAACAAAGCCATCAAATGTGATTCTTTCTAAATCAGTACAAATTTTTCCTTATATTCACTCTGGCATAATCTTCAAACTCTATTAAGGTTTTAGAATGACAGGTTCTGAAAATTAATACCAAATGACTATCTCAGCAGTGTTTTCCCATTATACAAATACCTTCCCTCATCTCTGATGTCAGTTTCCTGTTGTCATTTTCATAATGGCAGTAAGTTAGAAATATAACCATTTTGTATTACTACATATGACCAATTTTAATATTTTTTTGCCATAGGAAAAACATCATAGTTATTGGAAATTTGTTTTATAACTGGAAACAGAAAGCCTTACTTTATATAGTTGAATTCAGCTTTCAGGTTGAGGGAAGTGCTACTGGTACTCTTTTTCAAGTCATGGATAGCATTCTGCCATTCCTGCACAGCAGCGCAATCGGCAATTGAGATGTAGCACTCACACATGCTTTATTTCCTAAATAATTTATAACCTCAGGGGAAGAGTCAGTCGGTTTGGACAGCACAGTTTTTCTGGATTCACCTGAAAGTATTTTATAAAATAAGAAGAGATTCAGATCAATTAGAAATATTTCAAAGAGCACAGAAACCTAAAAACATGATAAGATCATCAGTACAAAATATATCACTATAACTTTTGCTTTATTTAAAAATACTGAACGCTCACCATTCAGACAATGTTTCGGGCTGGCACTGTTACACCCAGCATTGGCTAAGGTGAGCACCAATTTGTCAAAGCTGGAGATGCAGCAATCAACACCTGTCATGGCACACAGGTGCTCCTGGTACTCCACAGAGGCCTTTTCAAACCTGAAAAGCAAATTGAAGCAGTCTTATTTCTTTATTTATCTACTTACTTACTTTCTTTTTTGAGATGAAGTTTTGCTCTTCTTGCCCAGGCTGGAATGCAATGGCACTGTCTCAGCTCAATGCAACCTCTGCCTCCTGGGTACAAGTGATTCTCCTGCCTCAGCCTCCTGAGTAGCTGGGATTACAGGCACTCGCCACCATGCCCGGCTAATTTTCTTGTATTTTTAGTAGAGACGGGGTTTCACCATGTTGGCCAGGCTGGTCTTGAACTCCTGACCTCAGGTGATCCGCCTGCCTCGGCCTCCCGAAGTGCTGGGATTACAGGCATGAGCCACCGCGCCTGGCCTTTACTTACTTACTTACTTATTTTTTGAGACAGTCTTACTGTCACCCAGGCTGGAGGGCAGTGGCATGATCATGGCTCGCTGCAGCCTTGCCCTACCAGGCTCATGCAATCCTCCAACCTCAGCCTCCCAAGTAGCTGGGACTATAGGCACCCACCAACACACCTGGCTAAAACAAGGTTTTGCTCTGTTGGCCAGGGTGGTCTCAAACTCCTGGACTCAAGCGATCCGCTCACCTCAGTCTCCCCAAGTACTGGGATTTCAGGCATGAGCCACCGCGCCCAGCCCCAAAGGAGGCTGTTATTTTAAACACACATATCTCATTTCCCCCCCCCACAAAAAATGGTGCAAGAATAAACTGAGCTAAAACAGTGAGTTGACTATGGTGGGGGGAGGTTTGATGTCTTCCTCACAACTGTGAAACTAAATTTAAAAGTGGTTAAATGTTTTTAAAAAAATGTAAGAGTATAAAAGAACTAGTGGAAAATATTGATAAGTAACTGATGTCAGTGTGTGGAAAGGCTTTGTAGAAGGATAAAATGCAAGAAAAGATGCACAAGTAACAGATCTAGATGCATAATGCTGAAATACAACACTAAACATTAAAAACAAATTATAAATCAAGAAATTGGATAGCATCAACAATCTTAGTATTTAATAAAATTTCACAGATTAACACAGGAAAAATTGAGAGGCCATGAAGACATGATCCATGTTTTAAAAAATCACAAAAGGTCACTATATGGGGCAACTTCTACTATTAGTCATTAATAAATATAGAAATGTAAAGTACAATAACTATTTTCGCTGATGGTGGTGGCAGCATTCTTGTTTCTCAGTGACTCTCAGTATCCACAAAGATGAAGGGAAGGGGGTACTCTATTATTAAGGGTATACATTGCAGCCATCTTTTCTGTAGAGTAACTTACCAATAGAATATATTATAAGACTTATGGTTTGGCAGCCTTTCTTCTAGTAAATCAGTTTATGAGAATGGATTCCAAGAAAGTAATCAGAAATATAAGCAAAGATATTAAGTGCTATGGTACATTTAGTAAAAAAAAAAATCAGAAACAACCTTAATGCCCAACAGTAAGAAATATTAAATTATGGTACACTCATAAATACAAACCTTTATTAAAAATAACACTGTAGAATATTTAACATGGCAATTTTTTTTTTTTTGAGACAGAGTTTTGCTTTTGTTGCCCAGGCTAGAGGGCAGTGGCACAACCCGGGCTCACAGCAACCTCCGCCTCCCAGGTTCAACTGATTCTCCTGCCTCAGCCTCCCAAGTAGCTGGGATTACAGGCATGTGCCACCACACCCCACTAATATGTTTTGTATTTTTAGTAGAGACGGGGTTTCACCATGTTAGGCTAGTCTCAAACTCCTGACCTCAGGTGATCCACCTGCCTCGGCCTCCCAAAGTGCTGGGAATACAGATGTAAGCCACCGAACCCAGCCTACCTAACACGGAAAATTTTTTTTTTTTAAATATTGAGTGGGAAAAACAGATCATAAAACCATGTGCCTATGTACACTGATGTTTTGGTGAAGAATGGAGAAAACGACATGAAAGAAAAAAGAATTACAAAGCATATGGATATGGAAATATGGGACTACAAAAGGACACACAACAGAAGTTACTACAAAGATATGGAAGTATGAGCAGTTCTTTTATCTTCCTAAATTTGCAAGATTTCATTAAACTAACATAAATGGACACAGAATATTATGGTACAAGCTCCTCTACCTGGAGGAAGCAATGAGTCTGAATGTAGAGTTCACAGGACTAATGAGCAAATACTCTGACAATAAAGGGTAATTTGTATCAGACTCTGAGGGGGAAGGAGCTCAACTAGGGATCAAGTTCAAAAGCGTTTATAAAACAACTGACAGGTCTTGTTTTACAGTGTGATTTGCCACTAATTCTTAAATAAGAAAGGCACTCCAGTATTGCGGCTAACTAAAGAACAAACTGAAGATGCCTCCTGGTGAAGTGATTTATAGCAAGCTTCAATGCTGAAAGCAAACAAAGCTGTTTTAAGATTTGGCTACAATGTCAGTGAGTAATACAAAGAATTTAAACATAAAGTAATTCTGTCACCCATTTCCTTCCCTCCAACCTACCTCCCTTCAGCCTGTTGAGCCACTGAGTTAATCCACAGAAGATTTTTTCCAACAATAGATGATGACCAGACAGCAATTCCCTGTATAGCTTCAGGACAATGAAGTTCACATAGTGCTTCTACCACCATCATAATGGTTATTTCCAATTCATTCCCCTGAAAACGCATTCAGAAAAGTTAGTCACCCAATACCATTAAAACATAAATCCCTATAAAATTTACAACTGATCACAGTCTGTGCCTGCTTAAAGCCAAATGTATTTAACAATTATTTTCACAATTTTCACATTATTTAGCTCAGAATTCTTTAAAATTTTACATATAAAATAGCCACAAAGGGTGACTAACAGAACCTTAGCAGCACATGGATGTTTGTACCCCCACCCCAAAGTTACCCAAAAACATTTAACCTGTGACCTCTGTAGGAATAACACATGGAGTAAAAAGAAAGCAAAAATTAAATATAAATAAACAGGAATTAAGGAATGATTAACTTCATGTGTTTGAATACTGCTTGACATTACCTGAATTGCTAAACATTTTGTTATTTTTGGATTCCAGTTATTTATTGTGAGCCCACTTGCAAGCCAGGAATTACTCAAGCATTTGTCATACGTTATAAAAACAATTTCTCCTGGCCAGGTGCAGTGGCTCATGCCTGTAATCCCAGCACTTTGGAAGGCCGAGGTGGGCGGATCACTTGTGGCCAGGAGTTCGAGACCAGCCTGGCCAACATGGTGAAACCCTGTCTCTACTAAAAATACAAAACTTAGCCGGGTATGGTGGTGGGTGCCTGTAATCCCAGGGACTGAGGCAAGAAGAGGCTTGAACCCGAGAGGCGGAGCTTACAGTGAGCCGAGATCGCACAACTGCACTCCAGCCTGGGCGACAGAGTGAAACTGTGTCTCAAAAAAATAAATAAATAAATAAATAATTTCCCCCATAAACAAATTTTCAGAATTACCTTTAAAGTTCTAAACTTTGCACGTAAGAAATATAGTTTTAACGTGTTCTAACATGAATATTGTTTTAACATGAACAAAAACATGAACATTATTTTAACTTCTAACACTGTTTTAACATGAATAAAATAGGTAACTCTGGCAGTTGTTGCTTTTACAAAATACAGGATCAAAACCTTTGAAAATGAATCCAAGCTTTAACTTATTTTATCCATAGATTAAATCATACCAAAGGAATTAAACCATGTTTTTCTTATTAACAGACTTAAAATGAATTTCAAACACACCACTTTACCTGAGATAGGCTGGTTGTTTTCATCTCTGTAAGCAAGTCAAAGCCATGTCTCACTGTCACTGCAGGCTGGCCTGCCAACAATCCTACCCTCATGATGGAGAGTCGAATCCGCGTTAGCCAGTCCTGACAAGTTTGGCAACTGGTATAGAAAAAAGCTCTAATGACCTTTACGATAAGAGAAAGAAAAGCTCAGGACTGGTTCAATTTGTAGGTAAGGATGTCTCACCTATATATAAACCAAATACACAAGTCTATTGTGATTTCAGCTCTGCACATACTGCCAGCTGTGACCATTAAACTGCTATAAAACAACACTATCTCCCGGAAACCAACCTTGGGAGGTGAAGTTAATGCATTAGCACATCCCTCATATACATTATACATTAATTTCTCCAGATTTTCCAGATACTGCAGAAGAAGAACAAGTCTAAGTTGGTTGTTACCATGGCCTTCATCATTGTCTGCAGTTGTCCACTGACTAACATCCTGATCAGGGTTTAATGTGTGAGCTGCGAGACTTCGAATGATACCTGAAAGCAAAGACAACATTCTGAATTTTTAAAAATCTTAAAGTTCCTAGAATAAGTGTGAGTTTTTTATGACAAATTCACATTTATCAAGTATCCTCTGTCTACCCATCATTTAAAAATAAAAAATCCCAACATGAAAGATCTTTCATTTTAGGGGAAAAAATATATATATATTTTCCACACAACTCCCATAAGTTTTGGAAAAAAACCAAACATATTTCCAATGCAATTATTCAATGAAAGCTTATTCTAACAAACATACCTGAAAATTATTGACTTTTTTTCAAAAAAAATCATATACTCTCAAATCTTTAACAAAGATTTAAAAATCCATTATTTCTTAATAAGGCTTTGAAAGTATTCACATCACAAAGCTTGAGCGAGTTACCTTCAATTGTCTGGAAGGTGTCTTGAGCTCTGCCCAGTGGGGTTCTCAGCTTAGAAAGAACAGTGAATTGTGCAGCTTCCCATATGGCCCACTGCCAAAAGATAGCATCTGTCTTCAGGAGATTGCGTGGAATTGTTGACTGGTCACACTTATCCAGTCTCTGGCAGCTATAGAACAGTCTTTCCAACCAATTGTCCTTCCTGGGAAAAGTAGTTTCATATTTAAAAGACAATGACAACTTCATTTTAATAATGAAAAAAAAAATGCAAGGGGAATGGGAATACGGAACTGTAATTTTCCCTACTCCAAAAAAAGGCAAAACCTATGAAATTGAGAAGCATTATGTCCCCCCCTCTCATTTTGAGGTCTTTTATAGTTAACAGGATGAGGTACAGTGTGGAAGGATGATTAGGGTAAATGGCTCATGCCAGTCAGGAATGAAACTCATTCAATGCAACTAAGCATCTCTAGAATATCTCCACCCCCACCCCACTCCCCAAAGTGTTAATGACATCACATCAGTTAATTGTTAACCACATTTCATTACTCAATTTCAAAGCCCATTTTTGTTTCTACAGATGCTATCTTCAAAGCAATTTTCCTATTGATGAAAACTGAAATAACCCATATGAGAAGAATGTTACTTGATACTCTGCCACCCCCAAACATATTTTCTCTTCAAAACTGCATGTAAAGTCAAGGGAATCTTAAAATTATCTTTCCCAGATAAAATAGTCAAAGAAATGCCTTACCCTGTTCTATGAGAGTTCCCATACAAAATAAAACTAATAACATCAGAGAAATCTTGGGGGTGGAATGTATTACTTGGTGCTTTACTCATGTGACTTCTTAATGCTAAAGAAATTTCTTGAATTTCTGTGTGATTGTTATTGCTGTAGACAGAAAATAAAGTTGTTGTTATGCAAAATATTTTAGCTTAAAAGGTTAGCACCTACTGTAAGTGGATTATTTACTTATTAACTCACTGGAGGTAAAAATATAGTAAAATAGAGACTTTAAAATGGATACAGAGATGTGATTACAACTTTAGATCCTTTTTTTATTCACCTCAGATGGGTAATGTGCCGACATCATAAGAGGATTTGAGGGAGGCATATCAAACATGTGAACATAAAAACCCAATCATTATGCTTATGTATTACAAAAGGATCAAGTTTAGGCTCTTAAAAGCTCCCAAATCAACTTGATCAAAAACAATGAAAGATTACTGTTTAGTTTTTCAAATATCTGAGCTACTAAGAAACATATTTTGGCACTACATGAGTTATTCTATACTAATTATTGTGAGCCTATAAAGCTCATTAAAAATTTTTAATTTTCTTGCAGAACTGCAAAATTTGATTATTTGACATCACTTCAATCACTGGCAAGCAGGGCCATAAAAGATGTGTCATTAATGCTCTAATAGGTGATCTGTCTTCTCCTAAAGTAGACAACCAGTAGAGGCTGTAAATATAACAGAATGTCTTTGCTCCAAAACAACTGTTATACCTTAGGACAACATCTAAAGGAATTGATTTCAACAGTTTTCCAAATGCTTGTCGAATACGAGTTCCACGGTGCACTAGTTGAACACGGCAAACATCAACACATCTATGAAAGAACGAAATAGACAAAGCAGGTGTGTTAACATTTCCAGGTTATTAGGGTTAATGTCAAAAGACATGATCTTAATTTCATACCTCTGTAAAAGATCATCTGGCAAGGAAGAGGACAGAGCGTGTAGACTGCTGCATGCCTGCAGACAGATATTCACATCTTCAACGAGAGCTATTAAACATTAAAAGACAGTTACTTTCAGCTGGCCAAAAGAAATTATATCCCAGTTTGTCATAATTATCTGAATCCATTCATTCATTCAACAAAGAGTGAGTGCCTACTACAGACTAGGCACTGTTCTTGTCCAGAATCCTTATTGACTGTCACATTTGGAAAAATGACACATTCAACAAAACCCATGTAATGTAACTGATGGGTCATCACACAAACCTTTTTCTGAGAGAAAATGTAAAAGTATATGCAAAATATAAACATTCACATAAGCTTAAAAATGTGACAATCACTTCAAAACATTTTTCTAATACTAAGAATGAAAAAAATCAAGACTGTGTATCTGTCATTAAAATGAGGATTACACATCTTCAGGTCAGGAAAAGAGCTCGATTGATGACCATCTCCCATTACCAAAGACCCTTTTAAGGACTGATAAACAAAATAGAAAAAAAAAAAACAGAGTCTTACTGTTGGCTAAAAGGCCTTTGCAAAATTTATGGAAAGACGGAAGACAGAATAAAGGTGCATATGTTTCGGACTTCTTCATTAAAACAGCTACTTCCAAAGCCCAAGTCATTAACAGTTTCCTGAAACACAAAATATACAGTTGACTGTACACAAAAAAAACAACAACAAAAACAAAAAAACGTTAAAAGCCTAGTCTTCTTACATTGGTTTTCTCTTGGTTTTTCAAACATCTCAAACAATAAAAAATAAAAATAAAAAATGAAACTATAGAAATTACTGTCAAAATTGTTGTGTGCCTTTTAAGAAAACCTCCCAACGCAGCATAATAGCAAAGAGGCCGGGCATGGTGGCTTACCTGAGGTCAGGAGTTCAAGACCAGCCTGGCCAACAACATGGTGAAACACCATCTCTACTAAAAATACAAAAATTAGCTGGGTGTGGTGGCGGTCACCTGTAATCACGGCTACTTGGGAGGCTGAGGCAGGAGAATTGCTTGAACCTGGGAGGCAGAGGTTGCAGTGAGCAAAACTCCGTCTCAAAAAAAAAAAAAGCATAGAATATTAAAAATCTATATATATTCTTCTATGAAACACTGGGGGTGAGGGATTGAGGTTTTTCATGTATTTCTTTTCAGAAAGAATAAGAAAGCCTAGATTAAATAATAAAACCAAATTATAAGGTGTTTGACAATAAAGAAGCTGCTCTACCTCACCTCTATAATCCACATTTTTTTAAATGTTTTGTAATCCACATTTCTTATTCTCAAATTATAAAGGCAAATTAACAAAGTTAGGAATAGTTAATACTATATAATATCTGTTACCTCGTGTCCTGGTTAAGGTTATCTTTCTTAAGTAATATTCCCAGAAGATTTAACATAATTGAGAAATGTTTCTTTGTGGCCGTAGTTACAGTGCTAATCACAGCTCCATCAAACAAAGGAGGAGAGGAAGAACTGAGGCTACTAGAGATAAAGTGATCATGCCTGAAAGACAAAGCATAGATTATCTTTTCATCTTTAATCAAAGAAAGCAAGCAAGCCCAAAGTTAAATCAACATACATCTTTAAAATCTATCCATTAAAAAAATAAAATGTTTTGTGGGGTTCTTTTGTTAAGAAAAATTTGTGAATACAGTACCTGGTACAATGAGAATACAAAGTGTAGAGCACAGCATACTGAATGGTAGGGAAGTGAACAGCCAGGTCACTGTGCACAATCATCAGATTCTTACTCAGAAGTGCAAAGACAGTTGGAGATAGCGCCCACATCTGATCATGTACAAAACAAAGTAAGTTTATGGCTTCTCCAAAATAAGCACAAGCATACAGAGTTTATCCTTCAAAACAGGGGTATTTGGACATTTTTAAATTAAAATTACAGACTGGAAGGGATCTAGTACACTACACCTGGGACAAATACTCTTTTGTGAAGTCAGTAAAGCCTTTGCGTGCAATATAGCATCTCTATGCAATGCAGCAACTCCTCGTCTATCGCTACAGTAAGAAAACAGCCACAGGTCAGGTGTTGTGGCTCACACCTGTAATCCTAGCACTTTGGGAGGCTAAGGTGGGCAGATCACTTGAGCCCAGGAGTTTGAAACCAGCCTGGGCAACACAGCGGGACCGCATCTCTACTAAAATTACAAAAATTAGCTGGGCATGGTGGCGCACACTTGTAATCCCAGCTACTCAGGAGGCTGAGGCAGGAGAATTGCTTGAACTTGGGAGGCAGAGGTTGCAGTGACCCGATATCATACCAATGCACTCCAGCCTAGATGACAAAGTTAAGACTCTCTCTCTCAAAACAAAACAAAACACCAGCCACATACAAAACACAGGAATGAGAGTACCTGTGTTCCAAGAAAACTTTCTTGAGTCGGAGTCTCTCGCTCTGTTGCCCAGGCTGGAGTGCAATGGGGTGATCTCAGCTCACTGCAACCTCTACCTCTGGGGTTCAAGCAATTCTCCCTGCCTCAGTCTCCCAAGTAGCTGGGATTACAGGTGCCCATCACCACGCCCTGCTAACTTTTGTATTTTTTTAGTAGAGATAGGGTTTCACCATGTGGGCCAGGCTGGTCTTGAACTCCTGAGCTCGGGTGATCTGCCTGTCTCAGTCTCCTGAGGGATTACAGGCGTGAACCACTGCGCCCAGCCCGAGAACTTTCTTTACAAAAACAGGCACTAGTGTTGTGATGGTTGTACACTTCTGTGAATATACTAAAAATCAGTGAATTATACACTTAAAATAACAAACAAAAAACAGGTGCTGGGCTGTATTTGGCCCACGGACCATAGTTTGCTGATCTCTGATCTAAACAGAGCCCTTTGTATGTGCCTTTTGTGGAAGTAGACTGTATTTCCTCAATTTTCCATATACTGCAAATGGCAAGGTGCCCTGTTCAATAAGGAAACAAAGGCACACCCTGCCACTCTACACCTTTTCCATCCATCTTTTTCCTTTACACTGCCAAGACACTCCATTCCACCTGACTGCCCCATCCCCACCCACTTTCTCCTTATTTCTAGAGTACAGGACATAAACATCTTTGAATCTGTAAATAATGTGAATAATTTTCCTCAAAAATCAAGCTTTCATGTTTGAAGAAGAGTTTATTGTGACTTCAAACATAAGCTGTAACTGGTAATAAGCGAAGCAGCTATGGAATTATACAAGGCAATCCAATCAAACAACACGGAGCACATTGAAGCGCAAACATCAAATTTTACCTTCTTCCTCCTAAAAACTTTATTCCCTAATTACATCCATTACTTTCTTTCTTTGTTTCTTTCTTTTTTTTTTTTTTTCTTTTGAGACAGAGTCTGGTTCTGTAGCCCAGGCTGGAGTGCGGTGGTGTGATCTCAGCTCACTGCAACCTCCACTTCCTGGGTTCAAGCAATTCTCCTACCTCAGCCTCCAAAGTAGCTAGGATTACAGCTGTGCACCACCACCCCTGGCTAATTTTTCTATTTTTAGTAGAGGTGAGCTTTCACCATGTTGGCCAGGTTGGTCTCAAACTCCTGACCACAAGTGATCAGCCCGACTTGGCCTTCCAGAGTGCTGGGTTTACAGGTGTCAGCAACCATGCCCAGCCTACACCTATTATTTTCTATTAAAAATAATGTTTTTCAACTCTGTGTGGTCCAATAGGAAGAAGAAATACACAAACCATAAACAATAAATACAAATCAAGAGCAGGGCCACGTCAAATTACTTAAAAAAAAAACACACACAGGCTGGGCGCGGTGGCTCATGCCTGTAATTCCAGCACTTTGGGAGGCTGAAGCGGGTGGATCACCTGAGGTCAGGAGTTTGAGACCAGCCTGGCCAACATGGTGAAATCAAGTCTCTACTAAAAATACAAAAATTAGCCCGTCATAGTGGCAGGTGTCTGTATCTCAGCTACTCGGGAGGCTGAGGCAGGAGAATTGCTGGAACCCGGGAGGCAGAGGTGGCAGTGAGCCGAGATTGCACCACTGCACTCCAGCCCAGGTGACAACAGCATGACTCTGTCTCCAAAAAAAAAAAAAAAAATTCCCCCCCCCCCAAAAGAAAGACTAAAGGTTGAGTATCCCTTATTCAAAATGCTTGGGACCAGAAGTCTTTCAGACTTTGTATATGTTTGGATTTGAGAATACCTGCATATATATAAAATGAGATATGTGGGGGATGGGACCCAAGTCTAAACACGAAATTCACTTATGTTTCATAGACACCTTCTATTCATAGCCTGAAGATCATTTTATGCAATATTTTAAATAATTTTGTGCATACAACAGTTTGGACTCATCACATGAGGTCGGGTTTGGGGTTTTCCACTTGGGGCATCATACTGGTGCTCAAAAAGTTTCAAATTTTGGAGCATTTTAGATTTAGGATTTTCAGATTAGGGATGCTCACCAGTAAGTGTTATGAAAATATTCCAAAATCCGGCTGGGCATGGTGGTGCTCACCTGTAATCCCAGCATTTTTGGAGGCCAAGGCAGGTGGATCACCTGAGGTCAGGAGTTCACAACCAGCCTGGCTAACATGGTGAAAACCCATCTCTATTAAATACAAAAAAATTAGCCAGGCGTGGTGGCGCATGCCTGTAATCCGAGCTACTTGGGAGGCTGAAACAGGAGAATCGCTTGTACCTGGGAGGCGGAGGTTGCAGCGAGCCAAGATCGCACCATTGCACTTCAGCCTGGGCAACAAGAGTAAAACACTATCTCCAAAAAAAAAAAAGTATTCCAAAATCCAAAATCAAAAACACTTCCAGTCCCAAGTATTTCAGATAAGGAATATTCAACCTGTATGAATGTTTCTAGGGAAAAAGAGACAGCCAAAATATAAGACCATGTATAAGAACTAACTTCAGTAGACAGAAAGAAAAAAGTACCAGGGGAAGAAGAAAGAGACCGCATTTTAAAACAACTATACAAATTTGAGCTGTAAGAAACACTGACATTTTCTATAAGCATGCTAGAGCAAACAGGAGAAATTCATAAGACATTTTCTAGAAAATAAAACTAATATAAAAAAACTTATCAAGATTTGTCAAGGAAAAAGAAGAAAAGTTAAATATAATGGCAAGAAAACATTCCTACCAATTTTATTTATCCAGGCATGTCTTAAATATGGCTGTTTGTTACATGGAGAAACCTTAAATGCATACTGGTAAGTGAAAGAAGCCAATTGAAAAGGCTACATACTATATGACTCCAACTACATGGCATTCTGGAAAAAGCAAAATGATGGAGACAGTAAAAAGATCAGGGGTTGCCATGGGCTTAAGATGGAGGGAGGGAGGAGTGGGGAGAGGGAATGAGGAAGGAGTGGGTAGAACATAAAAGATTTTTAGGGAAGTGAAACTATCCTGTATGATACTGGTAATAGGGGATACATGTCATTACACATGTTAAAGTCCATAGAATACATAACACAAAGTAAACTATGAAATTAGTTAATAATAATATATCAATATTCACTCCTTTGTAATAAATGTACCACACTAACACAATATGTTAATGAGGGGGAAACTGTTGGGATGAAGAAGGTATATGGGAACTCATTGTTTTCTGCTCAATTTTCTGTATATCTAAAAAATAAAGTCTTTTAATTTAGAAAAATATATCTAAGCTATATTTTAAGGCCTTAATACTGTGACATTAAAGTGTTTAGACACCTAAATAGGACACACTTATTTTACAGTTATCATGGGCATTTTTTCACATTAGCAAAGAGAGGTGTAATTCTGGCAGAAATGCTCAGCAGAATGTCATCTAGAATTTGCTTTAAAATAAGCCAGTTAGAGATGAAAGGATAGCAAAGAGGCCTAGATGAAACCAGATGGGCCGTTTGCTTCTAATTATAGAAGCTGAGTGTTAAATATGTACAAATTTATTATACTATGCTCCCTATTTTTATGTGCTTCAGAATGTCCATAATAAAAGTGGGGGGAGGATATTTATGGTTAAGAAATTAAAGGAGGCCAGCCGGGCACGGTGGCTCACGCCTGTAATCCCAGCACTTTGGGAGGCCAAGGCAGGCAGATCACGAGGTCAGGAGATCGAGACCATCCTGGCTAACATGGTGAAACCCCGTCTCTACTAAAAATACAATTGTGCCACTGCACTCCAGCCTGGGCGAAAGAGTGAGACTCCGTCTCAAAAAAAAAAAAAAAAAAAAAGAAATTAAAGGAGACCAGGCATGACTGCTCACACCTGTAATCCCAGCACTTTGGGAGGGCAAGGCAGGAGGATTACTTGAGACCAAGAATTCAAGTCCAGCCTAGACAATGCAGTGAGACCCCTTCTCTCCAAAAAATACAAAGGTTAGCCAGGCATGGTGGCATGCATCTGTAGTCCCAGATAGTCGGGAGGCTGAGTGGGAGGATCACTTGAGCCCAGGAGTTTGAGGCTGCAGTGAGCTCTGATTGTACCGCTGCACTCCAGCCAGGGGAATATAGCAAGATCCTGTGACCAAAAAAAAAAAAAAAAGAAAAGAAAGAAAAGAAAAGCAAAAAACAAAGAATCTGGTGCGTAGAGCAATGTTTCCTCAGAAAAAACGAGTAAAGCTACACTGAGACTAGCTATCAACCACTAAAAATAGAGGCCTGGCAGAGTGGCTCATGCCTATAATCCCAGTACTTTGGGAGGCCAAGGCAGGTGGATTTCTTGAGCCCAAGAATTCAAGACCAGCCTGGGCAACATGGCAAAACTCCATCTCTACAAAATAATATAAAAAATTAGCCAGGTGTGGTGGTGCACGCCTGTAGTCCTAGCTACCTGGGGGGCTGAGGTGGGAGGATCACCTGAACCCAAGAGGTCAAGGCTACAGTGAGCCAAAATCATGCCACTGCACTTCATCTTGTGCAACAGAGTGAGACCCTGTCTCAAAAAAAAATTGCATTAAAAATAAAAGTAAATAGACACTAAAATGAAGGCATAGATTATAAGACTGATGAATGTACTCTAAAAAAATAATATAATAAAGCAAAGCCCTTATGTTTTTTCTTTTTTGGAGACAGGGCCTTTTTTGTCACCTTGGCTGAGTGCAGTGGCACAATCAGAGCTCACTTCAACCTCAAGTTCCTGGGCTTAATCGATCCTCCTCCCTCAGCCTCCCGAGTAGCTAGGACTGCAGGTGCACACCACTACACCAAGCTAATTTTTGACTTTTTGTACAGATGGGGTCTCACTACATTGCCCAAGCTGTGCCAGAATTCCTGGATGCCAGCAATCCTTCTGCTTTGGCCTCCCAAAGTGCTGGGATTACAAGCATAAGCCACCATACCCAGACAAAGCCCTTAATTTCTTACATATCGATTTAAGGGCCTGAATAAACCAACACATTAAAAAGGAAAAGAATAATTCACATACCAGCATGAGTAAATTCAAGACTGAGATGATATAATCGGTACCACAAGTCTGGCAATTCTCCAGTTGGTCTAATCCATATGTAATGACCATGTCACAATGTATAGTCATGCTAGGATCCAAGCTGCCGAGCAAAACACCAACACACTCATTAGCAGCTGTCAACACAGCCTCAGAAAAAAACACCTGGTTTGCAGCCGTCACACATCTCATTACTCTGTACAGAATCTGTAAATGGGGAAAACAAGCAGCTTTTTAAAAAAATTCACGTGCTTCCACAAAGCAAGGAAATACTTTTTATTTAATGCAATTTCAACTGAAAATTAACTGCTTGCCTTGCCAGCAGTCTCTTAATATTCTAGTTCTCAGTAGCTGAATAATGATACCTTTACTACAATATGTAAACATGATCTTGGCTAAAAAATCCTAAAGTGCTACTATGACAGGAAATGGAATCTGCCATCCTCTATTTCCCATATACCCAACTTCGTTTCTCCCAATGTCACTAAATGGCTGAAGCTCAGAATCTTTATCATGAAATACACCACGACAGTAATGGTATTGACAGCATGGGAATAGCCTGCCCACACATACTACAAGCTAGCTCTTGGGCTTTTGGGAATCAATCTTTCAAAACTGAACATACAAGTCACTTTAAGCTTATTAAACTTTCTATCTACTGATGGTCTCTTTTGAAAGATAAGCACTCTCATGCTTACCACATAGTATCTTCAAAAATCATATGATTTCCAATACACACACAAACAAAATCCCCCACTTAACTATAATGGCCAATAATTGTGTACTAAATTTCTAATAAAATAGGGGAGAAAACAGAGCAAATGTTAAAAAATACTTCTATAATATTTAACAACCAATACATACAGGATTTTATTTAGTCTACCCATAATTTTCATTAAAAGTATCCTTGGAGGTTGGGCATAGTGACTCACATCTATCATCCTAGCACTTTGAGAGGATTAGCTGGAAGGTTCTCTTGAGTCCAGGAGTTTAAGACCAGCCATGTCAACATAACAACACCTCATCTCTACCAAATTTGTTTTTAAATTGGTTGGGCGTGGTGGCTCACACCAGTAGTCCCACCAACTACTTGAGAGGCTGAGGTGGGAGGATCACTTAAGCCTGGGAAGTCAAGGCTGCAGTGAGCCAAGATCGTGCCACTGCACTCCAGCCTGGGCAACAGAGACCAGTGGCTCATGTCTATAATCCCAACACTTTGGGAGGCTGAGGTGGGAAGACTGCTTGAGGCCAAAAGTTCAAGACCAGCCTGGGAAACACTGAGACGCCATCTCTACAAAAATAAAAAATTAGCAGGAGCTATGGTGGGAGGATCACTTGAGCCCAAGAGATAGAGGCTGCACTGAGTCGTGATGGCACCACCCCACTTTAAAAAGAAAAAAAAAAGAGCTGGGTATGGTGACACCCGCTTGTAGGGCTGAGTGAGGTGGGAAGTTCACCTGGGCCCAAGAGTTCAAGACTACAGTGAGCTATGATTGCACTACTACACTCCAGCCTGGGTGAGAGAGTGAGGCTCCAGCTCCAAAAATAAATAAAAATAAAATAAAAAAATAAAAACCCCACCATTCTACCATTCTCAAAGGCCTAAAAGATCCTCATAAATCAATATACACCTATCCTATAAATTATGTCCCTTTTATTTTATGTCTGAATTAACAGCTTTTTATTTCAACTCTGTACAGTCTTCAAACAACCACCTTTTAGACATTAAAAATGAAGCAAAGATATTAAACCATTTTGAAACCATATTGGTTTAAAATACCGATATGCTGGTTTCATTTATCTTTAAGTTCTGACATTTCTGCTCAAGTACACAACTTACTATATAATCAATATCCTATTTTATTTAGCAACATGTTCAGCAAAAGTATATGCTCCTAAAAGCAAGTTTTATCCTAACGGTAAAATTTTCATCAGTTAGATTAAATTTTTTATGACTGTATCACACATGCTTCTTTCTCCTTATTCACAGCCGAGTACAATGCCTGGGGTTCATTTCTTGTGTCTTTTCCACTGAACCCTCATTGGATGTGCTATATACAGTGCAGCTAATGTTTGAGGCTGCTGAAGTGTGGCAATCTATCTACCTCATTTTTAATTTGTTTATGTTCTTTGATATCAGGCTATCAAAGAATATAAAGATATACAAGTTTTCATATGAGTTCCATCTTATGCTCAGAGAAGATTACTTTCTGAGGCTTCTCCTATAGTGTGCTATTCGTAATATGTTGAAAAACTAAAAGGAAACCCAATAATTTAAAAGTAAAATTATAAGAAATATTATTTAAAAATGAAAGAATAAGATTTAAAAATTCAGAGTGGCCTTTTGTCATGGGAGGGTAGGGAAGTTGGATGAAAGGAGGATGAGATATAAAAGGATTCCCTGCTTTTCTGGTTATTTAAGAAAGCAGTCAGACAATATATACATATACACATACATACATACATGCTAAACAAATGAAGGATTAATAACAGTTCACCTGGTAAAGAGAAGCATTTACAATGTAAAACAATTTTATTTTTGAATGACACTTCAAATGCCCAAAAGCACTTACATCTGTTACGTATGCCTCAGTAATCGGAGGACCCGAATTGGGCTGAAGCGTTCCCCAATGCTCCTCACCACAGTACTAAATACCCGGAGAAGCGCAGTCAGCTTTGGTAATGACACTGATGGAGGAGGGACGTCTTCATCCACTGATTCCCCAGAGGCCACATGGCTGAGGTCCTAGATGTGAATTCACAGCATTCTTAATAAGTAGTACATTGTTTAAAAAAAAAAAAACTCTAAAATATTTCAATCAATTCATTTTAGAATAGATTTTTAGGCTTTTAGAAAGAGAACTGTGGCCCATGAGAATATTCATGACTCTGAATATAAAAATGGGTTTTACCTAATTATTTCAAAAAGCCAACATTAAACCCAATAGACAACAAATTAAGGAAATAATCTCTTAAATCAACTCAGAAAGCTGTTGGGGAAAAATAAATTCTAGCACATATGCTCTAGTTATATGTAGGTATAAATGAAGACGGAAGCTTTTGCCACTCCTGAATTAGTTTTTGGCTAAAAATCTCATTCTAGGTATTCTTTGAGCCACTCAGCTCAACAGTAAGTCCTCCAAACCAAGAGCATGCACATGAAGAGCAAAGGGAGATTACAAGACCTGGTCTACAGATGTGTAACTGAAGAAGTACGATATATGAAAAGGACAAGATTCGCAAAAACTAGGATACTAGAACCAATCTATACATTTACCTAAAATTAAGCACCAAAATAACAGAAGAGAATGAGATCTTAAGGATAACAAGGGGAAGCATCTCTACAAACTAGAATGTGTGGCTTATGAGAGGTAGATCAGCTTTAAACGTGGGCTGTGAAAAAAGACATTCTAGGTGTGGGGGCAAAGAAAAAACAACACAGAAGCAAAACATTTCCTTGCTTTTCTAGGAAAGAGTAAACACATCAGTACAGCTAAAGGTACTGAATTCCTGTTGACTACAAGCAGCAAAGATGATAAAAACAAGATGAGGCCAAAATCTTTATGGGAGCCTTGATTGGTTGATCTGAATAGGGGAGAAACACAAAGAGATTCAGATAAGAGATAGCACAGAGTTAAGCCATGACAGTGGGGCCAGAAAAGCCAAGTACCAGTAACAGAGGCTTCAGCAGTGCTCTTAAAGCTCCTATGCTATATTCGTACAGCCACAAAAGCTGGCTGAAGCCAAGGCCTGTCCTCCAAAGTACGATTCAGATCTCCCGTACATATGTAAGAGGAAAATCTTTAGGAGCTTTTGGTGTTTTGTGTTTTTTTATAACACAACATCAATTTGCTTTAAGACTCTGAAGACTGGGAACAAAAAATAAAAATAAATAACAAAAAATGTCTTTAGAAAAATACCAGCTACCAAGAGTATGTAAAGCTTTGCGAAATACGAAGCTTGCAACGTTTCTTTTAGTCTCTCCAGTAATTCTCCTGGTAACTTAAATACATCTGAAATAAATGTTTAAAATACTGACTGAGCACGGGGGCTCATGCCTATAATCCCAGCATTTGGGAGGCCGACGCGGGTGGATCACCAGTGGTCAGGAGTTTGAGACCAGCCTGGCCAACATGGTGAAACCCCGTCTCTACTAAAAATACAAAAATTAGCTGGGCATAGTGGCGGGCACCTGTAATTCCAGCTACTCAGGAGGCTGAGGCAGGAGAATCATTTGAACCCAGGAGGTGGAGGTTGCAGTGAGCTGAGATCGTGCCATTGCACTCCAGCCTGAGTGACAGAGTGAGACTCCGTCTCAAAAAAAAATTTTTTTTTCAAAATATTGCAATGGGCTTGTAATTTCTGCTTAAATGTCAGGAGGTCTGAGCCATTTTAAAATAAATCTAGCACAATTTAAGATTTTTTCTTAACCAAAATTTTAAGAAACAGCTTTCTATATACTCACCTCAGCATATGCTTCCATGTCTTCTAGAAAATGACCAAGAAGAGTCGTAGAAAATGCAAGATCAGCTACCCAAAATGGCTCCAAACTCTGCAACCACCCTTGGAATCGTATAAGAAATTGTGAAAGGGTGGGGGGAGAAAAAACACCAAAAAATCCAAATTAAAAAAATATAAGAGGCTTGTTTTAAAAAGTATCCGGTTTTCAAGCAGCATACCCTAAAACATGTCCTATATCATAAAATTAAGACTGCTAAACATGCTGATCACGATTAACCAATACCTCTTTAATTAATACCTCTTTAATTTCTGCAAAAATTAACATGTAAATGTTATTTCCTTACTTTTTCAGTAAATTTCCTATCTATATTGTCACTACACATGACTTAACACTAAAATGCCACAATCTACCATTGGCCTGGCTAATCCCAGGGCCACATCTAACCATTAAAGGTGTATACTTATCTCCTCAGTGAAAATGAAACAGACCACTATCACCTGAATATCCTATTTTCAAAAGTTTATTACACCAAGTAAGTTACGAGAAACTATGACACTTGAAACAAGCTGAAATGTGCAAATGAGCCATGCTAGTCATTCACTTAACTCCAAAAAAATGGGAAACAAAACCATTTCTCATTTATGACAATTCTCCAAATTAACCCTATTTCCTTTTTTAAAAAAATAACCAGAAAAACAATAAAATGTTACAAATAACTTGGATCTTCCATTGTCCACTTCAGGGTATTGCCACTGCAATATATTCTTACCATATACTTTTTCCTACCAGTACAAACTACAAATAACTTGGGTAAGTCCTGTCTGTACTTATTCTACCCACCTACTAGTAATTTCTTCTGAAAATATATATTTAGCTAACAAGTAATGTTCATTTACAATATAACATTTCTCTGAATTAGTTTTCTTGCATTATTAAAGAAATGTTATTGATAGATGGTCACTGGGGGACCACTGCTCCTCCCCGACAGTATTTAAATAACTGGTATAGGCTGCAAGACTTACCAGATACCTGCTGCGTGAGCGAAGGTTTCTGAGTATGATCTATATGCCATCCAACTAATATATCAACTGTATCCTTGATGGAAACAAAGAGAGAGGGGGCCAATCATTTTAAGATATTACTGCCATTCACCTGTGGACCATTCCACAGCAAAAGATCCTAAAAGGAGCATCTATGTTCTACCTACTCAACATTCTAGAAACTTAGAAAGGGGAGAGGGGCAGGAAAATAAAAGAACTACATTTCTGACAACAATGAAATAGTTTATTTTCTTCAAATATTTTAAGGTACGAACGTCAGAAATAAAAATGCAGCATTTAACCCTGGAACCTCAAATATCACTGATTATACTCAAAGGAGCAGAGGCATTGTTTTCCATCTGATTCCTCAGTTCCTCACACACACAACCATCCCCCTCACCCCATGATCTGAAAAGCGAAATGAGGAATTCACCCTAAAATTAGTGTGGAGAAAACAAGCAAATTAGGTTATTTACTAAGTGACTACATAAAAAACTGAGTATGAGACCAAGAAAAATAGATTCTGTAGTTTTAGTTAAAAAAAAAATTGACTTGTAAATCCCAACTACTCGGGAGGCTGAGACACAAGAATCGCTTGAACCCAGGAGGCAGAGGTTGCAGTGAGCTGAGATTGCACCGCTGCACTCCAGCCTGGACAATACAGCCAGACTCCATCTCAAAAAAAAAAATAATTAATAAATAAATAAAATAAATATACTGAAAATATTTCACTCCACTAAGATGTTAAGCTAAAAACAAATACTGTTTTCTCTTCTTCAATGTTTGTTAACATTAGTCCTTAATAACATCTGTTTACAATATCCCTAAATGCTCTCTTTAAGATTCCACCTGTGATTAAATTTCAAATACAAAAAAGTAAAACGGATTTGGGAAACTTTTCTATAAAGTACAGCAATTAATTTGCAATCCAAAATATAAAGCAAATTTTATATAATTTATGCTTTACTATATTAGTACTTGCTTCACATTAAAATTAAAGATCAGTATGGCACCACACATGAATAACATGCAGGCTCAGGTTACCATTATACATAAATTTTTAAAATAAATATATGGCAAAAATAATAATTGTCATTCCATTGAAAGAATATTTATTTTGCAGCTGTTAAAAGACATTTTTCCCTAAAAAAAGAAAAGCTGTGCTTTACATAGCAATCTTATAAAAGAAATGCTAGAATCAGAAAACCATCATTTTAGGCTGGGTGCAGTGGCTCACACCTGTAACCCCAGCACTTTGGGAGGACGAGGCAGGTGGATCACTTGAGGTCAGGAGTTCAAGACCAGTCTGGCCAGCTCGATGAAACTCCGTCTCTACTAAAAATATAAAAATTAGCAGAGCACAGTGGCACCTGCCTGTAATCCCAGCTACTCAGGAGGGTGAAGCATGAGAACTGCTTGAACCTGGGAGGCGGAGGTTGCAGTGAGCCGAGATTGTGCCACTGCCCTCCAGCTTGGACAATAGAGCAAGATTTCGTCTCAAAAAAAAAGAGAAAAAGAAAACCATTATTTTGCAATAGCCAATGTTATAATCTACACAGGCACAGACTATCAATGCTAAAAATCATTTAAAAGACATCTTAGGGGTAATTACAGAAATTTGAATATAGAACACATATGTAATAAAATTCATTTTCTTAGGTATGATTACAATATTCTTGTTATACAGAAGAAAAACCTTATTCTTGGGAGATGCAAACTAAAACATTATGGGTTGAACTGTCATCATGTGTATGGTTTTCAGATGCTCAACAAAAGTGTGTGAGAAAATAAAACTGGCAAAATATTAGTAACTGGTAAATCTAGGTGAAGCATATTATTATGAAATTATTATCGTATTTACAGGTATTTATTTTACTGGTGCATCTATCTTTCTATGAATGTGAGAATTTTCACAAGAGCTGGGAAAATGTTCATAATTATGCATGCAGAATAAGCCCAAGCTGGTGGCATTCTGTTCAGTTACAGGTAATTTTCTGAATCTTCCCTCAAATTTTTCTCAAACCTCTATAATCAAGGGGAAAAATGTTTTGTTTTGCTTTGCTTTTTTGAGATAGGGTTGCCTATAATGGAGTGCAGTAGCTTGACCATAGCTCACTGTAGCTTCAACCTCCCAGGCACAAGCGATCCTCCTGCCTCAGCCTTCAAGTAGCTGGGACTACAGGTGCATACCACCATGCCTGACTTATTTTTTTTCCTTTTTTTTTTTTTTTTTTTTTTTTGATAGAAACAGGGTTTCACCTTGTTGCCCAGGCTGGTCTCAAACTCCTGGACTCAGGCGATTCACCAGCCTCAGCCTCCCACAGTGCTGGGGTTACAGGAGTGAGCCACCATGCCCAGTTAAAAATACACTTTTTATTTAAAAAAAAAAGAGAACACTCCTTATATTTCCTTTATATTTTGTAAACTACATACCCAAAATAAAGCATATCAAAAACTGTAAAAAAAAAAAAAAAAAACCCTAATATCAGATATTCCAGACACAACAATACCATAATTTAATCACTTAAAATCTTACTCAAAACTAAATCAATGATCTTTTAGGCCAGGTGTGGTGGCTCATGATAGTAATCACAGTACTTTGGGAGGCCAAGGCAGGAGGATCACTTGAGGTCAGGAGTTCAAGACCAGCATGGCCAACACAATGAAAATCCATCTCTACTAAAAATACAAAAATTAGCCAGGCTAATGGCACACTCCTGTAATACCAGCTACTTAGGAGGCTGAGGCAGGAGAATCGCTTGAACCTGGGAGGCAGAGGTTGCAGTGAGCCGAGATCATGCCACTGCACTCCAGGCTGGACAACAGAGCAAGACTCCGCATCAAAAAAAAAAAAAAGATATTTTAATATATTCAGATACACAAATATGAAATAAAACTAAGTAGAGCTGGTATTCATTTACACATAATTATCTTATACCGTTTGGAATAAGAATTTGGGGCACGTTAGCAAACCAAAAGGCTCAGAAAGACGTCGTGATATTTAGTTCTTGTCTCCCTCTACAAATGTGAAGCACTCTTCTATCCGGCATTCCTAGTGGAGTTCCTATTTTCAAATTTGCAAATCATTCTGGTGCTAAGCAATCTCAAAAAAAACATTTACTAAAAACCAGAGGAAAAAAATCTTATAACTTTGGGAGGCTGAGGCAGATGGATCACTGAGATCAGGAGTTTGAGACCAGCTTGGCCAACATGATGAAACCCCATCTTCTCTAAAAATACAAAAAGTTAGCTGGGTGTGGTGGCAGGTGCCTGTAGTCCCAGCTATTCCAGAGGCTGAGGCAGGAGAATCACTTGAACCTCTGAGGCGGAGGTTGCAGTGAGCTGAGATCGCGCCATTGCACTCCAGCCTGGGCAACAGAGTGAGACTCTGTCTCAAAAAATAAATATAAAAAAATAAAAAGCTGCTATTCTCCATTAATACCTGCAGGCCCGACAAAGGCAGCCTAGGAATTCTAGATGAATGGAATGAATACAACTTGCTGGAAGTTCTTAGGAAACAAAATGACTATTCACAGAACCAAATAAAAGCCTTCCACTAGAAACTAAAAATAATAATAATAATAATAATGGTTTTATATATATGCATACACAAGCAAAGCCAGAAGAGAATAAATAGCAAATGAATGAAAACTAGAAGCAAAAACAAACAGGAAACCATCTCTACATTTTTTTTACTCAATCGACCCTGAATGCTACAGCATTATCCAGGGCCGCAGAAAACACACATAATACTTTATTCCTGATAAACAATTCGATGTCCTTAAGTCCGCCAATATCACCGTACATTCTGTGCAATCAAGAAATTTACTCAGCTGGGCACAGTGGCTCACACCTGTAATTCCAGCACTTTGGGAGGCCAAGGCGGGTGGATCACCTGAGGTCAGGCATTCGAGAACAGCCTGGCCCACATGGCGAAACCCCATCTCTACTAAAAATACAAAAATTAGCCCGGTATGGAGGCATGTGCCTGTAATCCCAGCTACTTGGGAGGCTGAGGCAGGAGAATGGATTGAACCCAGGAGGCAGAGGTTGCAGTGAGCCAAGATTGCACCATTGCACTCCAGCCTGGGCAACAGAACAAGACTCCATCAAAAAAAAAAAAAAAAAAAAAAGAAAGAAAGAAGAAAAGAAAATTAGCCAGGTGTGGTTGCATGCACCTGTAGTCCCAGCACTTTGGGAGGCCAAGGCAGGAGGATCAATCAAGGCTAGGAGTTTGAGACTGCAGAAAGAAACCCTGTCTCTAAAAAAAAGGTCCAGGTAATTTCAGGGTCCAGCTCCACCACAAGCGCAGCTCCAGGGGCTGTTGAGTTTTGCCTTTATCATTCCAAGTAGTCCCTGCTCCAGACCAAGTCCCACCATCTGGCAGTCAGGTCAGTCCAACCACAGTCATATCAGGGCCCTTCCAGGAATTCTCGACGCAAACTGGAGGCCGATGGCGCGGGTCTTTTCGTGGACGGCGGCAGCACGGTCCTCGGCTTGCGTCCGTAGTTGCTCAGGCTTCTGGTTCAGGGCTGGGCGGCGGCGCCCCTGCGGCGGGCGGCCCGCACCAGGCTCTGCTGCAGCACGGGGTAGAGGCGCTGGCAGCCCTCGAGGCCCAGGCGTACGGCCTCCGCCCAGCTCTCTGTCAGGCCGCCCTCGCCGCTGCCCAGCAGCCCGGCCACCTGATTCAGCACAGGCATGAGCGCCACGGTGAGGCCGGCGGCGGCGCGCTCTTCCTCGAGCCGCGTGGGGTCCAGGAGCCAGGTGGGCGCGGGCCCCGGCGCGAGGCTGAGGCCGCAGCCCACCACCAGGTCGTACATCTCCACGCCCGCGTCGGCCAGGGCGAGCGCGGCGGCGGTGAGCGCGGCGGCCAGGGCCGAGCCACCGTCCTCCAGCAGCAGCGCCGACACCTCGAGCTGCGCGCGCGGGTAGCGGCCCAGGCGCACAGCCGGCTCCAGCGCCTCCTGCAGCGCCAGCGCCAGCTCACGCTCCTCGCAGCCGCCCGGGGGAGCGCGGCGCCGGCGGCCCGCGAAGGGTGCGCGGCGGAAGTCGCAGAGCAGGCGACCGCGCAGCGCGGCCGGGGCCTCGCCGCCTGCTCCGGCCGGGCCGCCGCCGCGCTCGCCGCCCTCGGCCTGTCGCGGGCCCGACACGGCACACAGCACCTTGGTGCCTCCCGCCTCCAGGTAGGCCGAGCCCTTGGCCTGGCTCAGCAGCCCGGCGCGCGCGTACACGGGCCGTAGCCGCGTTGGGTCGCGGGTGCCGGGCGCCTCCTCCTCGTCGGCCGCGTACAGCTGCGGCGGCTGCGATTCTTCAGGGCCGCGGATGCGGCGGTGATCCCCAGGCATGGCGGTTCTTGGCGTGCGAACCCCTTCCGCCCAACGCCCTGCCGCATCCACTGGTTCTTCCGTTGTTTAAAGACGCGCGGCTGCGCATGGGCTGTCGAGAGAGCGGCGGGAGGCACTACAGCGCCCCTGGAGGCCCGGAGGGAGAACGGCCCGGTCCCAGTTGTGCAGGGTAGCCGGATCCATCCATCTTGCTGGAAGGGAGGGGGGAGAGCAGCTCCAAGAAAGGCTTCTCTGCTTCCAACTACCTCCACCCCTCATCTACTGAATTATGAACGCCTTGCTCCAAGTCACCCCACCTATTTGGCCTCCACCTCCACAGACGTTTGAGGCAGCCCTAGGGGCTGTTCCCAAAATTTTGGGTTCTGGGGCTGGACTAGGTGAACACCACAGCAGCCAGCAGGAGCCACAGCATTTATTCTACAGACGCCAAAGGCTGTCAAAAGAGCCAGCCCCTATTGGGAAGAGGGATAGAGATCATGCGGCATTAAGTATTGCACGTGGTCCTTTTATTCTCTGCAGCAAAAACGATTCCTACTTGCTGACGCGGAAAGCTCAGGTCTGGAGAGCCGTTATCTATAGATGCGAGCGTGACGATCAACAGCAATGCGGGGTTAGTGGTTCTAGACCGATGGCACTGACGTGGAGGGCTCAGGGCAGAAATTTAAGGGGCACTGAGACATAGGACTGCTCCCAAGTGTGTTCCAGTTACTGCTGGGTTAGGAGGGGCTCTTTAAAGGTCCCAAGATTCAAATGTTCTTGTAGCAGATGAAGAGCTCTTGGCTGGACGGATGGATCCAGTGGGAGCCTCCTCCTTCCCCACTCAGTTCTTTACATCCCCGAGGCGCAGCTGGGCGAAGGAAGTGGCCAGCTGCAGCGCCTCCTGCAGGCAGCCAACGTTCTTGCCTGTGGCCTGTGCAGACACATCCTTGCCACCACCTTTACCGTCCATCAAGCCTGACACCTGCTGCACCCACTCGCTGGCTTTTAAGCCCCGATTGGCTGCATTCTAGAAGACAGGAAGGGAAGGGGGAGTCAGCACAGAAGATGGGATTGAGGGAGGAATGCAGGGAAAGAAAGGATGGAGGAGCCATCACCCACTCCTTGCCCTGGGTGATACTGCTGGAGGCCGAGACAGACTTTACGGCTGGTACAGGGGGCGGCCATGGCCACTGCCAGGACAGGACAGAGTGGCAAAGCCAGGTATCAACCAGATGTCTTCACCAATAAGAAGGCCTGGGTAAGGGGTACTGGCAAAGGTAACCAACCGGTGGGCAGAAAGGCTGTTTCGAATGCAGGCTGTACACACACAGGCCTCAGCCAACAACCTTAAGACCTAACACTTCCCACTGGTGCGAGGTGGTGCTGACCTGGGGAACTTGACACAGGCACGTGATCTTGCCAGCCTCATTGTCCACCGTGAAGAGCATGGCAGAAGTCTGAGGGGAGTGCATCTTGAAGAGCTTCAAGGCTTCATTCAGGGCCTGTGGGGAGGACCTGGCTCAGGCCACGGTGCTGGAGCAGGGACCCTCACTAGTGTGAGCATTTGCAGCCCTCAGAAGGCCTGCCACCCACCCCTACCCCTTCCCAGAGCAGGGGCTGTGCCCAGGGCCTGTGGGGAGGACCCCAGCGCCGGGCCCTGCCCCTACCCTGGCCCAGGTATGCCTCCCACATGCAGGGAGCTGCTGCTCCTCCCAATCTCAATCCCAGACCGTGGGCCCTTAGGCAACCACTTCGCTCAGAGCCACAGAGGCCACATGTCAGCCACCAGAGAGCTGATGAGCCCTAGGGGAGGGGACCCTGGCCCCTGGGTTGCCTTGGCTGAGGCGCCGCTCTCCATCTCCAGGATGACAAGAGGCTGGTTGGGGTTGCTGTCGATGAACTGCTTCGTCTTCTCTAACACCTGCAAGAAAAAAGTCCAGAACAGCAGCTCAGACCAAAAGCCCAGGCCCCGAACCCCTGGCTGTTCTGCCAGCCTTTGCCTAGGAAACACTCTGGCCACTGGTGCTGCCAGGACTCACTCGTTTCTGGACATCGGCTTTGCTGGCTCGGTCCAAGTCATCCATGACCTTCTTTAGGGATTTGAGAGTCTCCCGCAATTCATCCTTCTGCCACTGGGGGATGACTGCAGTGGCCAGGGCCTGGAACCAATAGACGACCATCTCAATCTGGGCCACAACTTGCTGGGATGTCAGGGTCCAGCCCACCCCACCCGAACCCAAGTCCTCCCTGACTAGTGTCCTGGAAAGGAAAGCAAGGAAAGCTTTGAGACCAGTCCCTTTAGGAGCAGCTGTGGCAGGTGAAACAAGCAGGGCTAGAGAGAAAGGAGCAGCAGAAAGCTGGGCTCCCAAATCAGGCCCGGTCCTTACCAGGCTGGGAACAGCCTGTGATAAGCTTCCTGGCAGCTTGAAATGCAAATAAATACCAGGCAGGCTTGGAAGCAGGGGCCAGCCTTAGCCCATTCCCCAAATCCCTCCACCCCAGTGCCCATACATGCTTGGGAAGAGCTCTCCTGCTAGCAGCACTGGGAGCAGCAGGGAATGTCCAGGGTCCAAGGACAGGATCCATGGGGTCCCTGCTACAAGGCTACAGGACAACAGAAGTCAGCCCAAAGGCCCATTCCACCAAGAACCAGGGCCTGACTGACTACAGATGATTTCCTGAAGACGGGGCATGTTTCATGCACCAGGCCCTGAGGACGGAGGGAGGGAAGCCGCCCCTACCTCTCCAAGGTCAGCGATCTCCCTCTGCACATCCTTGTTTGGAGCAGTCTGAGCCTTCACTTTGGCTTCCATGACAGAGAGACATTTCTTCAAGCTCTCTGCTTTCCTGAGGGCCTGGGAGGGGACACCGGGTCAACCCCAAGCAGGAGGTCTGAGTCAGACTCACTATCCTGTGTCTGAGCAGCTGCGGAAGCCCCGGCGGTAGGCCTTGCAGCAACATACCCCAACACCCCAAAAGTGTCTGTGGGGAGTAGGTGCTGGCAGCCCCAGGCCCCAGCAAGGAGCACAGTGCTCACAGGCCCATTGGCAAAGGCTGCACCCAACTCAGACTCAGGGGTGATCAAGCTCGAGAATCAGGAGCCCCTTCCCCCAGGAAGTGGCCACCCCTGGGGCTTTAGCACAAGTCAGACACACCAGTTCCCATGAAAGAGCACCCATCCTCTACTGCACGGCCTCAGACTAAGCACGCCCCTAGGAGTACATGGATCAGCGCTGGGGGCCCCGATGCCACAGCGAATCTATGTCTTACCCTCCTCCACATGGAGACAGGAGGGGGTAGATGGCCAGATTCACATTTTTTTTTTTTTTTTTTTTTTGGAGACGGAGTCTCGCCCCGTCACCCAAGCTGGAACGCAGTGGTGCGATCTCGGCTCACTGCAACCTCTGCCTCCCAGGTTCAAGTGATTCTCCTGCCCCAGCCTCCCAAGTAGCTGGGATTACAGACGCGCGCCACTACACCCAGCTAATTTTTGTATTTTTAGTAGAGACAGGGTTTCAGTATGTTGGTCAGGCTGGTCTCGAACTCTTGACCTAGTGATCCACCCGCCTCGGCCTCCCAAAGTGCTGGGATTACAGGCGTGAGCCACTGCGTCCGGCCTGATTCACATATATTTTAAAAGACTAAACATAGGAAAGCTAGGAGATCTTGTGTGGTGGCAGGTTTCTTCTGCCACTCAGGGGTAGGACACTGGGGCAGGGGGAGTGGCCCAGCCTGTACTTTCACTCTGACTGCAGCAGCCACGCAGAGCAGTGTTTGCTCTATGGATTCGCAGACTGGGCTCCTCTTGCCTTCTTCAGATAAGCCACAAACCAGCCTGACCTGCTCACCTTCTGGGCCTCGGCACCTGTGACAGCCACAATCCTCCGGATACCCTTGGCAATGGCTTCTTCCGTCACGATCACAAAAGCTCCTGCATGACTCGAGTTCCGCAGGTGCCTGAATGGCAGAACACAAAGTCCATAGTGAAAGAGGCCCTGGCAGCCCTTGGCTGGGGGGTCACACTAGCGGACAAGAGAAGCAGGAATGGGTTGACAGTCAGGGAAAGCCTGGGCTTGAGAGTATTCTGACACCAAGCGGGACACCAGCTCGCTGAGCCTGAGTGTTCTCAGTTCTCAAATGGGGATGATTCTCCCCACACAGTTGCTGTGAAAATCAAATGAGGTAAACATGAAAGTGCTTTGTGGTCCCTAATATCCAATACAGTCTTACCCTTAGGCTCTACGTGACAGTTTTGGTCTTGTAGTGGAACTTAAGCTCCATTTTTGTATTCTGCTCACTAGGTGACAATTTTGGAGGATTACTTTTAAAATCTTACCACAACCCCTTAAACAGGCTTTATTTCTCAGTTCAGAGAACCTCAAATGTTCATTAATTCATCCTCATTCTTTGAAGATAGTATAGTTTTTTTTGTTTGTTTGTTTTGAGACAGAGTCCTGTTCTGTTGTTCAGGCTGGAGTGCAATGGTGTGATCTTGGCTCACCACAACCTCTGCCTCCCAGTTTCAAATGATTCTCTTGCCTCAGCCACCCAAGTAGCTTGGATACAGGTGCCCGCCACCACTCCTAATTTTTGTATTTTTAGTACAGACAGGTTTTCACCATGTTGCACAGGCTGGTCTTGAACTCCTGACCTCAAGTGATCTGCCTGCCTCAGCCTCCCTAAGTGCTGGGATTAAAGGCATGAGGCAACATACCCAACCCTTGGTATAAAGTTTTTGAAAGCTGTTTCCTGTAGTCTAAAGGGTATGAGCAAACAGGTAATCAGGCAAAGTGGGACTCGTTTGAAGGCCCAATTCAGCTGGGCAGAAAAGCCTTGAACTCAATCCCCCAGGCCCCTATCCTACTCTCTGCACATCCTACTTGCTCCCTGCCTGCCAGAGGCCTGCAGGAGACCCTGGAGGGTCTCAACCATGACATTAAGAATGTTCTTTTCAGCCGGGCGTGGTGGCTCACACCTGTAATCTCAGCACTTTGGGAGGCTGAGGCGGGTGGGTCACCTGAGATCAGGAGTTCAAGACCAGCCTGACCAACGTGGAGAAACCCCCTCTCTACTAAAAATACAAAATTAGGCCAGGCACGGTGGCTCACACCTGTAATCCCAGCACTTTGGGAGGCTGAGGTGGGTGGCTCACGAGGTCAGAAGATGGAGACCATCCTGGCTAACAGGGTGAAACCCCATCTCTACTAAAAATACAAAAAATTAGCTGGGCGTGGTGGTGTGTGCCTGTAGTCCCAGCTACTCAGGAGGCTGAGGCAGGAGACTCGCTTGAACCCTGGAGGTGGAGGTTGCAGTTAGCCAAGATTGCGCCATTGCACTCCAGCCTGGGCAATGAAACTCCGTCTCAAAAAAAAAAAAAGAATGTTCTCTTCATGGCTGGGCATGGGGGCACATGCCTATAGTCCCAGCTACTTGGGAGGCTGAGGCATGAGAATCGAAGCCAGGAGGTAGAGGTTGCAATGAGCCGAGACTGTGCCACTACACTCCACCCTGCGGGACAGAGCAAGACTCCACTTCAAAAAAACAAACAAAAAAAACCACAATTCTTTTCACAAGGCTTCATTTGGAAGCAGAAACTTTCCAGGCCACCATGACCTTCCCAAAAAGGCCCAGAGAGATACAGAGGAATCCAAATTGGCAGAAGTGGCTATCCCAAGCCAAACTGAGCTGAGTCAACCACGTGGCCTGCTCGGGGGCTCTGAGACAATGGAGCTACATTCCCCAGATGCCGCCCAAGCTGTCAAAGGAAATTAGGTGAGATACCAGGAATGGGAAGGGCTAGGCCCACATCAAGAGCTCAACAAGCACTCCAGGCCTTGCTGAATCCCAAATTCACACAAGCCTTCTTGCTAGTTTCAGCCCAGCAAACAACAGCAAGCAACTGTGTGGTAATGTGAATACAATGTTTTCCCCCTTTTCCTCCTGGGAATGTTTCGTCAGGAAATGTTACCTTCAGATACAGGGATCTAATGAGCATGCTAGGATGCTGAGATTCTTGGGAACGCTATTTAGCAACGGCATTTCTGAGGACTTCACTTCAACCTTAGACAGACAAGAGTTGGTCCAGCCTAAGACCTACATCCTCAGAGGATGAAGGTAGATGACCTGTCTACTCTGCCCCTCTGCAGTACTCACGTTCCCCCACAGAACTCAACAGAAGTCAGGGAGCCAGCAGGCCCAGAGGGGTCATCCAGCAACTCGGACACCGGGACCCCAATGGAGACGACTCGCACAGGGTCAGGATAGGTCTCATCAAACACAGCCCGTAGGCCCTGGATGGCTTTCGCTGCTGCCAGGGGGCAATCCTGGGTATAGACGGCCTGCCAGACCAAGAAGACAGAAAAGAGCTGGAAGAGATCCCTGGAGGTGCGGTACGACGAGGCAGGAAAGCATGGTCCTGCAGGCAGGACTCGGGTTCCAACCTGGCTTGGCCTAGCACGTGCCATGAGCTTCCTCAATCACACGCCACGTGCAAAGTCAAGGGCATCAGTATGGGAATTTCCAACTATTTTGTTAAACTGTGGACCAAATCTCATATGTGAACAGACTTAACTAGAACAGCTCTGGTTCTCCCAAGGTGGGGTGGGACAAATGCCTCTCCCTCTCCCCTCCACCAACCACCACCACTGCCCCCGGCAAAAGCACAGATGGAGAATCACTGCTTTAAACAAACTTTTTTTTTTTTTGAGACGGAGTCTCGCTCTGTTTCCCAGGCTAGAGTGCAATGGCGCAATCTCGGCTCACTGCAAGCTCCACCTCCCGGGTTCACACCATTCTCCTGCCTCAGCCTCCTGAGTAGCTGGGACTACAGGTGCCCGCCACCACGCCCGGCTAATTTTTTCTATTTTTAGTAGAGACAGGGTTAGCCAGGATGGTCTCAATCTCCTGACCTCGTGATCCGCCCGCCTCGGCCTCCCAAAGTGCTGGGATTACAGGCGTGAGCTACCGTGCCCAGCCTGCTTTAAGCAAATCTACGTGCAGGACGAATCTGATACAACAGAGTGAGAGCACCGCACTGCTAAGACTGTGGACAGACAGTGACGGTGTGGGGAGGGGGGGCATTCAGCCGTCGCCCATCCTACCTTGGCTGCCTCAATCATCTCATTAGCAATCTCTTCAGCCTTCTTGATCTGTTGGGTGGACATGGCTCCCTTGGCAGTAAAGTCAAATCTGAGGCGGTCAGGAGCAACCAATGAGCCTTTCTGGTCAGCTTCCCCAAGCACTGAGCGCAGGGCGAAGTTCAGAATGTGCGTAGCTGTGTGGTTGCTCATGATGGGTCTTCGTCGGGGCTGGAAAGGGCAGAGGGGCTCATGGAGAGGTCTGTAATAGACTGCTAGTTATCTCCTCGTTATCTGCTCCCCCGAGTGCTACAATTTTTAGTTGGAAATATGGCTGTGCAGAATAAAGGTTACATTTCCCAGCTTCCCTATGGCTAAGTGTGTCCATGTGACTAAGTTCGGGTCAAAAGGTTTTGAACAGAAGTGATGTCTACCATTAAAGGGATGGGGCAGGTCCTCCCATTTCTTTTCCACCGCCTAGAACAGGAATTGCCAAATGACGGCCGATGGCTAAATCTAGCCTGTCATCTGTCTTTTCATTTTTAGAGACAGGGTCTTGCTCTGTCACCCAGGATAGAGTACAGCGGCGCGATTGTAGCTCAGTGCCACCTCAAACTCCTGGGCTCAAGTGATCCTCTTGCCTCAGCCTCCCAAGTAGCTGGGACTACAGGCACACACCACTACCCCCAACTAATATTTTTTATTTTTTTGTAGAGATGGGGTCTCATGTTGTTGCCCAGGCTGGGTCTCAAACTCTTGGCCTCAAGCAATCCTCCCACCTCAGCCTCCCCAAATGTATGTGTTTATAAATTTTTATAAACAGTTTTTTTTTTTTATAAGGAGTTTCGCTCTTGTTGCCCAGTCTGGAGTGCTATGGCATGATCTCGGCTCACTGCAGCCTCCATCTCCCGAGTTCAAGCGATTCTCCTGCCTCAGCCTCCTGAGTAGCTGGGATTACAGGCATGCACCACCACACCCGGCTAATTTTGTATTTTTAGTAGAGACAGGGTTTCTCCATGTTGGTCAGGCTGGTCTCGAACTCCCGACCTCAGGTGATCTGCTCGCCTCGGCCTCCCAAAGTGCCGGGATTACAGGCATGAGCCACTGTGCCCAGCCATAAACAGGTTTATTGGAACACAGCCACACCTGTTCATTTACATATGGTCAATGGCTGCTTGAACACTCCAACTATAGAGCTGAGTACTCATCACCAGGAACATGTGGTCAGCAAAGCCAAAAATATTTAGTATCCAGTTATTTACACAAAGTTTGCCAACCCCTGGCCTAGACAATGGATCTGATAGCTATCCTCTGAACCAGGAAATCAAAGGCAATGCCCCAGGAAAGAAGGTGGAGTGACAGGTGAGGAGAAACCAGGCCCTCTGACTGTGGGGCAGAGCCTCCGTATCAGCTTGAGCTTTTTAGAACATACACTGCTATCCTGGTTTTAAGCTACTCTTACTCTGGAGCTCTGTCACATGCCAGAGCCTACCTCTTCATTCTTCAGCATCCTTGGCTCCCAAAGAAGTAGGTGACGTTAGAAAAGCAATCCGTGAAAACAAGTCCACGGGATCTTAACTGAAATCACTGGTGAAATCACTGACTTGGGAACATATAGATTAACTCTTAGTTGCATCCCTCACAATCCACCAAATGCACCTAAATTAACCCCTGCGGTCTACTTACACTAGGGAGTGATAACAGTGACAGGACAATTTTTTTTTTGAGGCGGAGTCTCGCTCTGTTGCCCAGGCTGGTGTGCAGTGGCGGGATCTTGGCTCACTGCAAGCTCCCCCTCCCGGGTTCACGCCATTCTCCTGCCTCAGCCTCCCGAGTAGCTGGGACTATAGGCGCCTGCCACCACGCCCAGCTCATTTTTTATATTTTTAGTAGAGACGGGGTTTCACCGTGTTAGCCAGGATGGTCTCGATCTCCTGACCTCATGATCCACCCGCCTCGGCCTCCCAAAGTGCTGGGATTACAAGTGTGAGCCACCACACCCGGCCCAACAGTGACAGGACAATTTAAAGCCAGAGGAGAAGATAATTACTAACCAGATCCAATGGGGGCCACAGTAACCCAACTCACCTCATCAATAAACAGCCAGACCTGATCCCCCACTTTCAGGTCACCGTAGATGGTTCCAATGTGTAGCACATACCCTCCTCGGACCTGAGCATTCTTCACTGTAAACTCTGTTTTCTAAGAGGGGTCAAGGAAGAGACCAATAAATAAATCCTTAAAAACATACAAATTTTCTTATATTTTCAATATAAACTCGTGTATATAACTTCTCTTTACATATGTAAATTGCACACACACACATACTCCCTTAATATCATTAAATATGATTAAATAGGCCAGGTGCAGTGGCTCATGACTGTAATCCCAGCACTTTGGGAGGCTCAGGTGAGTAGATCACCTGAGGCCAGGAGTTCGAGACCAGCTTGGCCAACATGGTGAAATCCCATCTCTACTAAAAAAATACAAAAATTAGCCAGGCGTGAAGGCAAGTGCCTATAATTCCACCTACTCAGGAGGCAGAGGCAGGAGAATCGCTTGAACCCGGAAGGCAGAGGTTACAGTGAGCCAAGATCATGCCACTGCACTCCAGCCTTGGCTACAGAGCGAGACTCCATCTCAAAAAAAAAAAAAAAAAATTAAATATATTTGTGCACACACACAGACATAACCAATATTAAGGAGCATCTTAGAATTTTTTTTTTTTTTTTGAGACAGAGTCTCGCTCAGCCACCCAAGCTGGAGTGCAGTGGCGCAATCTCGGCTCACTGCAACCACCCTCTCCTGGGTTCAAGCGATTCTCCCCTCTCAGCTTCCCGAGCAGGTGGGATTACAGGCATCCACCACCATACCTGGCTAATTTTTGTATGTCAGTAGAGACAGGGTTTCACCATGTTGGCCAGGCTGGTCTTGAACTCCTGACCTCAGGCGATCCACCCGCCTTGGCCTCCCAAAGTGCTAGGATTATAGTCATGAGCCACCACACCCAGCCGCATCTTTGAGTATCTAAAAGCCTCCATAAGGAACCTGAAGCCTAGGGAGACAAAGTAACTCATTCAGCAGCGGCAGAGCTCGAGGCTGAGTTTTCTACAAGGACATCTCCCCTTCAGAGAGCTGCCTCTCCTTTTTAATGTGCAAAGCTTGTAGGAAACTTGTACCCTGGCTGCAAAAATACTCCTACGAGGGTACCCGATGGCCAGGAAAGCAACAGGTACAAGCAACAGCTCCCTCGGCTTCAGAAATACCATGGAACCCAACCCAAAGGTGTGTCAGGTCTGCTCCCAAGGCCTGGAGCACTGTGGGGCAAAAGCAGCTCCCCGGCTCCACGCCTGGCCCTCCTCGGCTAACAAGGAAGAACTGTTGGCTCACATCTTCACTGCTGTCATCCACCTTCACCAGGTAGCCTTCGTCATAGATCTGGCCTCCTTGCTCAGCATAGAAACAGGTCTTGTCCAGCACCACTCCACACTCCTGGCCTGTGGACACCTCTTCCACGAACATCTTCTCCCTGCGCAGAGCCATCACCGTAGCCACTGTGTTCTCAAATACTGCTCAAGGGAAATGCATAGAAAGGGGACAGTGGGGTCAATGACCTTTTCACTCCTTCTTGGCTGACTTTTGCTGGATTCTCTTTCGCAAACTCTTCTTAGCTCCTAATTGTCCAATTGTATTTTGGAAGCAAACTCATTAGACAATATGAAAGGGCTTCGCGGCCGGGCGCGGTGGCTCCCCCTATAATCCCAGCACTTTGGGAGGTCGAGGCAGGCGGATCACGGGGTCAAGAGATCGAGACCATCCTGGCTAACACGCTGAAACCCTGTCTCTACCAAAAATACAAAACATTAGCCGGGTGTGGTGGCGGGCACCTGTAGTCCCAGCTACTCAGGAGGCTGAGGCAGAAGAATGGCGTGAACCCAGGAGGCGGAGCTTGCAGTGAGCCGAGATTGTGCCACTCCACTCCAGCCTGGGTGACAAAGCAAGACTCGGTCTCAAAAAAAAAAAAAAAAAAAAAAAAAAAAAAACAACAACAACAAAGGGCTTCGCATGCTGGCTTTCCATCAAAGAATGCAACACTCTGTCGGGTGACCAACTGTCCCAATTTTTAGGACTGAGGGGTTTCCTGGGATGCAGGCTTCAGTGTTAAAACTGGGACAATGGGTTACCCTAACTCTGAGCTACTGAACAGAAACTTGGTGCATCAGATTAGTAGATCTTTAAGAGTAGTAATAAATTCCCTAGTCCAAGGTCAACTCACAAAGAATGTACTCATTTTGTAGGCTTGCTTGAATAGATTTAGGTGTAAGATTGTTCTCAGCCGGGCACGGTGGCTCACACCTGTCATCCTGGCACTTTGTGAGGCTGAGACGGGTGGATAACCTGAGCTCAGCAGTTTGAGACCAGCCTGGCCAACACGGTGAAACCCCGTGTCCACTACAATACAAAAATTAGCCAGGTGTGGTGGCACATGCCTGTAATCCCAGTTAATTGGGAGGCTGAGGCAGGAGAATCACTTCAAGCTGGGAGGCAGAAGTTGCAGTGAGCCGAGAATGCGCCACTGCACTCCAGCCTGGGTGACAGAGCGAAACTCCATCTCAAAAAAAAAAAAAAGATTGTTCTCTACCAGGGCAAAAAAGCTGCAAAAACATGTATTGCCAATTTATTTTTATGTTTTTTTTGAGACAGGGTCTCACTCTGTAGCCCAGGCTGGAGTGCAGTGGCACAAATATGGCTGACTGCAGCCTCTCAATCTCCCAGGCTCAAGTGATCCTCCTGCCTCAGCCCCACAAATAGCTGGGACTACAGGCATGCGCCACCACACCTAGCTAATTTTTGTATTTCTGGTAGAGACAGGGTTTCGCCATGTTGCCCAGACTGGTCTCAAACACCAGAGCTCAACTGATCAGCCCACCCTGGCATCCCGAAGTGCTGGGATTACAGGCATGAGTCATTGCACTGGCTTTGTTTCTTAACTTTAGAATACTATTATCCGGTCGGGCGAGATGGCTTACGCCTGTAATCCCAGCACTTTGGGAGGCCAAGGCAGGCAGATCATGAGGTCAGGAGTTTGAGACCTGCCTGGCAAACATGGTGAAACCCTGTCTCTACTAAAAACACAAAAATCAGCCGGGTGTGGTGGTGCGTGGCTGTAATCCCAGCTACTTGGGAGGCTGAGGCCGGAGAATCGCTTGAACCCAGGAGGTGGAGGTTGCAGTGAGCCGAGATCACACTATTGCACTCCAGCCTGGGCAACAGAGGGAGATTCCATCTCAGAAAAAAAAAAGAATGCTATTAGGATAATAGCATTCTAACAGCATTAGGATAATAGAATCCTAATAGCATTCTTTTTCTTTTTCCCCGAGACGGAATTTCACTCTTGTTGTCCAGGCTGGAGTGCAATGGCATGATCTTGGCTCACTGCAACCTCTGCCTCCCAGGTTCAGGCGATTCTCCTGCCTCAGCCTCCCGAGTAGCTGGGATTACAGGGGCACGCCACCACGCCCGGCTAATTTCCGTATTTTTAGTAGAGATGGGGTTTCATCATGTTGGTCAGGCTGGTCTCAAACTCCTGACCTTAGGTGATCCACCTGCCCCGGCCTCCCAAAGTGTTGGGATTACAGGTGTGAGGCACAGCGCCAGGCCCCTAATAGCATTCTGATAGTCACTGTGGATTGTATCAATGTCAATTGCCCAGTTTCCTGCATGATGTTACAATTAGGGGAAACTGGATAAAAGGGTGTGAGACCCTTCCTACAAATTTTTTTTTTTTACAACTTCCTGTGACAATAATTATTTCAAAATAGAGTTAAGAAAACCTCCAGCCAAGGGTGCCTATGTGTATAAAAGTGCATAGCGTGACTGTACGGCACTCCAGGAGAGGCTGTCAGCAGTCTGCTGGAGAGCTAATCTTGAGAAACAATCTTTCAAATACCCCCCAGATACGGGGCAGAATGCTCAGATGTGGAAGGAGCACAGCAACATACCATAGCTACCACTGGAGTCCAAATGGTAATTGTACTTTGGGGAATCATCTGTGACCTCCAGACCCCGTGCCCGGAGCTCTTCGATAGCGTAAATGTCCAGCATAATGAGGTCTTCCCCACCAGCTCCCTTGCCCTGTGATTTCAGCTGTCAGCAAGAGAAACAAGCATAAGTTACCGTAAAGTAGGAGAAAAGGGACTCCAAAGGACTGGAACTTGCTAAACTATGCCCAGCATAAACTGCCAGAACAGGGTTTTTCAATCCTGGCACTACTGACATTTGGGGCCAGATCATTCTCTGTTGTGGAAACTTCTCTTGCAGTGTGGGATGCTGAGGGGCACCCTGGCCTCTACCAAGTACGTGACAGCAGGATCTGCCCCTAGTTGTGAAAATCAAAAATGTCTTCAGACATTATCGCCAATTACTCCCTGGAAGGCAGACTCGCCCCCACTTGAGAACCACTGATCTAGGGGAAAAAGCACTTCAAAGACTTTAATGGAAGGAAACTCATGCTCAGTCTGCAGCCAAGTGGTGCTGGGTTGGAAGGTGTTGGGTTTCCTGTTCACTCTCCAAGTTCTTTACCTGGGCCAGTTTCCTCTCCTCTTCAAAGCCATCCATGTCTACCACCAGGCCCTTCTCTTCAGCAATCAGTCCAGTCAGATCCACTGGAAACCCATAGGTGTCATAGAGGAGCCAAGCAGTGTCTCCTACACAGCACAAAGGAGGTGTGTCAAAAAAAACAGACAGCCCCTTTTCCATGCCAAGCCCTCCAAAAGGATGCTGGGACTGGCAGAAGGAATTAAAGACACAAGGCTATCAGTATCGGCCCTGTGTGCCCATCAGAAAATCCAGCACATCTTTTTCAGTTAACCTGGGGGAAGCACAATGGATGTCCTGATACAATTCTGTTTTGTTTTGTTTTGTTTTTTAAACCTCACCTGGGCTGGGCACCGTGGCTCGCGCCTGTAATCCCAGCACTTTGAGAGGCCGAGGCGGGCGGATCATGAGGTCAGGAGATTGAGACCATCCTGACTAACATGGTGAAACCCCGTCTCTAGGAAAAATACAAAAAATTTGGCCAGGCGCTGTGGCTCACGCCTGTAATCCCAGCACTTTGGGAGGCCGAGGCGGGCGGATCAGGAGGTCAGGAGATCGAGACCATCTTGGCCAATACGGTGAAACCCTGTCTCTACTAAAAATACAAAAAAATTAGCCGGGCATGGTGGCGGGCGCCTGTAGTCCCAGCTACTCGGGAGGCTGAGGCAGGAGAATGGCGTGAACCCGGGAGGTGGAGCTTGCAGTGAGCCGAGATAGCGCCACTGCACTCCAGCCTGGGCGACAGAGCAAGACTCTGTCTCAAAAATAAAAAATAAAAAAAAATAAATAAAAAAATTGCCAGGCGCGGTGGCGGACACCTGTAGTCCCAGCTACTAGAGAGGCTGAGGCAGGAGAATGGCATGACCCTGGGAGGCGGAGCTTGCAGTGAGCTGAGATCACACCACTGCACTCCAGCCTGGGCAACAGAGTGAGACTCCATCTCAAAAACAAAAACAACCTCACCTGGACAATTTTCTATTTCTTTTTTTTTGAGAGTCTCACTCTGTTGCCCAGGCTGGAGTGTACTGGTGTGATCTCGGCTCATTGCACTCTCCAGCTCCAGGATTCAAGCGATTCTCCTGCTTCAGTCTCCCGAGTAGCTGGGATTATGGGTGCCCGCCATCATGCATGGCTAATTTTTGCATTTTTAGTAGAGATGGGGTTTTACCATGTTGGCCAGGCTGGTCTCAAATTCCTGACCTCAGGTGATCTGCCTGCCTCAGCCTCCCAAAGTGATGGGATTAAAGGTGTGAGCCACTGTGCCCAGCCTTACACATCTATTTCTTTTTCTTTTTCTTTTTGAGATGGTGTTTCGCTCTTGTTGCCCAGGCTGGAGTGCAGTGGCATGATTTTGGCTCAATGCAACCTCCGCCTCCCCGGTTCAAGCAATTCTCCTGTCTCAGCCTCCCAAGTAGCTGGGATTACAGGCGCATGCCACCACACCCAGCTAATTTTTTGTATTTTTAGTAGAGACGGGGTTTTGCCATGTTGGGCAGGCTGGTCTTGAACTCATGACCTCGTGATCCGCCCGCCTCGGCATCCCAAAGTGCTAGGATTACAGGTGTGAGCCACCACACCCAGCTGACAAATCTATTTCTTGATCTGAATGTGTGTTCAATTTGTGAAAATTCATCAAGCTTTTCCCTTGTTCATTATACTTCAATAAAGAATCTTTGGAAACTGGGGAGAAAATCTTTGGAATTAATTTTCCCCAAATTGCAAAACAGTACATACCAAATATTCCCACTTTTGCTTGAAAAATACACACACACAAATATCTACATGTATTTGCATGCAAACAGAGAAGAATCCTGAAGAGTTCTACACCAAACCATTAAGAGTTGTTCCCTCTGAGAAATGAGTGTGGAAAAGAGGATTTTCATTTTCTGAACACTTTTGTATTCTGTATTGTTTGAATACTTTGGCCACAATGATGCATTACTTTTACCATTTTACTATAAATTCCAGTTTGCACCAAAAGCAATTCAATCAAGCTATGTTCAGCCTCAGAGACATGAGAGCCCACAGTCAGTCTGTCAGAAAGGGCTTGTCTTTCCCAGAAAGATCAAACGGCCAGGATGGAGAAGGGCAAAAACTGGTACCTACCGGGAATGGTCTTGCTGTCTCCCAGGCTCTGAATTTTCCTGTCCAGGATGCGACGCCCTCTGCTGAGAGTCTTGAGAAACTGCACCTCTTCTTCATTAATGATGTCCTTCACCATGTCTGGGTCCTTCTTCAGCTCAGGAAATGCATCTCCCTGACAAAGGGGAAGCAAGATGAGGGGCTGGATGAAGCCAGAGACTGTTCCCTGCCCCGTCTTAAAAAAGCTCCTTAGCTGGGTGCAGTGGCTCACGCCTGTAATCCTACCACTTTGGGAAGCCGAGGCAGGTGGATTGCCTGAGCTCAGGAGTTCAAGACCAGCCTGGGCAACACGGTGAAACCCTGTCTCTACTAAAACAGAAAAGATTAGCCAGGCTTGGCGGTGTGCACCTGTAATCCCAGCTATTCGGAAGGCTGAGACAGGAGAATCGCTTGAACCCAGGAGACAGAGGTTGCAGTGAGCCAAGATCACTCTATTGCACTCCAGCGTGGGTGACAGAGTGAGACTCCGTCTCAAAAAACAGCAACAAAAAGCTGCTTAACAGTATGCCCTCTCCCACTCCATCCCTCTTAACGGACTGCTTTAGCACAGAAGGGTAAGCAGAGAAATAAACCTACCAGGGACTGGACGACAACATCCACTAACGTAGCAAAGAAGCCCCTGCTGGCATTGAGCTTTTCATGGGCGTATCGGACAGCTCGGCGGAGAATCCGTCTCAACACATATCTGTAAGAGGCAAAAACTAGTCCCCAACGTTCCCAGCTGAGGGTTTTGTCTTGAGTCCCTTGGAATCCTACCCAAAGCAACACCTCTTTCAGGAACTTTCTTTTATCCTAAGCCTGCTTCTTTCGCATTCCCCAAGGTCATTAATTTTAGCACAAGACTCAGTAACATACCCACAAATACCCGTCAAGGCTTCCCTAGGGTAAACGCTGGTTTGTTTTCCTTTCACATTCAGTTACCCATAGAGGGAGGAAAGATGGACAGACCAGATGTGTACTTGATGCCTGTGATCCCAGGTCCTGCCTGTCAGTAAGAGAGATTCCCAGGGCTGGTCAATACCTACCCTCACCCTGCCCCTGCCAATCTCCTATCAGGCAACTTTGAATACAATCCTTATCATCTGTACTCAGCAGCAGAGATTTAATATAGTGGCAACTCTGTGACACTAGCTGAAACTCCCTTCATCCCTTAAAAAAGGGGTGGGGGATTCTTCCACCTGCCCAAGACAAGGAAACAATAACGAAAGATGGCTTTAAGTTTCATAAAGAGGCCGGGCATGGTGGCTCACACCTGTAATCCCATCACTTTGGGAGGTCGTAGCAGGTGGATCATCTGAGGTCAGGAGTTCGAGACCAGCCTGGCCAACATGGCAAAACCCCACCTCTGGCCGGGCACGGTGGCTCACGCCTGTAATCCCAGCACTGTGGGAGGCCGAGGCGGGCGGATCACCTGAGGTTGGGAGTTTGAGACCAGCCTGACCAACATGGAAGGAACCCCATCTTTACTAAAAATACAAAACTAGGCATGGTGGCTCATGCCTGTAATCCCATCTATTCGGGAGGCTGAGGGAAAAGAATTGCTTGAACTCAGGAGGTGGAGGTTGCGGTGAGCCAAGATCGGGCCATTGCACTCTAGCCCGGGCAACAAAAGCAAAATTCTGTCTCAGAAAAAAAAAAAAAAAAAAAAAAAAAAAAAAAAAAAAAACAACCGTCTCTACTAAAAGTACAAAAATTAGCCAGGCGTGGTGGTGTGCACCTATAATCCCAGCTACGTGGGAGGCTGAGGCAGAATCACTTGAACCCAGCAGGCAGAGGTTGCAGTGAGGCAAGATCACGCCATTGTACTCCAGCCTGGGCAACAGAGCAACACTCAATCTCACACACAAAGAAAAGTTTCATAAAGAGTCACACATAGCACACGTGGTGCCGCTCCAAACACCACCCAGTGTGCAGCATACTTACCCACGCCCTGTGTTGTCAGGCCGGCCACCATCAGCCAGTGCCACAGTGATGGTCCGAGCGTGGTCAGCCAGCACCCGGTAGGCCATGTCAATCCCATCGGCATCCTCAGCACCAACTTTCCCAGTGTATGGTCGGGCACCTGTGCCCTATAGATAAGAATCAGGAGGCAGCCCTTTAGGAAGCAGACTTTCTGGCGCTACCTTGCCCAAGGAGGTTCCTGGAGGATTGAGGAGCATTAGCAGAAAGGATGCCGGTCTTGCCAGATCCTATAACCCCAAGAACGTGACATTGGGGAAGTAGAGAGACTCCAGCCAGCCCCTACACTCAAAAATTATACTGTCTCAGGTCTAGAGCCTCACATTATTATTTTTTTTTTGTAGTCAGCTATTTAATTAGGTTCTTAAGACATTTAGAACACCAATTTGTGGAGCCTCACATTATTAACAATGAAGTAGGCAGATGGAAATGGGTACCCTTGGCTGGCAAAGCATATGGTCATTTTTTCTTTGACAGCACTGTTAAGAGTACAGCCTGGAAAACTCCACAGAAGTTTACAATGTTTGCAATAGCACCAGTACCTTCTGAATGGCTTCAAAGTAAGGGACAAAAAGGTCAGTGTCATAGTTGGACATCTTATTCTGCAGCACAGATACCAGTCGTTCCAGGCCCATCCCTGTGTCAATGCTTTTCTTGGGAAGAGGTTTCAGAATGCCATCAGCTTCCCTGTATGATCCAGAAGAAGAGGAGGTTGAAGCAGAGACTCAAGCTGCCACCTCTCCAGTCCCTGCTGGTTAAAATTCATTTACAGAACAGTTTGCAGGCTGTGACCATCTGCCATTTGCCCGGTTTGGTGGGAAGAGGGAAGTGGAGGGAGAAAGGAAGGAGAAAGGAAGAGTTCATTCTTAAATGAACTCTGGGGTTCATTTAAGAGTGAGGAAAGGCCAGGCGCAGTGGCTCATGCCTGTAATCCCAGCACTTTGGGAGGCCGAGGTGGTGGACCATCTGAGGTCAGGAGCTCGAGACCAGCCTGCTCAACATGAAGAAACCCCATCTCTACTAAAAATACAAAATTAGCCGAGCATGGTGGCACATGCCTGTAATCCCAGCTACTCGGGAGGCTGAAGCAGGAGAATCGCTTGAACCCAGGAGGCGGAGGTTGTGGTGAGCTGAGATTTCACCATTGCACTACAGCCTGGGCAACAAGAGCAAAACTCCATCTCAAAAAAAAAAAAAAAAAAGAAAAGAAAAAGACTGGGCATGGTGGCTCACGCCTGTAATACCAGCATTTTGGGAGGCCGAGGCGGGGGAATCACTTGAGGTCAGGAGTTCGAGACCAGCCTGGCCAACATGATGAAACCCCATCCCTGCCAAAAATATTTTAAAAATTAGCCTGGCATGGTGGCATGCACCTGTAACCCTAGCTACTCAGGAGGCTGAGGCAGGAGAACTCAGCAGGCTGAGGCAGGAGAATCGCTTGAACCCAGCAGGCAAAGGTTGCAGTGGGCTGAGATCTTGCCACTGCACTCCAGCCTGGGTGACAGAGCAAGACTCCATCTCCAAAAACAAAAACAAAAACAAAAACAAAACTGAGGCAAGCTTCAAGGAAATAGGCTTTAAAACAGCAGTCCAGTTCTGGCACGGTGGCTCACACCTATAATCCCAGCACTTTGGGAGGCTGAGGCGGGCGGATCACCTGAGGTTGGGAGTTCGAGACCAGCCTGACCAACATGGAGAAACCCCGTCTCCACTAAAAATACAAAATTAGCCGGGCGTGGTGGCACATGCCTGTAATCCCAGCTACTCGGAAGGCTGAGGCAGGAGAATCGCTTGAACCCAGGGCACAGATGTTGCAGTAAGCCAAGATCACACCATTGCACTCCAGCCTGGGTAACAAGAGGAAAACTCTGTCTCAAAAAAACAAAAAAAAAAAACAGCAGCCCGAAGTACAGCAAGCATGACATTATAGGAATAGCTCGCAAGAAGCTATTATGTGCGATAAGGTTTAGTTCATGAAAGAATAGGCCCATCCTTGTTCCAGAGATCAGACAGGTAATCTGAGAAATAAAGAAATGAGCTTTTAGCTGAGAAGAGAGCTACACAGCTCCGAGTTCCTCCTCCCCTGCTCAGCTCAAGGAAAGGAATGGAGTAGGAACCCAAGGCTACCTGTTATACTGGATGAACACAAGGTTCCAGATCTCCAGCACATTAGGGTCGTCCTGGTTGACAAGATGTGCGGCGTCCCGACCACCAATCCGGTCGTAGTGGATCTCACTGCAAGGACCACAGGGGCCCGTGTCACCCATCTCCCAGAAGTTATCCTTCATGTTGCCTGGGAGGATTTTGGTGTCATCCAGCCTGACAAAGGAGTAAAGATAAGTCCAGTTACAGCCCCTGACAAGAGTTCTGCCCAGACTTGCAACCACCGCAAAAGAAATTCTTAGGATTGGCCGGGCACAGTGGCTCATGTTACTGCACTCCAGCCTAGACAACAGAGCGAGACTCTGTCTCAAAAAAGAAAAAAAAAAAATTCTTAGAATTTTTAATGAAGAAGTTCCAACCTTCAGCAAGTACTAATGCTAAGCCTGCACATTAAACCTGCTAAAGAAGCTGGGCGTGGTGGCTCATGCCTGTAATCCCAGCATTTTGGGAGGCCGAGGCGGGCGGATCACCTGAGGTTGGGAGTTTGAGACCAGCCTCATCAACATGGAGAAACCTTGTCTCTACTAAAAATACAAAAAATTAGCTGGGTGTGGTGGCGCATGCCTGTAATCCCAGCTACTCGGGAGGCTGAGGCAGGAGAATCACTAGAACCCAGGAGGCAGAGGCTGCGATGAGCCGGGATCGCGCCATTGCACTCCAGCCTGGGCAACGAGAGCAAAACTCCATCTCAAAAAAAAAAAAAAAAAAAAAAAAAAAAAACCCGCTAAAGAAACAGCACATGACTCTTCTCAAGAGTGCCTACAATAGAAGACAGTACAAAATATACACATGATATGCTCGAAACTCAATGAAAATACACAAGGACATGAGTAAGGCCTAGAAAGGAACACATAATAATGAAAACGCTGGCCACGCGCATTGCTTGAGCTCAGGAGTTCGAGACCAGCCTGGGCAACATTGCGAAACCCCGACTCTCTAAAAAATACAAAAAAAAATTAGCTGGGGGGGTGATGCATACCTGTAGTCCCAGCTACTCGGGAGAGGATCACTTGAGCCCAGGAAGTTGAGGCTGCAGTGAGCTGTGATCATGCCACTGCACTCCAGCCTGGGTGACACACACACACACACACACACACACACACACACAAAAGATTGTGCTTGCTTATCTTTTAAAAGCTACACTTTTAAAGTGTAGATATACAGTACATGAAGTCAAGGTAAAAGAGGATTTTAAAAACCAGCGTCAAGATTAATATTTAATTTTTACAGGTGTCACTACCCAAAATTCCAACTACACTTAGACTACAGAGTCAACCGAATAGGAGTTTTAGATCAAGTAAAAGGGGAAGTTGGGTTGGAATAATATATCTAGAGTAAAAGTAATTAAAAAAAGAGAAGCAGCCCTGTTTCCAAGTATAGTAAAAAGCTATGCACTAAAGGATGAAAGAATTAAGTAAAAGGAACAAGAAAATGAGGCAAACACATCATGGACAGCCCAGCTGTCTACAGAGGGCACACACCCCATGTTCAGATTCTCCTTGATGCAGCACTTCACAAATTCGACCAAGTTCACAGCACAGAACACATATAGCTCACCTACTGTCTTAGCTTTTATACTATGTGATTATACTTTAGAATTACATTATGCCAAAAAAACTGGCTAGGCACAGTGGCTCATATCTGTAATCCCAGCAATTTGAAAGGTCAAGGCAGGTAGATCGCTTGAGCTCAGGAGTTCAAGATCAGCCTGGGCAACATAGCAAAACCCTGTCCCTACAAAAAATACAAAAATTAGCCAGACAGGGCCGGGCGCAGTGGCTCACGCCTGTAATCCCAGCACTTTGGGAGGCCAAGGCAGGCCGATCATGAGGTCATGAGATCGAGACCATCCTGGCTGACACGGTGAAACCCCGTCTCTACTAAAAAATACAAAAAATTAGCCGGGCGTGGTGGTGGGCGCCTGTAGTCCCAGCTACTCAGGAGGCTGAGGCAGGAGAATGGCATGAACCCGGGAGGCGGAGCTTGCAGTGAGCCAAGATCGCGCCACTGCACTCCAGCATGGGCGACAGAGCGGGACTCCGTCTCCAAAAAAAAAAAAAAAAAAAAAAAAATTAGCCAGGCAGGTGGCGAATGCTTCTAGTCCTAGTTACTCGGGAGGCTGAGGTGGGACGATCGCCTGAGCTCAGGCAGTAAACTATGATTATGCCACTGCACTCCAGCCTGGGTGAGAGTGAGACCCTGTCTCAAAAAAACGAAACAAAAAAATTCCTTTTTCCAGCTTGGTGTGGTGGCTCATGCCTGTAATCCCAGCACTTTGGGAGGCCGAGGTGGGTGAATCACCTGAGGTCAGGAGTTCGAGACCAGCCTGACCAACATGGAGAAACCCGTCTCTACTAAGAAAAAAAAAAAAAAAATTAGCTGGGTGTGGTGGCACGTGCCTGTAATCCCAGCTACTCGGGAGGCTGAGACAGGAGAATTGCTTGAATCCGGGAGACGGAGGTTGCGGTGAGCCAAGATCGCACCATCACACTCCAGCCTGGGCAACAAGAGCGAAACTCCATCTCAAAAAAAGAAAAAAAAATTTCCTTTCTCCTAGTCTATTTCATTTCCATAAGAAACAAACTGTTTCATATGAAGAATACAACTCTGTTGAAAAAGACAGACATGGCTGGGCACGGTGGCTCACACCTGTAATCCCAGCACTTTGGGAGGCCGAGGCGTGTGGATCACCAGGTCAGGAGTTCAAGACCAGCCTGGCCAACATGATGAAACCCCATCTCTACTAAAAATACAAAAATTAGCCAGGCGTGGTAGTGTGTGCCTATAATCCCAGGTACTCGGGAGGCTGAGGCAGGAGAATTGCTTGAACCCAGGAGGCAGAGGTTGCAGTGAGCTGAGATCGCGTCATTGCACTCCAGCTCTGGGCGACAGAGCGAGATTCCATCTCGGCGGGGGTGGGGGAGTGGAGTGGGGGTGGGGAAGGAAAAGATACACACATACACACAAGGTTACAGAACTATGAACAAGGCCAGGAAGACTAGATATGGGATATTAAACTATTAATGATGATTGAGGGAACTTCCACTTTCTATTTTCTACATTTCTATAAGGTTTGAATTTTTACAACACACGTGTAACTTTTAAAACTATATAAAGTAAAAAAAAAAAGACTTGTTTTGGCTTTCAACAACAGAATGATTGGCTGGGCACAGTGGCTCACATCTGTAATCCTAGCACTTTGGGAGGCCAAAGCGGGTGGATCACCTGAAGTCAGGAGTTTGAGACTAGCCTGGCTAACATGGTGAAATCCCATCTCTACTAAAAATACAAAAATTAGCCAGGTGTGGTGGCGCGCACCTGTAGTCCCAGCTACTCAGGAGGCTGAGGCAGAAGAATCGCCTTAACCCGGGAGGCAGAGGTTACAGTGAGCCAAGATCGCACCAGTGCACTCCAGCCTAGGTGACAGACTGAGACTCTGTCTCAAAAACAAACAAACAAACATAAACAACAGAATTATTGAACATATTAAGAAGCAACGAATGGATCTAAAGATATGGGCCAGGCGTGGTGACTCATGCCTGTAATCCCAGCACTTTGGGAGGCCACGGCGGGCAGATCACGAGGTCAGGAGATCGAGATCATCCTGGCTAACACGGTGAAACCCAGTCTCTACTAAAAAATATATATATATAAAAAAACAATTGGCCGGGCATGGTTCCTCACGCCTGTAATCCCAGCACTTTGGGAGGCCGAGGCAGGCGGATCACGAGGTCAGGAGATCGAGACCACCCTGGCTAACACGGTGAAACCCCGTCTCTACTAAAAAATACAAAAAATTAGCCGGGCGTGGTGGTGGGCGCCTGTAGTCCCAGCTACTCGGGAGGCTGAGGCAGGAGAATGGCGTGAACCTGGGAGGCGGAGCTTGCAGTGAGCTGAGATCGCGCCACTGCACTCCAGCCTGGGTGACAGAGCGAGACTCCAACAACAACAACAACAAAAATATATATATATTAGCTGGGTGTGGTGGCAGGCATCTGCAGTCCCAGCTACTCAGGAGGCTGAGGAAGGAGAATGGCATGAACCCAGGAAGCAGAGTTTGCAGTGAACTGAGATCACGCCACTGCACTCCAGTCTGGGAGACAGAGCAAGACTCCATCTCAAAAAAAAAAAAAAAAAAAAAAAAACCATATGAATGCGGCCGGGCACGGTGGATTACCTGAGGTCAGGAGTTCGAGACCAGCCTGGCCAACATGATGAAACCCCGTCTCTACTAAAAAAAATACAAAAGTTAGCTGGGCATGGTGGCACACGCCTGTAATCCCAGCTACTTGGGAGGCTGAGGCAGGAGAATTGCTTAAGCCCAGGAGACAGAGGTTGCAGTGAGCCGAGGTCGTGCCACTGCACTCCAGCCTAGCTGACAGAGCAAGCTCTGTCTCAAAAAAATAAATAAATAAATAAATAAAGATATTAATGCATCTAAAGATAATTACTCTGTCGCCCAGGCTGGAGTGCAGTGGAGTGATCTCAGGTCACTGCAACCTCCACCTCCTGGGTTCAAGCGATTCTCTAGCCTCACTCCTCCCCATGTGCATCTCAAAAGGAACCCTGAGATGCAAAATGACCACATATTCCAGGTCATAAAACCCCACTCTGGCACTGAGTGTCATTTCACTCCTCCATACTCTCAAGAAGTGATGTGCATTCTTACCCCAAATTTTGCCAGATCTGTTTGCATTCCAGATCTGCTTCTAAGCCAGCTGCTTCATCCCCGCCAAAGTAAGTAACATAAAGTCTTTCAATGGGAATGCCAAACTCTTGGGTGAGGAGTTCCAGAGCCATCTTACATGCCAATTCCTACAAAAAGAACAGAGAGAAAGATATGGAACATTGCCAAACCAAAATCTATTTAGTATGAGACCAGATGCTAGGAACACAGATACAAAATCACAACATGTTCACTCTAAATTCAAATTCAAGATCAGTTTATGTAAGAAATCCAAATATATACTGAAATCACCAAATTATAGGTACTACTTCCAGGAAGTCTTAGAATTAATAAATGCCATTCATTCCTGAATCACCTAGATGATATTTCATATTTTAAAACATGCAAAATTAGAACCCAGTTCCCAGTGTGGAAAAGACCATTTTCCTCAAAACCCTAGTGGTTCTTCTGCTCTGAACTTACCTTAAAGTAATCTCCAAAAGACCAAGAGCCCAGCATCTCGAAGAAGGTGTGATGATAGACATCCTTGCCCACATCGTCCAGGTCATTATGTTTGCCCCCAGCCCGGATGCACTTCTGGGTATTGGCAGCTCTGCTCAGCTTTGCCATGGGGTGAGATGGGTCAATTGTGTTCAGGAAAATGGGTTTAAACTAAAAGAGAAGGACAGCAGTTCAACTTTTAAAGGGTGCAAGTGATGTCAGGTGGCCACACACTAGCAGGAAGAGACGACCACACACTAACTGTGCAGTTCATGATTAACATGCCTGGAATATAGACACTTGTCAGAACAGGTGGCCTGGTGGAGCCAAAGCAGAGGGTAGCCTCTCATGGAGCAGTTTCTCCTTGAACCTAGCTCCCTAACAGTCCCCACCACCACGAGTGACACCACCTGCAGAGGGGAAAGGCCTGCCAGATCTAACAGCCACAGGTTGATGTGGTAAAACGTGGGCTTCTTCACCAGTCTCTGAAGTTCAGGGCTTATACCATCTTTCTGGAAGAACTTATCCTGAAAATTGGTATGTTCACTTGGCAGTAAATGTGAGGAAGAAGAAAAAAAAACTGACACATATTAAGGGAATAATATCAGCACACTGATGAATGATTGGATGTATCAGTCGTCTAGCTGGGACGGCCTTGCTCTGAGGATGTATCAGGTCATGCTTTGATGTATCATTGTTATTTGTTAACTTTGTTTTATTTTTCCCACTAGATCTGTTCAATTCACTGCTATCCAATTTGGTAGCCACTAGACACTTTTTTTTTTTTTTTTTGAGATGGGTCACTGTCGCCCAGGCTGGAGTACAGTGGCACAATCTCAGGTCACTGCAACCTCCATCTCCCGGGTTCAAGCGATTCTCTTGCCTCAGCCTCCCAAGTAGCTGAGATTACAGGCACGTACAGGTACACCTGGCTAATTTTTGTATTTTTAGTAGAGACAGGGTTTCGTCATGTTGGCCAGGCTGGTCTCGAACACCTAACCCCAAGTGATTTGCCCGCCTCAGCCTCCTAAAGTGCTGGGATTACAGGCATGAATGACTGCGCCAGGTCTTACCATTAGACACTTGTGACCATGTAAAACTGAATTAAAATTAGGCTGGGCAAGGTGGCTCACACCTGTAATCCCACCACTTTGGGAGGCCAAGAAGGGAGGATTCCTTCGAGCCCAGAGTTCAAGACCAGCCTGGGAAACATAAGGAGACCCCTTCTCTATTTTTATAAAAATAAAAAACTAAAATTAAATAATTAGTAATTAATATTTTTAAAAATTAGAAATTCTCAGCTGGGCGCAGTGGCTCATGCCTGTAATCCCCAGCACTTCAGGAGGCTGAGGTGGGCGGATCACCTGAGGTCGGGAGTTCGAGACCAGCCTGACCAACATGGAGAAACCCTGTCTCCACTAAAAATGCAAAATTAGCCAGCCATGGTGGTGCACGCCTGTAATTCCAGCTACTCAGGAGGCTGAGGCAAGAGAATCACTTGAACCCGGGAGGCAGAGGTTGCAGTGAGCCAAGATCGTGCCACTCTACTCCAGCCTGGGCTACAGAGTGAGACTCTGTCTCCAAAAAAAAAAAAAAGCAAGAGAGAAAGAAAAAAATTAGAAATTCTGTTCCTCAGTCACACTAGCTCAATAATCACACGACTGACGGCTGCCATGTTGAGGAGAACATTTCTGTCACTGCAGAAAATTCTACTGGACAGTCCCGTATTAGATCACAAACTCCTTAAAAGCAAACACTCTCTCACTCATCTCTGTATCTTCGGCACCTAGCTGGGTGCCTAATATCATTTCAAATTGGGGGAAAAAAAAAAGGCAAGGTATTTGCTGATCAAGAGGCAATATGGCACAAAGGTTAAGGAAGTGACTATCTGGGTTCAAGTCCACACTGGCACTTACCGACTATGTGAGCATGGACAACTGACTTGAGATCTCAGTGCCTCAGTAGGGATGGCAACAGAGTTCGGCGTAAATGAGTTATTGTACGCGAAGGACACAGAGCAGCGCCTGGCACACAGTAAGTGCTGCATGCAGGCTGACAGCTACTGTCAATAAGAAAATGTTTACAAGGCCGGGCGTGGTGGCTCACGCCTGTAATCCCAGCACTTTGTGGGGCCGAACCAGGCAGATCACAAGGTCAGGAGTTCGAGACCAGCCTGGCTAAGATGGTGAAACCCCATCTCTACTAAAAATATAAAAATTAGACAGGCATGGTGGGGGGGTGCCTGTAGTCCCAGCTACTTGGGAGGCTGAGGCAGGAGAACTGCTTGAACCTGGGAGGCAGAGGTTGCAGTGAGCTGAGATTGCGTCACTGAATTCCAGCTGGGGTGACAGGGCAAAACTTCATCTCAAAAAAAAAAAAAAAAAAAAAAAAAAGGGCCAGGTGCGGTGGCTCACACCTGTAATCCCAGCACTTTGGGAGGCCGAGATGTGCGGATCACCTGAGGCCAGGAGTTCCAGACCAGCCTGGCCAACGTGGCGAAACCCTGTCTCTACTAAAAATATAAAAATTAGCCAGGTGTGGTGGCAGACACCTATAATCCTAGCCACTCGGGAGGGTGAAGCAGGAGAATCGCTTGAATCCAGGAGGCGTAGGCTGCAGTGAGCCGAGATTTCACCATTGCACTCCAGCCTGGGCAACAAGAGCAAAACTCTGTCTCAAAAAAAAACAAAAAAAAAAAAAAAAAGAAAAGTTTACAAACACTGTACTCCCTGGTTCTTGTTCAGGCGGCTCATGTGGAAGGTGACAAAGCTTGCACCCAGGTATGTCTGAATAGAAACAGTAGCTTTCCAGTGTTCCAAAAGCCTATCCCGTTGAATGAGACCACCTAAAATTAATGCCTCCAATTCTAGGTATATGCATAGGACTCACACATAACTGAAAATATTTTTCTTTTTTTTCCATTTTGAGACAGGGTCTTGCTCTGTCACCCTGCCTGGAGTCCAGTGGCACGATCACGGCTCACCTCAACTCCTGGGCTCAAGCAATACTCCCACCTCAGCCTCCCAAGAGGCTGGAACTACAGGTGTGAGCCACCACCAGCTAATTTTTCAATTTTTCTTTTGCTTTAATTTTTCTTTAATTTTTCTCTTTTCCTTTCAGACAGGGTCTTCCTATGTTGCCCAGGCTCCTCTCCAACTCTTGGGCTCAAGCAATCCTCTTACTTTGGCCTCCCAAAATGCTGGAATTACAGGCATGAACCACTGTGCCTGGCCCATAATTTTCTCTTTTTTGAGACGGAGTCTCACTCTGTTGCCCAGGCTGGAGTGCAGTGGCGTGATCTCGGCTCACTGCAACCTCTGCCTCCCAGGTTCCAGCGATTCTCCTGCCTCAGCCTCCCAAGTAGCATAATTTTTTTGGGAGACCAGTCTCACTGTGTTGCCCAAGCTGGTTTGTAATTCCAGGATCAAGTGATCCTCCCGTCTCAGCCTCCTGAGTAGATGTAATTACAGGCGCACTGTGCCCCATGTTTCATAATTTTATAGTTAATATTATAAGAGGCAGAATATGTCCCCATTGTTTCTAACTTTCCATGCCAGAAAAGACACCTAAGAGAAAAGAAAATGTCAACTCATCCCAGAGTGAGAAGCATCCTAAGGGCTGCAGATGCCCCGGGGGAGCAGGGCTCCAAGAGAACCATCACAGGAAAGCGCTGAGAGCACCATCTAACCTGAACCCCCTTCAGCCACGACCAGCCTGGGAAGTACTGTTTAGTGTCACAGACATGCTGACAAACTCCTCTTAAACTCCTTTATAAACTTGTCATGCTTTCATCATTTTAAGAGTTAACCCTTTTCTCTCACGATAAACCTTTCAAATGTCTTTTTCTTTTCTTTCCTTTTTTGAGACAGGGTCTCACTCTGTTGTGCAGGCTGAAGTGCAGTGGTATGATCAGGGATCACCATAGCCTTGACCTCCCAGGCTCAAGCAATCGTCCCGCCTCAGCCTCCCCAGAAGCTGGGACTACAGGCATGCACCACCACACCTGGCTAATTTTTTGTATTTTTAATAAGAGACAGGGTTTCACCATGTTGCCTAGGCTGGTCTCGAACTTCTGGATTCAAGTGACCTATCTGCCTCGGCCTCCCAGAGTGTTGGGATTACAAGTGTGAGCCACTGCGCCCAGCCTCAAATATATTTTTAATTCAACTTCCCCAAATAAACCGTACTAACTAATAAATTTTCTTCAGCAATGGATCCAAAATGGCACTGGTGGCAATAATTTCAAGAAAGGCATTAGGTGGGCTGGGCGTGGTAGCTCACACCTGTAATCACACCACTTTGGGCAGCTAAGGCAGGAGGATTACTTGAGGCCATGAGCTCGAGACCAGCCTGAACAACTTGGTGAGACCCCCATCTCTGCATATAAATAAATAAATTTAGGCCAGGCAAGGTGGCTCACGTCTATAATCCCAGCACTTTGGGAGGCTGAGGTGGGTGGATCACCTGAGGTCAGGAGTTCGAGAACAACCTGGCCAACATGGTGAAACCCCGTCTCTACTAAAAATACAACAATTAGCCAGGTGTGGTGGCGCACGCTTGTAGTTCCAGCTACTTCGGAGGCCAAGGCAGGAGAATCGCTTGAACTCGGGAGGCAGAGATTGCAGTGAGCCAAGATCGTGCCACTGCACTCCAGTCTGGACGACAGCGAGACTCTGTCTCAAAACAATAAATAAATTAAAAAATAAATAAAATAATTTTAAAAGCTGACATGGTAGAGCATGCCTGTAGTCCTAGCTACTTGGAAGGCTGACATAAGAGGATCACTTAAGCCCAGGAGTCTGAGGCTACAGCATGCTAGGATCATGCCACTGCACTCCAGCAAGGGTGACAGAGTGAGACCCTCTCTCTAAAAAATAATAATAGCTGGCCGGGCGTGGTGGCTCATGCCTGTAATCCCAGCGCTTTGAGAGGCCGAGGCGGATGGATCACAAGGTCAGGAGATTGAGACCATCCTGGCTAACACGGTGAAACCCCATCTCTACTAAAAATACAAAAAAATTAGCTGTACTTGGTGGTGGGCACCTGTAGTCCCAGCTACTTGGGAGGCTGAGGCAGGAGAATGGCATGAACCTGGGGGGCGGAGCTTGCAGTGAGCACAGATCACGCCACTGCACTCCAGCCTGGGCGACAGAGCAAGACTCCGTCTCAAAAAAAAATAATGATAATACAAAAAAATTTGCCAGGCATGGTGGCGGGCACCTGTAGTCCCAGCTACTCGGGAGGCTGGGGCAGGAGAATGGCGTGAATCCAGAAGGCAGAACTTGCAGTGAGCCGAGATTGCACCACTGCACTCCAGCCTGGATGACAGAGCGAGACTCCGTCTCAGGAAAAAAAAAAAAAAAAAAAAGCTAATGTTTGAGTACCTACGTACTATGTGCGAAATACCGTGCTAAACATTTTGTATGTGTTATCTTATTCGCTTCTCACTAATACCTACAGGCCCGCAATATTATTCCTCATTTTGCAAAGAAACTGAGGCCCATCACATAAAGTTTCACAAGATCACACAGGGAGTGACAGAACCAGAATCGGTCTGACCCCAGGGCTGTGCTTTTATCTGGGCTCTGCTGCCTCTTATGTGAACCAAAAGCCAAGAAAAAAGGAAAAACCCTTACCTGGTTCATGCCTGCATTGGCAAAGAGCAAAGTGGGGTCATCCAATGGGATGGTGGCAGACGAGTGAACATACGTATGCTCGTTCCTCTTGAAGAAATCTATAAATCGCTGCCGGATTTCACTTGCTGTTAGAGTAGAGTCCATCTTGAAAGTCACCCCAAAGAACTAATCAAAGAAAAAAAAATGAAGGAAAATTAAGGGAATTGAAAGTCAAAGTACACATTACACAAGACTTCTGGCTTCTCAAGCCAAGTCAAAGCACGACTCAGGTGAGCTGTTTGATCCTAAAACCTCTATGTTGTAATGTCCAAGGCTAAAATCATCATCACCAGCAGACAGCAGCCCCATCTGTTCTTCCTTCCCATGCCAACCTCAAGAGGTTCAACACCCCAGCACACCAAGCACACTGCTGCTGGATGTTTGTTCATTAAACAAATATGTATCGAGCATCTGCTCTGTGTCAGGCCCGAGACTAGGAATTAGAAAAAAAGAGGGACAGCCAGGCACGATGGCTCACGCCTGTAATCCCAACACTTTGGGAGGGCAAGGTGGGCAGATCACAAGGTCAGGAGTTCAAGACCAGCCTGGCCAACATGGTGAAATCCCATCTCTACTAAAAATACAAAAAGTAACTGGGCATGGTGGTGCGTGCCTGTAATCCCAGCTACTTGCGAGACTGAGGCAGGAGAATCGCTTGAACCCAGGAGGTGGAGGTTGCAGTGAGCCAAGACCACACCACTGCACTCCAGCCTGGCGACAGAGAGAGACTCCGTCTCAAAAAAACAAAAAAAGAAGGAAAAAAAAAAAGAAAAAAAGGGGGAGAAAAACCCTCAGTTTAGTCCAACTGGGGAAGAGGGAGAGAGGCTCAGGAGACCGGGGTTTGAGTTCTAGCTTCAAGTCCTGAGGGAGTCACTTCACCAAAAAAAGGAGGGGTCCATATGAGATTATCTCTAAAGATCCCTTCAGCTCTGTGTTAATGTACACGCCTAGAACTGCAAAGTTCCACTAGCCCCAAAGTCAGGGTCTCTAGGTTTGGCCTGATGTCATGGTGAGGCGGCTGTCAGCAGCAATAGTCCTGGGGATGGGCCTATCTGTACAAGGGACCACCTGTATGTAGCAGGAATGTACCTACCTCTATGTAGCCTACATCCCCCAAGAACCCTAACAGCAAACGGCTGCCTTCCAGCCATTAGATTACCAGGGAGTGGGGATGCTGTAGCCCCACTTTGGAGGCACAGCTTACTGAAAGTGAAAGTACAAGGGAACTGGTGGAGAGAGAAAAAACTTTATGACTTCAAAGCTCTTTCACAAGTTGGGCGCGGTGGCTCACGCCTGTAATCCCAGCACTTTGGGAGACCGAGGTGGCAGAATTGCTTGAGCCCTGGAGTTTGAGACCACCCTGGGCAACATAGCAAGATCTTGTCAGTACAAATAGTAAAAAAATTAGCCAGGTGGGTGGATCACGAGGTCAGGAGATCCAGAACATCCTGGCTAACATGGTGAAACTCTGTCTCTACTAGAAAAAAAATACAAAAAATTAGCCGGGCGTGGTGGCAGGCGCCTGTAGTCCCAGCTACTCACAAGGCTGAGGCAGGAGAATGGCACGAACCCAGGAGGTGGAGGTTGCAGTCAGCCGAGATCGCGCCACTGCACTCCAGCCTGGGTGACAGAGCAAGACTCCGTCTCAAAAAAAACAAAAATGGCCGGGCGCGGTGGCTCACGCCTGTAATCCCAGCACTTTGAGAGGCCGAGGCAGGCGGATCACGAGGTCAGGAGATCAAGACTATCTTGGCTAACATGGTGAAACCCCGTCTCTACTAAAAATACAAAAAATAATCCGGGCATGGTGGCAGGCGCCTGTAGTCCCAGTTACTCGGAAAGCTGAGGCAGGAGAATGGCGTGAACCCAGGAGGCGGAGCTTGCAGTGAGCCAAGATCATGCCACTGCACTCCAGCCTGGGCGACAGAGACCTTGTGTCAACAAACAAACAAAAACAAAAACAGCTCTTTCACAGATATTACGATTTCCCTGAGAGGTAGGCTGGGGAGAAGTGACAGGCTTTGGTGAGAGTGCTGATCACTGGCATGGTGCTGTAGTGCCACAAACTGCTGTGTCTAGAAAAATGAGAACCATCTTATTCACAATATTATCATTATTATCAAAAAGTCTCTGGAATTCCAGACCCAACCGTAACCTTAATTCACTTTTGCCTGAGTTCAGTTCCTTTTCTGTAAAAAAGCAGTATCTACCCTGCCTACTCAACTGAGGTGTTGTGAGGATCAAAAGCTATACTGTATTTGGAAGCAATCTATAAAATGGAAAACGTTACGCCACGTGCGGTGGCTCACACCTGTAATCCCAGCACTTTGGGAGGCCAAGGTGGGTGGATCACCTGAGGTCAGGAGTTGAAGACCAGCCTGGCCAATATGGTGAAACCCCATCTCTACTAAAATACAAAAATTAGCCGGGAATGATGGCGAGTGCCTGTAATCCCAGCTACTCAGAAGGCTGAGATGGGAGAATCGCTTGAACCTGGGAAATAGTGGTTGCAGTAAGCCGAAATTGCGCCACTGCACTCCAGCCTGGGTGGCTGAGGGAGACTCCGTCTAAAAAAAAAAAAAAAGGAAAACCTTGAAGGAACAGAATGGATAATATTACTTTTAAGTTGTTTAGCTGAAAGTTTTCTTCTTTTTTTCTGGTTCTGTCCAGACTGGAGTGCAGTGGGACAATCACTTAAGCAGCCTTAAACTCCGAGGCTCAAGTAATCCTCCTGCCTCAGCCTCCCAAGTAACTGGGACTACAGTTGCACACCAGCATGCCCAGTTAATTTCTTTTTTTTTCTTTTTTGAGACAGAGTCTCACTCTGTCGCCCAGGCTGGAGCGCTGTGGCGCAATCTCAGCTCACTGCAGCTTCCACCTCCCAAGTTCCTGCAATTCTCCTGCCTCAGCCTCCTGGGTAACCTGGATTACAGGTAAGTGCCACCACACCCAGCTAATGTTTGTATTTTTAATAGAGACAGGGTTTCACCATGTTCCTCAGCCTGGTCTCGAACTCCTGACCTCAGGTGATCTGCCAGCCTCAGCCTCCCAAAGTGCTAGGATTACAGGCATGAGCCACCGCGCCCAGCTAATTTCTGTTTTTGTTATAAATGGAGTATTGCCATGCTGCCCACGCTGGTCTCGAACTCCTGGCCTCAATCTCCCAAGGTGTTGGGATGGCATGAGCCACCATGCCCAGCCAAAGTTTTCTCCTTATGAGGAAAATACAATAGAGATGTACAAAGTGAACAGGAGATCCTGACTCCAGCTACTTTCCAAAAGACACATGAATTTCCCATTTTTGCTTACTAATTCACCATAATGAATGCATACTATGTGCCAAGAATCAAAATGAATGACAGCCTATGTCCTTCCTGAGGAGACTATCATATGCAGAATTAACTGCAGTATTGTGTAAAAGGACTGAATATATTAACTATGAGTCTATGAAGGCTGAAACTATTAAAAGCTGTATCCCCACATTCATTTGTTTACCCCCATTTATTTATTCAATCTAAATTTATATTTATTCGATATAAATTCAATATATTTATTCAACATAAACTCATTGATTTATTCACTGGAGGGCTATATGGGATACAGAGGTAGCACAAAGGCAGAACCTCAGGTTTCACTTACTAACAGGAGCTGTAAAGGTCTTGGGTGCCTTAAATCACGCTGTGGCTCCAGCCACTCCACAGGAATTTTTTTTTTTTTTTTTTTTTTTTGAGACAGGGTCTCCCTCTCTGTCACCCAGGCTGGAGCGCAGGCAATGGTGCAATCACTTGGCCTTCCAGGCTCAGGTGTTCCTCCCACCTCAGCCTCCGGAGTAGCTAGGACTACAGGCATGTGCCACCAAACCCGACTAATTTTTTTGTATTTAAAAAAAATTTTTGAGGCCGGGTAGGGTGGCTCACGCCTATAATCCCAGTACTTTGGGAGGTCGAGGCGGGTGGATCACAAGGTCAGGAGATCAAGACCATCCTGGCTAACACGGTGAAACCCTGTCTCTACTAAAAATACAACACAACAAAAAATTAGCGGGGTGTGGTGGCACGCACCTATAATCCCAGCTACTTGGGAGGCTGAGGCAGGAGAATCGCTTGAACCTGGGAGGCAGAGGTTGCAATGAGCCAAGATCAACTGCACTCCAGCCTGGGCAACAGAAAATTTTCAGCCGGGTACAGTGGCTCACGCCTGTAATCCCAGCACTTTGGGGGGCCGAGGCGGGTGGATCACCTGAGGTCAGGAGTTCGAGAACAGCCTGGCCAACATGGTGAAACCCCATCTCTACTAAAAATACAAAAATTAGGCCGGGCGCGGTGGCTCACGCCTGTAATCCCAGCACTTTGGGAGGCCGAGGCGGGCGGATCACGAGGTCAGGAGATCGAGACCATCCTGGCTAACACGGTGAAACCCCGTCTCTACTAAAAATACAAAAAATTAGCCGGGCGTGGTAGCGGGCGCCTGTAGTCCCAGCTAGCTACTCGGGAGGCTGAGGCAGGAGAATGGCGTGAACCCGGGAGGCGGAGCTTGCAGTGAGCCGAGATCGCGCCACTGCACTCCAGCCTGGGCGACAGAGCGAGACTCCGTCTCAAAAAAAAAAAAAAAAAAAAAAAATTAGCTGGGCATGGTAGCGGGCGCCTGTAATCCCAGCTACTTGGGAGGCTGAGTCAGGAGAATTGCTTGAACCTGGGAGGCGGTGGCTGCAGCGAGCCGAGATCATGCCATTGCACTCCAGCCTGGGTGACAAAGCGAGACCTGTTTCAACTTTTTTTTTGAGGCAGGTCTCGCTCTGTCACCCAGGCTTTACACACAGGTCTCGCTCTGTCACTTTGGGAGGCTGAAACAGGAGGATTGCTTGAGGCCAGGAATTCAAGACCAGCCTGGGCAACATGGGAACACCTGAGCCTGGGAGGTCAATTTTTTTTTTAATTGGCCAGGTGTGGTGGTGTGCACCTGCAGACCCAGCTACTCGGGAGGCTGAGTCCAAAGGGTCGCTTGAGCACATAAGTTTGAGGCTGCAGTGAGCTATGGTCACACCAAAACATTCCAGCCTAGGTAACAGGGTGAGACCCTGACTCAAACAACAACAAACGTAAAGACACTTTTTCTTTTTTTTGAGACGGTGTTTCGCTCTTGTAGCCCAGGCTGGAGTGCAATGGTGCGCAACCTCGGCTCACCGCAATCTCCACCTCCCGGCTTCAAGCGATTCTCCTGCCTCAGCCTCCTGAGTAGCTGGGAATACAGGCATGTGCCACCACACCTAGCTAATTTTGTATTTTTAGTAGAGACGGGGTTTCTCCATGTTGGTCAGGCTGGTCTCGACCTCCTGACCTCAGGCGATCTGCCCGCCTCGGCCTCCCAAAGTGCTGGGATTACAGGGGTGAGCTACCGCGCCCGGCCAAGACACTTATTTAAGACAGCCTTCCCCTTCTTCTTTTTTTTTTTTTTTTTTTTTTGAGACGGAGTCTCGCTCTGTTGCGCAGGCTGGAGTGCAGTGGCGCGATCTCAGCTCACTGCAAGCTCCGCCTCCCGGGTTCACGCCATTCTCCTGCCTCAGCCTCCCGAGTAGCTGGGACTACTGGGACTACGGGCGCCAGTCACCACGCCCGGCTATTTTTGTATATTTGGTAGAGATGGGGTTTCACCGTGTTAGCCAGGATGGTCTCAATCTCCTGACCTCGTGATCTGCCCACCTCGGCCTCCCCAAGTGCTGGGATTACAGGCGTGAGCCACCGCGCCCGGCCGCCTTCCCCTTCTTGATAAGGCTCCCCCTCTTTTACTGTCTCACAGCCTCAAGTGTTTCCCTTCATAATTTCCATACGCGCTTCATGGATTGTTTAATGTGCGCCTCCCCCATCAGGCTGTCAGTTCCATCCCAGCAGCAACGACTGTTCTGGGCTCTTTTTTTTTTTTTTTTTTTGAAACGGAGTCTCCCTCTGTCACCCAGGCTGGAGTGCAATGGTGTGATCTCAGCTCACTGCAACCTCCGCCTGCCGGGTTCAAGCGATTCTCATGCCTCAGCCTCCGGAGTGGCTGAGAGTACAGGCGCGCGCCGCCACGCTCGGCTAATTTTTGTATTTTTAGTAAAGACGGGGTTTCACCATGTTGGCCAGGCTAGTCTCGAACCCCTGACCTCAGGTGATCCGCCCGCCTCGACCTCCCAAAGCGCTGGGATTACAGGCGTGAGCCTCCGCGCCTGGCCCTGGGCTATTACAGCACATCCTCAGCATCTAGTACAGTGGCTGCTAAATACGTATTTCGTGATCAGGTATACTAATCCTTTAACACCAAGTTCGGAATTAACTCACATGCTTCAAAGCACACCGAGAAATACAAACTGTTTTACAGAACAGCTTAAGATGACGGTCTCGGTGCGCCTGGACCGGCATCAGCTGTTTAGTTAATTTTAAGAAATCAAGGAATGGCTGGCTTACAGCAGGATTGCACCCAGCTGGCCCATCCTTCCTCCCGTGCCCCCACCCGCCCCTAGGGGATTAAAACCAAGGGAGCTAAAACCCCAGGTTGGCAACCGTGAGGTATTGGTGCTCAGCAAATCCACCCGAGGCCGCGACACTCGCAGCGCTCCCGGGGGCGAACGCAAGGCCACACTGTCCAGCTCCCGCTCCAGCCCAGACTGGGCTTCTCCAGGCCACGCGGGGCCTGATCCTGGGGCCCACTGCGGCTGCGGAGCTTTCCCCCCAGTCTGCGGGCCCAGCCGCTCTCCTAGCACCGCAGAGCTCTCCGAGGGCGGCCTACCTCTCCTAGGGTCGCCGTCCCCAGCTCCTCCCTCAGAGTCCCCCGCCAAGGGCCCGCTGCACCTATTCCCGCAGACGCGCAGCTGTACCGGCCTCAGACCACGACCTACCACAACCCGCCACGCTCCGTCCAATCAGAGCGCGCCGACGGAAAGTGCCCCGCCGCGCCTTACCTCATGAGATATTATTGGTCAACCAACATGCCAGTCAAACTGAGGACGAATCCGTTCATTAGTGGATTCCTGGGAAGGCGGCTCTAACTTGGCTGATGCAACTGCGAGAAAAGGTGGGATGGGGTGCGTCACATGATCGAGTTAGACCCCCCCCCGCCCCCCCCGCCCCCCCCCGCCCCCGGCTCCCGGAGGTCGACATTTTGGTTTCCATAGGCAAAGTCCTAACACCACAATTGACATAGTTAAAAAGGGGAGACGGTAACGTGTTTGGTAGAGGTTACATATCTTGCTATAGTTGTTTATTTTAGTTGCTGAGTGATACACAGCCCTCAAAGAGTCTGACATTGTGCCCATGGTTACACTTGTCCGGGGGAGACCTTGAATTTGGTGTGGAAGAAATAACATCAGTAGTTCAGGTACGATTGGATCAGCATCTGGTCCTCGATTTGCCTTTGGAAAAAAAAAAGTTAATATTTATAGGCCTGGGGGAGGAGGGTGAATATATATATATACATATACATATATACATGCCAGGTGCGGTGGCTCACGCCTATAATTGCAACACTTTGGGAGGCCAAGGTGGGAAGATCACCTGAACCCAGGAGTTGGAGACCAGCCTGGTCAACATAACTAGACCCTGTCTCTACGAAAAATTTTTTAAAAGGCCGGGCGCGGTGGCCCACACCTGTAATCCTAGCACTTTGGGAGGCTGAGGCCAACGGATGACGAGGTCAGGAGACCGAGAGCATCCTGGCCAACATGGTGAAACCCCGTCTCTACTAAAAACACAAAATTAGCCGGGCGCGCATCTGTAGTCCCAGCCACTCGGGAGGCTGAGGCAAGGGAATCCCTTGACCTCGGGAGGCGGAAGTTGCGGTGAGCCGAGATGGCGCCACTGCACTCCAGCCTGGCTACGGAGCAAGACTCCGTCTCAAAAAAAAAAATAAAAAATAAAAATTAGCCAGGCATAGTGGCGCATGCTTGTAGTCCCAGCTACTTGGGAGGTTGAAGTGGGAGGATCACTTGAGCCTAGGAAGTTGAGGCTGCAGTGAGCCCTGATCGTGACACTGCATTCCTTGGGCGACAGAGCGAGGCCCTGTCTGAAAAATATGTATGTATTTATACGTGAGGCATTGCATCAAACATTTCACATGCTTATTTCATTTGATTTTTAAACTGTGTATGAGGTCAGCTGGAGTCCCCTTTTTACAAATGAGGAAATTACCTTGCACAAGTTCACACCCAATAGTAAGTTGTGGAGACAGGATCCAAACCTGTGTCTATTTAACTCCAAAGCCCATGCTCTTAACCACTGCACTATTACCTCCATCATCTGATATATCCAAATACACGGGTAATAAATTGTGCTGCTGGTCATAACTCAAGTTACAGACAATACAGAAAAATACTACTTTTTATGCAAAAAGAGCATCCTACACAAAAAGAAGGTCAAGCCCAAAAGCCAGTAAAAACATAAATCATTTGATTTACTTTCCCACTTCATAGCTGCTCACAAATAGTAATCATCAAACCTACCATTTATTGAGCACTTAGTATACAGCAGGCACCAATCTAAGCTTTTAATCCTCACAACCTTATCATGAGTTACTACTACTATCTGCTTTTAACAGAGTAAAATAAGGCAGAGAGAGAGGTTAAGTAACACAGCTGAGGGCAAAACCAGGAGACACAAGTGTTTATTCTGATCCACAGTGCCCTAAATAACATATATTTAGCTTAAACAATCTGGGAAATGAGTCAGACTTCTAAGCCACCACACTTAAAATAGAAAGCCAAAAGGTATGTATGAATTGTACTTTCAGAATAAAATAATACAGGTTGTAATCTCAATAATTTAGTTCTGCTGCCAGAGTTGTTACTAGGATAGTACCTTCATTAATAAAATAATTATAAACAGATTAAAATAATTTTTTGGCCTAGCGTGGTGACTCATGCCTGTAATCCCAGCACTTTTGGGAGGCCTAGGCAGGCAGATCATGAGGTCAGGAGATTGAGACCATCCTGGCTAACACGACGAAACCCCGTCTCTACTAAAAAATACAAAAAAAGTAGCCGGGCGTGGTGGCGGGCGCCTGTAGTCCCAGCTACTCTGGAGGCTGAGGCAGGAGAATGGCGTGAACCCGGGAGGCGGAGCTAGCAGTGAGCCGAGATCAGGCCACTGCACTCCAGCCTGGGCCGCAGAGCGAGACTTTGTCTCAAAATAAATAAATAAATAAATAAGAATTTTTTATTCACCCATTAAGAGAGATTGTAGGCCAGCACAGAGACTCACACCTGTAATCCCAACACTTTGGGAGGCCAAGGCAGGAGGATCAATGGAGCCCAAGTGTTTGAAACCAGCCTAGGCAACATAGTGAGACTCTGTTAAAAAAAAAAAATTCTTTTTAATTAGCTAGGCGTGGTGGCATTCGCCTGTAGTCCCAGCTGCTCAAGAGGCTGAGGAAGGAGAATCACTTGGAGCCCAGAAGCTGAAGGCTTCAGTGAGCTGAGATCTCGCGACTGCACTCCAGCCTGGGCAACAAAGCAAGACCCTTGTCTCTCTCTCTTTTTTTTTCCTTTTTTTGAGGCAGAGTTTCACTCTTGTTGCCCAGGCTGGAGTGCAATGGCATGATCTCGGCTCATGTCAACATCTGCCTCCTGGCTCAGCCTCCCGAGTAGCTGAGATTACAGGCGCCACCACCACGCCCAGTTATTTTTTTTTCTTCTATTTCTAGTAGAGATGAGGGTTTCGCCATGTTGGCCAGGCTGGTCTTGAACTCCCGACCTCAGGTGATTCGCCTGCCTTGGCCTCCCAAAGTGTTGGGATTTCAGGCGTGAGCCATCGCGTCCGGCCCCCTTGTCTCTTAAAACAAAAAAAAGAAAGAAATTGTAATTGAGGCCCAAAAGTCTCATTCTAATATAATTATCTAATGATATTTTTCTGTGATATTTTTCTCTTGTAGATGTCAACTACATGCTAGAAAGAATGCTATCTTAATGCAATGTGCAAATTATGTATTTTAGGAAACTACTGGCAAGTTCTTGATTTACTCTAGGCTAAGCAAATAGGCCTGTAGGTGGGAGTGAGCGATATGCACATGGCTTGCTCTCCAGTAGAACATTTGTTGAACTCCATCTTGGGGCATGAGAAAGATAACCAAAGAACTGAAATAGTACAACAGCTGTGATTGCCCCACTACCCTCCAGCCTGGGCCGCAGAGTGAAACAACAGGCCAGGCACAGTGGCTCATGCCTGTAATCCCAACACTTTGGGAGGCCGAGGCGGGCAGATCACCTGAGGTTGGGAGTTCAAAATCAGCCTGGTCAACCTGGTGAAACCCCATCTCTACTAAAAATACTAAAATTATCTGGGTGTGGTGGCGGCCACCTGTAATCCCAGCTACTCAGAAGGCTGAGGCAGAGGCTGCAGTGACTCAAGATTGTGCCACTGCACTCCAGCCTGGGAGACAAGAGGGAAACTCTGTCTCAAAAAAATTAAATTAAATTAAATTTAAAAAATAATAAAAACAACAAACAGAAACAGGCCGGCGTGATGGCGTATACCTTTAATCACCATACTTTGGGATTCTGAGGTGGGTGGATGGCTTGAGCCCAGGAGTTTGAGACTAGCCTGAGCAACATGACAAAACTCAACCTCTACAAAAAAATACAAAAATTAGCTGGGCATGGTGGCATGCATCTGTAGTCCCAGCTATTCAGGAGGCTGAGGTGGGAGGATAGCTTGAGACAGGGAAGTAAAGGATGCAGTAAGCCATGATCGTGCCACTGCACTCCAGCCTGGGTGGCAGAATGAGACAGTGTCTCAATTGAAAAAAAAAAGAAAGAAATGGAAACAAGTGGAAAAAAAAAAAAACTAACATAGCTTTGGAAGGATGTAGCGCTAGACTCTTAACTCTCCCATGGCATCTTAGCTACTTTTAGCATCTATAAAATGGGTTTACAATGCTGGCTTATTTGGTACTAAGTCAAATGGGGATGGCTGAATTTTTTTTTTTTTTTTTTTTTTTTTGAGACGGAGTCTCGCTCTGTCGCCCAGGCCGGACTGCGGACTGCAGTGGCGCAATCTCGGCTCACTGCAAGCTCCGCTTCCTGGGTTCACGCCATTCTCCTGCCTCAGCCTCCCGAGTAGCTGGGACTACAGGCGCCCGCCACCGTGCCCGGCTAATTTTTTGTATTTTTAGTAGAGACGGGGTTTCACCTTGTTAGCCAGGATGGTCTCGATCTCCTGACCTCATGATCCACCCGCCTCGGCCTCCCAAAGTGCTGGGATTACAGGCGTGAGCCACCGCGCCCGGCCAAGGCTGAATTTTTAAGAACCTCTAAAGGAATATTTCAATTGAGCATATTATAATTTTTTTGTCTAATGTACTTTTCAGACCATAAAACGCTAAAGGAATCACCTAGGATCTTAAAATATTGCTAAATTGAATAGGTCTGGGGTAGGGCCTGAGAGCCTGAATTTTTTTTTTTTTTTTTTTTTTTTTTTGAGACGGAGTCTCACTCTGTCGCCCAGGCTGGAGTGCAGTGGCGCGATCTCTGCACACTGCAAGCTCCGCCTCCCGGGTTCACGCCATTCTCCTGCCTCAGCCTTGCGAGTAGCTGGGACTACAGGCGCCCGCTACCACGCCCAGCTAATTTTTTGTATTTTTAGTAGAGACGGGGTTTCACAGTGTTAGCCAGAATGGCCTCGATCTCCTGACCTCGTGATCCACCCGCCTCGGCCTCCCAAAGTGCTGGGATTACAGGCGTGAGCCACCGTGCCCGGCCGAGAGCCTGCATTTTTAACAGGCTTCAGGCGATATCTATGCTGCTGAGAGATTATACTTGGAATACCAAGGGTCTAGATTAGAGGATGTGCGTCTGCACCTATTTGTTCAGATGCAAAATTTTTAAAAAGTTTGACCCACGGGGGGAGATGCTAATGGCTCATGATTCACCAAATGAGTGACCACTATGTGTTAGTCACTGAGGATCAAGATTAAAGATCTTGCCCTGCCCTCATGGAGTTCCCAGTCTCACCAGGAAGCCAGACATTTAGCAGGAAACAAAGCCCTCTGCGGGAGGCTTGCGCTTGTCTTTGGCCCCCAGAGTTCCTGGGGCGCGTGCCCGAGCGCTGTACCGTCCCCTCAGCTGATTGGCTGACAGGATTTCCAGGCCTCAGCCAATGAGGCTCCGGCTTGGCCAGTGCCAAGAGCAGCGGTTGTTGGAGTGTAACTGCCATGCTCAGCCGCGATGGCTGGGGCTGCCGGGCGCGTCCAAGATCGCGCCCTGCGGCGGTTTCCCATCACCCTGCCTGTGGGCGACGTGAGTATCTGCGAGGGTAGAAGCCAGACCCTTTCCTCCCACGTTTAGGTGCCTTCCTCGCCCCTACTCCTGGGTAGAGGAATAACAATATTTCTCGAGGCTTCGGCCCAAGGTCTTAGCCTTGTGATCTAGAATCCGCCATCTGTGAGGTGGGTACTTCCTGTGATTTCAGGGGAAACTGAGACTGGCTAGGCTCACGTGGGAATAAATGCAGGAGGCTGAATTCCAATCCAGATGCTCTTATTCCCCGAACACTCTTCTTTCCACGCCCGCTTTGGAAACCAGGTTCCTTCTTAGCCGGAGTCTCACAAAGCGCAGGTGTATTGGGGGTGAACTTAGGAGAGTCTGAAACCCCGATGCTATTTTTAAGTTTTTTTGTTTTTTGTTTTGTTTTGAGACAGGCTGGAGTGCAGTGGCATGATCACGACTCACTGCAGCCTTGAACTCCTGGGATCAAGTGATCCTCCCACCTCAGCCTCAGGAGTAGCTGGGACTACAGGCTCACGCCACCACGCCCAGCTACTTAAAAAAAATTTTTTTTTTTTTTTGGTAGAGACGGGGTCTCCCTATGTTGCCCAGGCTTGCATATTTATTTAGTAGAAGAAAAAACACATGCTAAAATCGTGTACGGGAAGGATAAACACCAAATTTGGCATAGCTGCTGTCTTCCTGGGATGAGTATACGGAGATTATCAATTGGACCTTAGTAATTTTATTTATTAAGTTTTGAGGTGGGAATCTAAGTATTTGTTATACCCTTTCTTGTTTGTCTGAAATACATTTTTAAAAGGGAAACATGGAGCCAAGCACAGCTGCACACACCTGTAGTCCCAGCTACTTGGGAAGCAGAGGCAGGTGAACCTCTTGAACTCAGGAGTTCAAGGATATAGTATGTGCTGTAATGGTGCCTGTGAATAGCCACTGCACTCCAGCCTGGGCAACATAGCAAGACCCTGTCTCTAATTTAAAAAAAACCATGCATATGGAAAATAATTTCAGAGGATAAAGCATACTCAATCCACCCCCACCCTTCTAGAGGCCCTCACCAGGGGCAGCCATGGTTATCAGTTTTGTGTGTATCTTAAGCATTTTTTTTTTTTTTTTTGAGACAGAGGCTCGCTCTGTTGCCCAGGCTGGAGTGCAGTGGCATGATCTCAGCTCACTGCAACCTCTGCCTCCTGGGTTCAAGCAATTCTCTGCCTCAGCCTCCCAAGTAGCTGGGATTACAGGCACCCACCACCATGCTCAGCTGATTTTTGTATTTTTAGTAGAGACAGAGTTTCACCATCTTGACCAGGCTGATCTTGAACTCCTGACCTCGTGATCCACCACCTTGGCCTCCCAAACTGCTGGGATTACAGGCGTGAGCCACCGCACCTGGCCACATTTTTTTTTTTTTTAAGAGGCGATGGTTTCACTATGTTGTCCAGGCTGGCTTCGAACTTCTGAGCTCAGGCGATCCTCCAACCTCAGCTTCAGGAGTAGCTGGGACTGCAGACACAGGCCACTGCTCCGGTCTTCTTAGGCATTTTCCATAGTGTATAAAAGCATATATGGGAGCTTGGGGGCTTTTGGGGTGGGGGTTCCTGTTTGTTTTGTACAAGTGAACCTACTATATACGGTCCTGCAACTTGGGCGATGTAATTTTTAACCTCATTAAAATGTTTTGCAAATTTCATTAACCTCTAGCCCTGTGAAACAATATAATTTATCTGGGAAAATATCCCCAGGGTTGCTTCTGAATTGATGAGATGTAGGTCATGGCTACCAAGGTGGTGTTTGCCTTTTTCTTTTTAGCACATCCTCATGTGTAAGGTCAAAAACAAAAAACAAAAACGTCTTCTCCAGTTAACCCTGTGAGAGTGCAGGAAAAAATAATCATAGCAAGTAGAATGTTCTCTGGAACTGCTTTACCCTTTCTCAAAACGTTTTTACTCTTACAGTACTGGTAAAATTCCACAGAGAACCCACCATGGCTTGATTTTTGTTTGTTTGTTTTTATTTATGTATTTATTTGAGACAGAGTCTTGCTCTGTCGTCCAGGCTGGAGTGCAGTGGCATGATCTTGGCTCACTGCAACCTCCACCTCCCGGGTTCAAGCGATTCTCCTGCCTCAGCCTCCCAAGTAGCTGGGACTACAGGTGCATGCCACCACACCCAGCTAATTTTTGTATTTTTAGTAGAGACAGGGTTTCACCATGTTGGTCAGGATGGTCTCAATCTCCTGACCTCGTGATCCACCTGCTTTGGCCTCCCAAAGTGCTGGGATTACAGGTGCAAGCCACCGTGCCCAGTCTATTTATTTATTTTTTTTGAGACAGAGTTTCACTCGTCGCCCAGGCTGCAGTGTGATGGCATGATCTCGGCTCACTGCAACCTTTGCCTTCCGGGTTCTAGTGATTCTCCTGCCTCAGGCTTACAAGTAGCTGGGATTACAGGTGTGCACCACCATGCTTGGCTAATTTTTGTATTTTTAGTAGAGATAGGGTTTCACCATGTTGGCCAAGCTGGTCTTGATATCCTGACCTCAGGTGATCCACCCACCTTGGCCTCCCAAAGTGCTGGGATTACAGGTGTGAGCCATTGTGCCCGGCCTCATGGCTTGAAATTAACTTATTGTTGTATAATATTGGCAAAATGAAAGAGGTTGGGATTCATTTTTTTCAGATTGTAGGAAAATGCCTAGTTTCTTTCTAGGGAAGTAACAAGGGAAGAGAAGCTTCTTTGATTCTAGTTAGGAGAAAGCAGTTCTTTCATTTAATCCTTATTTTACAACTACTAAAAGCCCAAGATATTTCTTCCTATTTATTTATTTGTTTATGAGGCAGAGTCTTACTCTGTTGCGCAGACTAGAGTGCAGTGACACAAACACTGCTAACTGCAGCCTCAACCTCCTGGGCTCAAGTGATCCTCCCACCTCAGCCTCCCAAGTAGCTGGAACTGCAGGCATGTGCGACGACACCTGGCTAATTTTTAAATTTTTCTTGTGTAAGGATAAGGCCTCGCTATGTTGTTGTTTTCAAACTCCTGGATTCAAGCGATCCTCCCACCTCCACCTCCCAAAATGCTAGGATTACACATGTGAGCTACTGTGCCTGGCCAATCCTGGCACTTTGGGAGGTGGAGGTGGGAGGATCACTTGAGCTCAGGAGTTTGAGACCAGCCAGGACAACACAGCAAGATCTGTCTCTATCTTAAAAAAACAAAAGGCCGGGTGCAGTGGCTCACGCCTGTAATCCCAGCACTTTGGGAGGCCAAGGCAGGCGGATCACGAGGTCAGGAGATTGAGACCATCCTGGCCAACATGGTGAAACACCATCTCTATTAAAAATAGAAAAACTAGCTGGGCATGGTGGCGCATGCTTGTAATCCCAGCTACTTGGGAGGCTGAGGCAAGAGAATTTCTTGAACCCAGGAGGTGGAGGTTGCAGTGAGCCGAAATCGTGCCACTGCACTCCAGCCTGGGCGACAGAGCCAGACTCAATCTCAAAAAACAAACAAAAACCCAAGTGCTGAGATTACAGGCATGAGCCACCACACCTAGCTCTATTTAATTATTTTACTATTTTAATTTTATTTATTTTTTTCCTAGACAGAGTTTTGCTCTGTCACCCAGGCTGGAGTGCAGTGGCCCTGTCATGGCTCACTGCAGCCTAGACCTCCTGGGCTCAAGTGATCCTTCCGCCTCGGCCTCCAGAAGTGCTGGGATTACATGCATGAGCCACCGCACCGTCTGTTTTCTTCCTTTTTAACATTCTCCTGATTCTACAACGCTTACATAGGAGAGCTGCAATTCCTCCTCTTGGGGTACAAATTTATGAGTGCAGGTGCAGTTTTGTTACATGCCTAACAAGATTGCATAGTGGTCAAGTGGACTTTTAACCAAATGGGTTGTCAGGGCTGATTGCCAACATCTGGACATTTTAAATTACCAATCTGAAAAGGGAAACAGCTCTGTGCTTGTTTTGCATTTTGGTGACTATTGGTAATGGTTTTCTGTTTTGATATATTCAATCTGTTCAATCTGTATTAGTGCCTACTCTGCCACTGTGTTGGGCGGGAATCTGATTTTGTTCTTTGGTTGGAGATCCAAGTTAACCAGAGCTTAGGCATTTTAAGATAACTACCTCAGCTTGATAGGAAAGCTTGCTCTGCCCGGGGTTGAGGGGTACGGGTCTGAGGGCAACAGAATCGACAGCCTCAAGTGGGCAAAGGGTGGCCAAACAGGAGTGGCCTCCGACGTCACTGTGGCGCGCCGCTTCCGGTCTGCAGCCTTGTAGTGGGGCTGGAGCAGAGCCTGCCGCGAACCCCCGGAGCCCACGATCCCTCGTGCCATCCCTCGAATCCACCAGCACGAGCGTCCCACCCGCGCCTGGGACCATGGCCACTGACTCATGGGCCCTGGCGGTGGACGAGCAGGAAGCTGCGGCTGAGTCGGTGAGTTGGCTTCAGCCCTAAAAGGGTCAGGGGACTAGTTCTGGTCGGAGACTTGGTCCCTGGGAAAGAATGTTTCCCAGGTTGATTAGAGGCTGGATGGGGTGGCGGGGAGGATAGGGATGGAGCCTGGACCCTGAGCTGGCTTTGTTTACGCAGCCGCCTCCGCGTTACGTAAGCGCAGGTGAGTGCTCCTATCGGTAAAGCGCTCAGCTGCCTGTCTGTCTTCCTGGAACCAGGAAGAATCATAGATTGCACCCATCACCCTAGATTGTGTTTTGTTTGTTTTTAATTGAAATAGAGACATGGTCTTGCTAGGTTGCCCAGGCTAGTCTGGAACTCCTGGTCTCAAGCTATCTTCCTGCCTCGGCCTTTCAAAGCACCAGGATTACAGGCTGAGCCATTGTTCCTGGCCGCCCCGGTTTGTAATAGTTATTTTAGGTGTCATTCTCCACCTCTACATTCAGAGCTTCTTTGGCTCAGGGACCATGTCTTTGCTCATATTTGTGTGCTTCCTCAGTGATAAATGATGGACCCAGTAGGTGTGGCAGTCAGCAAATCCTTTCCTCATCGGCTTCACTTTGTTCTTTTTTTCTGGACCTGACACATGGTAAGCAAGAGATGTGTTAAACACTACTGCGTAGAATTAATTTCTCCCACCGAAACACTTTAAATCCTAGTAGGCTTTGAACCTACTTCTGTTAGTACTTATTGCTATGACTTCCTCAAGAATAAGAACCTTGTCTTTTATTTTTTATAGCTCATAAAAAATAAGTTGTATATACACATTGTTTAAAGAGTGAAGTTATTTTAAAAACAACGGTTCCCGCCAATTTTTTTCCTCCCCAGAGGCAACTCCTTTTTTTTTTTTGGAGACAGGGTCACACTCTGTTGCCCAGGCTAGGGTGCAGTGGAGTGATCTTGGCTCACTGCAGTCTCTGCCTCCCAGGCTCAAGCCATCCTCCCACCTCAGCCTCCTGAGTAACTGGGACTGTAGTCATGTGCCACTATGCCCAACTACTTTTTGTATTTTTTTTGTAGAGATGGGGACTTGCCATGTTGCCCAGGCTGGTCTCGAACTCCAGCGTGCAAGTGATCCACCTGCCTCAGCCTCCCAAAGTGCTGGGATTACAGGTGTGAGCCACTGCATCCAGCCTCTTTTTTCTGTTTCTTTCTTTCTTTACATATATTTTTTGAGAGAGGGTCTTGCCCTGTCACCCAGGCTGGAGTGCATTGACACCATCTCTTGCCAACTACAACCTCCCCTTCCCAGGCTCAAGTGATCCTCCCACCTCAGCTTCCTGAGTAACCGGGACTACAAGCATGTGCCAACATATGCAGCTAACTTTTTAATTTTTTGTGAAGACGAGGTCTCACTATATTACCCAGGTTGGTCTTGACCTGCTGGGCTCAAGCCATCCTCCCACCTCGGCCTCCCAAAGTGTTGGGATTATAGGCCTGAGCCACTTTGCCTGGCCCTTTACTTTTCTATAAAATTTATTTTACTTGGAATTCTTAATTGCCTTATGTTTATGCTTCATTTTTTTTTCTTAATTATCAATTCAACCCCAAACTGTCTTCCAGTTGTCTAAGTTTATCTCAGGATGCTTAGACTCATCAAGTATTCTATCAATTCCATTTCTCCTAGGCCTTTAAGTCTGCTTCAAATTGGACTAGTTACTCCTGTCTTTAGAGCACAGTTCATATTGGGGAATAGAGGGAACAGGGCAAATTTCCCTTCAGCCTCATTCTGCAGATTCCTTCCTCCTTTCTCTTGTCTTTTGGATCTCTTGGATCCCTTCCTTTCTGTACCCCTACTTTTCCATCTTTCTTGATTTATTCCTTATTTTAGTGCAGCCATCTGTCAGCTTTCTGGAGGTGTACGGGAAGTAAATTACTTTAAGAATATTCCATGTCTTAAAAAATCTAACTTTGCCCTGTAATTTGGATAATAGTTTGGCTGGGTATAGAATTGTAGGTTGAAAATTATTTTCCTGCCAAATTTTAAATGTATTGTTCCATTGCCTTCTAGATTTCTGTATTTGTTGTTGAAATGTTTGAGACCATCCTGATTCTTGATGTGACTTGTTTTCCCCTTTCTAAGCTTGGAGAATCTTCTGTTTGTCTTTAATATTCAGAAAATTTATGGTAATATGTCTTGGTATGGGTGTATTTTCATCCATATTACTGGCCCCTGGGTGTGGGTACTTTCAATCTGAAAAACTCTTGTTCTTCAGTTATGAGAACTTTTCCTGAATAATTTCATTGCTGATTTCTTCTTCTTTGTTTTTTCTTAATTCCCTCTTTTCCAGAACTCACTTTCTCTCTTTCTTTCTCTCTCTCTCTTTTTTTTTTTTTTTTAAGACAGTGTCTGTCTATGTTGCCCAATTTGGAGTGCAGTAGCTATTCACAGGCAGAATCATAGTGTACTACAACCTTGAACTCCTGGGCTCAAGTGATCCTCCTGCCTCAGCCTCCCTCGTAGCTGGGACTACAGGTGCGCACCACTGCATAGCTTTTCCCAGAACTCTTATTAGATGAATGTTGGATCTGTTGGACTGGCCCTTTAATTTTTTTTTTTTTTTTGAAATGAAGTTTCGCTCTTGTCCGCCAGGCTGGAGTGCAATGGCACGATCTTGGCTCACTGCAACCTCTGCTTCTTGAGTTCAAGCGATTCTCCTGCCTCAGCCTCCCGAGTAGCTGGGATTACAGGCATGTGCCACCATGCCTGGCTACTTTTTGTATTTTTAGTAGAGGTGGGGTTTCACCATGTTGGCCAGGCTGGTCTTGAACTCCTGACCTCAAGTGATCCGCATGCCTCAGCCTCCCAAAGTCCTAGAATTACAGGCGTGAGCCACCACACCTGGCCAGCCCTTTAATTTTTTTAAAAGTCAGGTTTATGGAGGTATAATTTACACAGAGTAAAATTAAACTTTGTTAGTGTACAGTTCTATGAATTTTGACAAAAGCATACAGTTGTGTAACTACCACCACAGGCAACACATAAACCCTCTCTACAAAGAACTACAACTTCTTGTAGTTCACTCCCTCTCCTCACCCTTCTCTGGCAGCTGCTGATATGTTTTCTGTCATTATAGTTTTGCCTTTTCCAACATGTCATAAAATGGAATCATATATATAATATATAACCTTTTGAAAAGTCTGGCTTCTTCCACTTAGTATTATGCATTTAGAATTCAACCAAGTTGCATGTATCAGTAGTTCATTCCTTTTTATTGCTGAGTAGAATTCCACTGTGGATATATATACACAGTTTGCTTATTCTTCTATTGATGGACACTTGAGTAATTTTCAGTCTGAGACAATATGAAGAAAGCTACTCTATACATTAAGGTACAGATTTTTGTATGGACATATGTTTGCATTTCTCTTGGGTAAAGTCAATATCAAAGAGTAGGATTTACTGTGTTATGTCGTATGTGTTTAACTTTGTAAGTTATGTGCCAAACTATTTTCCAAAGTGTATCATTCTGCTTTTCCAACAGCAATGGATGAGAGCTTCAACTGCCCCACACCCTTCCCTGCACAGTATTGTCAGTTTCCTTCATTCTAATAGGTACATGCTGGTGTCTCATTGTGGTTTTAACTTATATATCTCCCTAATGACTAATGATGTTGACAATCTTTTCATGTGCTTATTTGCCATGTATGTAACTTCTTTGAAGTGGCTTTTCAAACCTTTTGCCCATTTTTAAAGTAGGATTGTTTTTGTTTTTAGTTGGGAAGTTTCTTTATATATTCTGGATAGAAGTTCTGTTTTTTGTTTTTGTTTTTGTTTTTTTTGAGACAGGGTCTCACTCTGTCACCCAGACTAGAGTCAGGCTAGAGTGCAGTGGCATGATCTTGGCTCACTGAAACCTCCACCTCCTGGGCTCAAGGGATTCTCCCACCCTGTCTCCAGAGTAGCTGGGACCACAGGCATGCGCCACCACATCTGGCTAATGTATGTATTTTTTGTAGAGACAGGGTTTTGCCATGTTGCCCAGGCTGGTCTTGGAACACCTGGGTTCAAGCAATCCGCCCACCTGGGCCTCCCAGAGTGCTGAGATGGATTACAGGCATGATAAGTCCTTTATCGGATATGTTTTGCATATATTCTCTCAAACTACAACTTGTCTTTTTTCAACAGTACTTTTCAAATAATAGACATTTTCAACTTTGATTAACCTAATTTATCAATTTTTGTTTGTTTGTTTGTTTTTGAGACGGAGGCTTGCTCTGTCGCCTGGGCTGGAGTGCAGTGGTGCCATCTCGGCTCACTGCAAGCTCCACCTCTCAGGCTCACGCCATTCTCCTGCCTCAGCCTCCCGAGTAGCTGGGACTACAGGCGCCCACCACCACGCCAGGCTAATTTTTTTTTGTATTTTTAGTAGAGATGGGGTTTCACCATGTTAGCCAGGATGGTCTCGACCTCCCGATCTTGGGATCCGCCCACCTCGGCCTCCCAAAGTGCTGGGATTACAGGCGTGAGCCACCGCGCCCGGCCTAATTTATCAATTTTTAGATGATTAGTTCTTTTTGTGTTCCAAGATATACACCTTATCCAAGGCCACAAAGATTTTCTCCTGTGTTCTCTAGAAGTCTTATAGTTTTAAATTTTACATTTATGTCTGTAATCCATTTTCCATTTTGAGTTAAATTTTTTCTAATAAGGGGTATGCATTGAGGTTCATCTTTTTTTTTTTGAGGCGGAGTCTGGCTCTGTCTCCCAGGCTGGAGTGCAGTGGCGCAATCTCAGCTCACTGCAACCCCTCGCCTCCGGGGTTCAAGCAATTCTCCTGCCTCAGCTTCCCTAGTAGCTGGGATTACAGGCACCCACCACTATGCCCAGCTAATTTTTGTATTTTTAGTAGAGACAGGGTTTCACCATATTGGCCAGGCTGGTCTCAAACTGCTGACCTCATGATCTGCCCGCCTCGGCCTCCCAAAGTGCTTGATTACAGGCGTGAGCCACCGTGCCTGGCCGAGGTTCATCTGTTCATCTTTTTCACAGAGATGTCTTTTTTTTTTTTTTTTTGAGACAAAGTCTTGCTCTTGTCCCCCAGGTTGGAGTGCAGTGGCGTGATCTCAGCTCACTGCAACCTCCACCTCCCAGGTTCAAGCGATTCTCCTGCCTTAGTCCCCCGAGTAGCTGGGATTACAGGCGCCTGCCACCAAGCCTGGCTACTTTTGGTATTTTTAGTAGAGACAGGGTTTCACCATGTTGGCCAGGCTGGTCTCAAACCCCTGACCTCAGGTGATCCATCCGCCTTGGCCTCCCAAAGTGCTGGGATTACAGGCGTGAACCACCACTCCTGGCCAGAGCTGTCTTAATTGTTCCAGCACCATTCGTTTAAAAGTCCTTTGGTTTTCTTTTTTCTTCTGTTTTTCATCTTTGTCTCTTTTTTTTTTCTTTCTTTCTTTCTATATTTCCTGGGAGATTTTCTCAAGTACTGTCTGGTATATTTCATTTTCACTTCTACTTTCTTATTTTTAATTTCAGGAACTTTTTTCTTCTTCCTTTACTGTTCCTTTTTTACAGACAATACCCTGTACGGCTTTCATGGTCATAATATCCTCATCATTTGGAGGATATTTTTCTTCTTCTCTCTGCTCAGTCTCTGTTTCATGTGAGGCGTGTTTTATCCATATATTTCAGTGTCTACTTTTTTGTGATGACTGTTTCTCAGATGTCTGTAATCCTTGCTTGGCCACTCATATTTAAGAGTGAGTGACTAAAAAGTTGAGTGGAAGCTGTAAACACATGAGTGGGGCTTGTCTATTCTGACCTTAACTATATATCTTTAGTGGTCTATGTCAGCATCCTGAGAACTTTCCTCCCGGTCTGGCCAGATTTTGCAGAGAGGGATCCTCTAAACTCCTGCCTAGATGGTGGAGGTCTGACTCAGTGTTCTGGAATCTAGGTGGAGGAAAGGGTGAGGGAGGTCTCAGGACCCAGAATACCTGCTTCCACTTAATGCTTCTGTTTTCATTATGGCATCCCCTCCCTTAACTGTGGTCCTTATCCATTTGAGCATTTCTCATGCCTAACCTGGCAGGCATTGTTAACTGAGTAAATGAACTGTGTAGTTTGTTATTTGTTGCAAAGAAACTTTTGATCATTCACTCTCAATATGTAAATATCTATTTAGAAATTGCATACTTTACTGTTTTATTAAATATATTATGTACATTGTAAAGCAAATAAAAAAGTAATAAAGGCTGAGATAAAAATGAAATAATGCTTTCCTGTGCTTGTGTGTGCTGGCTTCATATTTTTATTAGCCAATATCTCAAGGCACAATATACACTTAGAAAAAAAACACATCATTAGTCAACGTAGAGATAAATATGTGTTTCAAGTAGTTCTGAGAGGTTTTTTGTTTTTTTAATTATTATTTTTTAAATTTTTATGTATTTATTTTTTGAGACAGAGTCTCACTCTGTCGCCCAGGCTGGAGTGCAGTGGCGCAATCTCGGCTCACTGCAAGCTCCACCTCCTGGGTTCACGCCATTCTCCTGCCTCAGCTTCCCGAGTAGCTGGGACTACAGGCGCCCACCACCATGCCCAGCTAATTTTTTTGTATTTTTTTGGTAGAGATGAGGTTTCACCGTGTTAGCCAGGATGGTCTCGATCTTCTGACCTCGTGATCCGCCCGCCTCGGCCTCCCAAAGTGCTGGGATTACAGGCATGACCCACAGCACCCGGCCTGTTTTTTTTATTTTTTAGTTCTGAGAGTTTTGACTATTTTAACTAACTTCTTGTTAGGTCAGTTTTGTTGTTGTTGTTGTTGTTGTTTGTTGTTGTTGTTGTTTTTGAAATAGAGTCTTACTTTGTCACCCAGGCTGGAATGCAGTGGTGTGTACATGGCTCACTGCACCCTTGACCTCCCAGGCTCATGCAGTCCTCCCACCTCAGCCTTGCAAGTAGCTGGGACTACAGGTGTGCACCACCACACCTGGCAAATTTTTGTATGTTTTGTAGACATAGGGTTTCACCATGTTGCTCAGGGCAGTCTCAAGTTCCTGAGCTCAAGCTATCACCTGCCTTGGCCTTCCAAAGTGCTGGGATTATAGGCATGAGCCACTGCACCCGGCCATTCAGGTCAGGTTAAATTGTCATTGTTTTAACCTATTAATGTGCCTAAGAGGGTTTGTTAGGAGTAGGTAGCTTTGACATTTTCTTTTTGGCTTGAGTTTGCATCATAGAGTTATCTTTTGGATAGAACAGAAACTCATAATAATGAATCCAGTGATAATAAAAACTCAGGTATGAAATGATTAACTCTTGCTGTTTTTAGCAGGCCCAAACTAGCCATTTTATTAACCTTACAACAACAAATTCCTGCATTTTATGAAACAGAATCTTGAGACCCTATTATTATGACATTATGGTGAGATTAAAGTGTACAGTTCACTGATGGTTGGTGTATTCAGAAGTGTGTAGCTTATATCACAGTCAATTTTAGAACATTTTCATCACCCCAAAAGGAAACTCTGTACACATTAGCAGTTACTCCCTGTTTCCCTACAAACTCCCCAGCTCTAGGCAATCACTAATCTACTTTCTGTCTCTTTAGATTTGCCTCTTTTAAACATTTCATATAAATGGGAACATACGGTATGTGATCCTTTGTGACTGGCTCCTTTTATTTAGTATAATGAACTAAGGTTCATTAGTTGTAGCATGTATCAGTACTTTATTCCTTATTGTTGCCAAATAATATTCCATTGTGTGGATATACCACATTTTATTTATCCACTTATCAATTTCTGGACATTTGGATTATTTCTACTTTTTAGCTACTATGAATAATACTGCTTTTGATTAATGTACAAGTTTTTGTGTGGACATATAGTTTCAATACTCGGGTATATATCTAGAAGTGGGACTGCTGGATTATATAGTAATTCTGTATTTAACTTTTGAGAAAGTGCCAGGATGTTTTCCAAAGCAGCTGCATCATTAATCTTTAAGATTAATATTGTCTATGAAATAATATGTCTTTTTTTATTTTTTATTTTTTGGAGACAAGAGTCTCGCACTGTCTCCCAGGCTGGAGTGCAGTGGCACCATCTCGGCTCACTGCAACCTCTGCCTCCCGGGTTTAAGCGATTCTCATGCCTCAGCTTCCTAAGTAGGTGGGATTACAAGCACGTGCCACCATGCCCAGCCAATTTTTCATATTTCAGTAGAGATGGGGTTTCATCATGTTGCCCACAGTGCTCTCGAACTCCTGAGCTCAGGCAATCCATCCATCTCGGCCTCCCAAAGTACTAGGATTACAGGCGTGAGCCATCACATCTGGCCATATGTATATATATGTGTGTGTGTGTGTGTGTATGTATATATGTGTGTGTGTGTATATATGTGTGTATTTTTTTTAATAGAGATGGGGTCTCATTCTGTCACCCAGGCTGGAATGCAGTGGCAAGATCATAGCACACTGTAACCTGGAACTCCTGGGCTCAAGCAATCCTCCCACCTCAGCCTCCCTGGTAGCTGGGACTATGGGCACATACCACCATGCCCAGCTAATATATTTATTTATTTTATTTTAAAATTTATTTAAATTTATTATTTATTTATGTATTTATTTTTATTTATTTATTTATTTTGAGACGGAGTCTCACTCTGCTGCCAAGGCTGGAGTGCAGTGGCACCATGTCGGCTCACTGCAACCTCTGTCTCCTGGGTTCAAGTAATTCTCCTGCCTCAGCCTCCTGAGTAGCTGGGATTACAGGCACCCACCACCATGCCCAGCTAGTTTTTATATTTTTAGTAGAGACAGGTTTTCACCATGTTGGCCAGTCTGGTCTCGAACTCCTGACCTCAGGTGATCCACCTGCCTCGGCCTCCCAAAGTGCTGGGATTACAGGCGTGAGCCACCACACCCGGTCTATTTATTTATTTATTTTTAAGACAGAGTCTCACTCTGTTGCCCAAGCTGGAGTGCAATGGTGTGATCTTGGCTCACTGCAACCTCCAACTCCCAGGTTCAAGTGATTCTCCTGCCTCAGCCTCCTGCGCCACCACACCTGGCTAATTTTTTTTATATTTTTTTAGTAGAGACAGGGTTTTACCATGTTGGTCAGGCTGGTCTCGAACTCCTGACCTCAGGTGATCAGCCTGCCTCAGCCTCCCAAAGCTCTGGGATTACAGGAATGAGCCACCATGCCCAGCCTATTTATTTATTTTTTAGGAGATGGGGTCTCACTATGTTACCCAGGCTTGTCTCGAACTCCATGAGTTCCAAGGATCCTCCCTCCTCGGCCTCCAAAAGTGCTGGGATTCAAGTCACAAGCCACCATGCCCTGTCAATATTTTTATTTTTAATCTTTATAGAGGTGGAGTCTCACTATGTTGCCCAGGCTTGTCTCAAACTCCTGGCCTCAAGGGAGCCTCCCATTTCAGCCTCCCAAAGTGCTGGGATTACAGGTGTGAGCCACTGTGCCCAGCTGTTTTTTTTTTTTTAAAGTTCTAGGGTGCATGTGCAGGATGTGCATGTTTGTTACATAGGTAAACATGTACCATGGTGGTTTGCTGCACCTATCAACCCATCACCTAAGTATTAAGCCCCACATGTATTAGCTCTTTTTCCTAATGCTGTCCCCCACTGCCCTCCCCCATTAGTGTATTCTTTATCCTTCAGAATTAGTGAAGGATTTTTACTGCTTTATAATGATTTCTTTTTTTTTTTGTTTGTTTTTCAGTCGGCTTTCTCCAGTTGAATGGTTTCCTTTTTGTTAAGTTGCTTTTTTCTAATCTCTTTAATGTGTTCCCTTTCTTTTTCCTCTTTCCCAACACCAAAGCAGAAAGGGACCAGAAACTTCTTGTCCATTTCCATGAATAGAAATGGGAGGCTGGGCGCGGTGGCTTATGCCTGTAATCCCAGCACTTCGGGAGGCCGAGGCGGGCAGATCACGAGGTCAGGAGATCGAGACCATCCTGGCTAACACGGTGAAACCCCGTCTCTACTAAAAATATAAAAAGTTAGTCGGGCATGGTGGCAGGCGCCTGTAGTCCCAGCTACTCCGGAGGCTGAGGCAGGAGAATGGCGTGAACCTGGGAGGCAGAGCTTGCAGTGAGCCAAGATCACGCCACTGCACTTCAGCCTGGGCGACAGAGCGAGACTCCATCTCAAAAAACAAAACAAACAAACAAACAAAAAGAAATGGGGCTCCTGGCTGGGTGCAGTGGCTTACGCCTGTAATCCCAGCACTTTGGGAGGCCGAGGCGGGTGGATCACGAGGTCGAGAGTTCGAGACCAGCCTGACCAACATAGTGAAACCCCGTCTCTACTAAAAATTCAAAAATTAGCTGTGCGTAGTTGCACACGCCTGTAATCCCAGCTACTTGGGAGGCTGGGGTAGGAGAATTGCTTGAACCCAGGAGGCGGAGGTTGCAGTGAGCCAAGATCGTACCACTGCATTCTAGCCTGGGCGACAGGGCAAGACTCCGTCTCAAAAAAAAAAAAAAAAAAAAAGAGAAATAGAAATGGGGCTCCTCCATTCTCAACAAACCACCAATTAAAACATTTTTTTGTTCTCTCCTCTCTACCCTCCTTCCCCTTTCGCCTGTTCTTGGACTTAGAGGGACAACAGAAATGCGGCCTAATGCGTAGTTCACACTTATAATTCTAGCACTTTGGGAGGCTGAGGCAGGAGGATCGCTTGAGCCCAGGAGCTCAAGACCAGCCTGAGCAACACAGTAAGATCCCAACTCTACAATAAAAGATTAGCTGGGCAGGCTGGGCGCAGTGGCTCATGCCTGTAATCCCAGCACTTTAGGAGGCCAAGGTGGGCGGATCATGAGGTCAAGAGATTGAGACCATCCTGGCCAATGTGGTGAAACCCTGTCTCTATTAAAAATACAAAAATTAGCTGGGCATGGTGGTGCATGCCTGTAGTCTCAGCTACTTGGGAGGCTGAAGCAGGAGAATCGTTTGAACCCAGGAGGCGGAGGTTGCAGTGATCTGAGATAACACCACTGCACTCCATCCTGGCAACAGAGCAAGACTCCGCCTCAAAAAAAAAAAATTAGCTGGACATGGTGGTGAGTGCCTGTAGTCTCAGCTACTTGGGAGGCTAAGGCAGGAGGATTGCCTGAGCCTTAGGAGGTTGAGGCTTCAATGAGCCATGATCATGCCACTGCACCACTCCAGCCTGGCCAACAGAGTGAGACCTCGTCTGCAGAAAAAAAAGAAAGAACCATTAGGTTGTGATTTTCATTTTCTTTTTACTAGATGATGTCTTAGGCCCTGCTTGATATTTTATGATTAGGGTTGGCTTTAGCTTGAAAGGTTACTTACTCACGCCAGACTTTCCATCTATCTAATCCCTGTGCTGGGGTCCAAGACTTACAGATGCTTTCTGACCTTTAAAAAAGTCTTTTTTGGCCAGGTGCGGTGGCTCATGCCTGTAATCCCAGCACTTTGGGAGGCCGAGGCAGGGAGATCACGAGGTCAGGAGATTGAGAACATCCTGGCTAACATGATGAAACCCTGCCTCTACTAAAAATACAAAAAAATTAGCTGGGGGTGGTAGCGGACGCCTGTAGTCCCAGCTACTCCGGAGGCTGAGGCAGGAGAATGGCATGAACCCGGGAGGCGGAGCTTACAGTGAGCTGAGATCAGGCCACTGCACTCCAGCCTGGGCAACAGAGCGAGACTCTGTCTCAAAAAAAAAAAAAAGGCTTTTTTGTTTTGTTTTGTTTTTAATAAAAATGTACGACTAGAAAGGCCGGGCGTGGCAGCTCATATCTGTAATCCCAGCACTTTGGGAGGCTGAGGCAGGCGGATCACGAGGTCAGGAGATCAAGACCATCCTGGCTAACACCGTGAAACCCCATCTCTTAAAAAAAAAGAAAATACAAAAAATTAGCCGGGCGTGGTGGCGGGCGCCTGTAGTCTCAGCTGCTCGGGAGGCTGAGGCAGTAGAATGGCGTGAACCCGGAAGGCAGAGCTTGCAGTGAGCTGAGATCGCGCCCCTACACTCCAGTCCAGGTGACAGAGCAAGACTCTGTCTCAAAAAACAAACAAACAAAAAATTTACGACTAGAGCACTTACTTTGCTCTGTACTACATCCAAAGGCCAAAAATAGAAATATGCTACTCTGGGCACATTTCCTGTGGGGTAGCCCTGCTCCTCAAGGAGCAGTAGAAAACGAAATAGGCCCTGTCAGGAAGGTATTTGCATTCTAATAGAGGAGATAAGACCTGCTAGGATATCCCTAATATACAGTATTTGATCAAAGTCTTAGTAATTATTCTTTGAAATGTCTCTTTCCTTTCTATTTCCACTTCAGCCCAGTGGGTATTTTAATTACACAGTGTGCCACAATGCTTCAGGCTGTTCCCAACTACAGTATCAGACACCAGCAAAAGGTGACTTGAATGTGAGGCTGCACATCAGCATACTGTGGTCTTACGGCTCTAACGTATCCTGCAGTATGACTGATTCCTACCCACAGATGCTTTTCTTTTCTTTTCTTTTCTTTTTTTTTTTGTGAGACGGAGTTTCACTCTGTTGCCAGGCTGGGGTGTAGTGGCGTGATCTTGGCTCACTGCAACCTCCGCCTCCTGGGTTCAAGCGATTCTCCTGCCTCAGCCTCCCAAGTAGCTGGCACTACAGGCATGCACCGCCACGCCCAGCTAATTTTTGTATTTTTGGTAGAGACGGGGTTTCACCATGTTGGCCAGGATGGTCTCGATCTCTTGACCTCGTGATCTGCCTGCCTGAGCCTCCCAAAGTGTTGGGATTACAGGCGCGAGCCACCGCACCTGGCTTTACAGATGCTTTTCATCACAGTCCTCCCTTCCCAGTGTTCTCCAAAGTATGACTGCATTTTTCAAAATCTCTTTAAATTTCCTCTTGTTTGAAATATGATTTGGAATGCAGCGATTCCCCCCCACACACAAAAGAAATATGAGAGAATGACAACTCTAATGATATTCTACAAAGAGAGAAAGTTTATAATCAGGGCATTAAGCAAACTCACAAATTACAATTCTCTCACAGAATTTTAAGTAGAAGGTACAGATTTGGAGCATTTTTTTCCACCGATGTATTTACGGGAAATTTTGTTTATTCTCATCAGACATTTAGTAAACGGAACAACCCAATGAATTGGTCCTAATGAATATACCTTGAGAATGGCTATTTTATCCCCAGCTTCATTAGGGAGGCTCTGTTGATTCCAAATCTTTTTAAGTGCTTTTCCTGACACTTTCCCCCTCCCCCATATTCTCCATTTAGTTGAGCAACTTGCATCTTAAGGAAGAGAAAATCAAACCAGATACCAATGGTAAGTAACTAATAGCTAGTTTGAAAACAAATGTGATTTCCTTCAGTATTTTTGTTTTGGCATAACAACTGTCTGGAAAAAAATTTGTATTTGTACCAGGCAGGGCATTGGCAGATACTGGTACCATTTGATTTGTAAATCAACAAACTGGATTGTATGACCAAAGTGTTTTTATTTATTTTTTTGTTTCTGTTTACTTTTTAAGAGACAGGGTCTTGCTCTGTTGCCCAGGCTGGAGTGCAGTGGTTCAATCATGGTTCACTGGAGCCTCAACCTCCCAGACTCAAGTGATCCTCCACCTCAGCCTCCTGAGTAGCTGGGACTACAGGCACAACCCACTACGCCCAACTAATTTTTATTTTTTATTTTTTATTTTTTTGAGACAGAGTCTCGCTCTGTTGCCCAGGCTGGAGTGCAGTGGCTCGATCTCGGCTCACTGTAAGCTCCACCTCCCGGCTTCACACCATTCTCCTGCCTCAGCCTCCCGGGTAGCTGGGACTACAGGCACCTGCCACCACGCCTGGCTAATGTTTTGTATTTTTAGTAGAGATGGGGTTTCACTGTGTTAGCCAGGATGGTCTCAATCTCCTGACCTCATGATCCACCGGCCTTGGCCTCCCAAAGTGCTGGGATTATAGGTGTGAGCCACTGTGCCCAGGTATTTTTGTTTTTTTATAGAGATGAGGACTCCCTGTGTTGCCCAGGTTGGTTTCTAACTCCTAGGCTCAAGCAGTCCTCCCGCCTCAGCCTCCCAAAGTGCTGGGATTACAGGAGTGAGATATTACACCTGGTTTCAAAGTGTTTTTAATACAAGAATGAGGATTGCACACTGATAGCAAGGGTGTGGGGGGAACAAAGAATGAGGCTACTTAAGTGGGACTAATTACTAACCATCGGACTACATTGACAAAGACTAATTTTTTTCTTAATGTTCTCAATTTGGGATGAGATAGACAAAGTATGAGCAATCTGACAGTTTACCTATCCTAATTATTCTGAAATCATATTTATCCAAAGTTAAGATTTCCATTAAATTATTGTTGATGTACTTAATATTACAGGAAGGAAATGTAACATTTGCCTTTCTCAAAATTCACTTAAATCTTTTTTGTATGATTTTATATAACCACAGTATCATTCGACTATAAATTTATATTAATCAATTTATAGGCCGGGTGTGGTGGCTCACACCTGTAATCCCAGCACTTTGGGAAGCCAAGGCTGGCGGATAACCTGAGGTCAGGAGTTTGAAACCAGCCTGACTAACATGGTGAAACCCCATCTCTACTAAAAATACAAACATTTGCCAGGTGTGGTGGTGCACCCCTGTAATCCCAGCTACTCAGGATACTGAAACAGTGGAATCTCTTGAACCTGGGAGGCAGAGGTTGCAGTGAGCTGAGATCGCACCACTGCACTCCAGGCTGGGTAAGAGTGAGACTGCATCTCAAAAAAAGAAAAAAAAAATTTATATGCATGAATTTTTTTTGTTGGTCTTACTGCTCATTTGTTATATACATGAATTTTAATGGCATTATTGTGTTCACCTATTGATAAAATACGATTTGCATAGATATTCCTCTGTTGAGCATCAAGGTGGTTTCTGATCACTAATTGCTCTAATCTTTCTATAATATTTAAGAAGTATTGATTCAATGAGGGAAATAACAGGTTTTGAGGTACGGAGAGGAGACCTAGAATAGGAAAGAATATGAGCAACAGAGGCCGGGCGCGGTAGCTCACGCCTGTAATCCCAGCACTTTGGGAGGCCAAGGCAGGCGGATCACGAGGTCAAGAGATCAAGACCAGCCTGGCTAACATGGTGAAACCCTGTCTCTACTAAAAATACAAAAAAAATTAGCTGGGCGTGGTGGCGGGTGCCTGTAATCCCAGCTACTCGGGAGGCTGAGGCAAGAGAATGGCGTGAACCTGGGAGGCAGAGCTTGTAGTGAGTTGAGATCGCACCACTGCACTCCAGCCTGGGCGACAGAGCGAGACTCCATCTCAAAAATAAATAAATAATAAAATAAATATCTATCTATATATATATATATGTGAGCAACAGTGTTTTACACCTTTGTTTATTTAGGGACAATAAAATGTTTTTATCAGCGGCTCGGTTTCCTCATTTATTTTTTGCTCCCCAGGCCTTTACAAAAACTTCTAGTGTCATAGAATTTGAATTGTCTCAACTGTTGGGTATGGGATGCGATTTTGAATGATGGCCACTTTGTGTCTATAAAGGTGCTGTTGTCAAGACCAATGCCAATGCAGAGAAGACAGATGAAGAAGAGAAAGGTAACACAGCCGTGGAGCTTTATATAATAACAAGCTTCTACATTCTAAGAAAGTGGATTGTTATGAGGCTTCATTTTTATACCCAGTTTGGCTTGACTTTAATAGGCGATACAGTGCTAGCATAAAGGTTCAATATAGGGGCCGGGCACGGTGGCTTACACCTGTAATCCCAGCACTTTGGGAGGCCGAGGTGGGCAGATCACGAGGTCAGGAGATCGAGACCATCCTGGCTAACACGGTGAAAACCCGTCTCCACTAAAAATACAAAAAAAAAAAAAAAAATTAGCCGGGCATGGTGGCAGACGCCTGTAGTCCCAGCTACTTGGGATGCTGAGGCAGAAGAATGGCATGAACCCGGGAAGCAGAGCTTGCCATGAGCCGAGATCGAGCCACTGCACTCTAGCCTGGGCGAAAGAGCGAGACTCTGTCTCAAAAAAAAAAAAAAAAAAAAGTTCAATATAAATAGTCAGTAGGTGAAGGAGTTCTAATGGTTTACGTTTAGAGAAATTTTACATTTAACAACTGAACAGTTGAATAGGGCATTATAAAAAATTTTCAGTTGCATCTCTATTGTCCAGTAAAATTAAGCTTAATGTTATTTTGACACATTTGACATGGATGACGAGACCAACTTGTCCAATATTAAGGTACAGACTTTGTTAATTCCTGTTTTTTTTTTTATTGTTGTGATTGCTACATTAATTACTTTAGGTTTATATATAGTACAAATTGGGGAGTAAATATGTGGGTCTGGATAGGAGGAATAGATAACTGCAGGAAAAGAGGGCTGTTAGAATAGAGTCTGGAAAAGAATATGAGGCCTAAATGGGTGATGTATCATAACTTTTTTCTTTAATAAAACTATTTTAATTTATAAGTCAAAACTATGACGTACCTTGAATTTGAATGTTCAGTACATTATTATTTAAAATACAAATGGCAGTTGAATTAGAGTAAACGCCTGGTAGGTTTCAAGGACTTTTTAAAATTCTTTGCTTTCTTTTTCCTGACAGAGGACAGAGCTGCCCAGTCCTTACTCAACAAGCTGATCAGAAGCAACCTTGTTGATAACACAAACCAAGTGGAAGTCCTGCAGCGGGATCCAAACTCCCCTCTGTACTCGGTGAAGTCTTTTGAAGAGCTTCGGCTGTGAGTATTTATTCACCTTCTGACTCTTCCCCTTTGCACTGAAATAGAGATCCTAGGTCTGTTATAGATATCTTTTGACCACAACAGAGCAGTTTTAGCTAACCAAGTTTTTTTTTTTTTTTCGAGACAGAGTCTCACTCTGTTGCCCAGGCTGGAGTGCAGTAGCGCGATCTCGGCTCACTGCAACCTCCGCCTCCTGGGTTCGAGTGATTCTCCTGCCTCAGCCTCCCAAGTAGCTGAGATTACAGGTGCACACCACCACGCCTGGCTACTTTTTGTATTTGTAGTAGAGATGGGGTTTCACTATGTTGGCCAGGCTGATCTTGATCTCCTGAACTCATGATCCACTTGCCTCGGCCTCCCAAAGCGCTGAGATTACAGGCATGAGCCACCGCACCCAGCTGCTAACCAAGTTTTATAAAAGAATTTAGCTGGGTGCCGTAGTGCACACCTGTAATCCCAGCACTTTTGGAGGCCAAGGTGAGAGGATCACTTGAGGCCAGGAGTTGCAGACCAGCCTGGGCAACATAGCGAGACCAGACTCCATCTAAAAAATATACATAAATACTGTAGATGCTTTGGGATATTTAGTAAAATTTCCAGATGATGGATAAAAGCTTTAGCTGTACTAACATGTATTCAGTTCACCACAGCTCAATTATTGTTGATTACAAACTATGTGTAGGCCAGGCATAGTGGCTCATGCCTGTAATCCCAGCACTTTGAGAGGCTAAGGCCGGCAGACCACTTGAGGTCAGGAGTTCAAGACCAGCGTGGCCAACATGGTGAAACCCTGTCTCTACTGAAAATACAAAAATTAGTCCAGGCACGGTGGCTCACGCCTGTAATCCCAGGACTTTGGGAGGCTGAGGCAGGTAGATCACGAGGTCCAGAGATTGAGATCATCCTGGCTAACATGGTGAAACCCCATCTCTACTAAAAATACAAAAAAAATTAGCAGGGCATGTTGGCGGGTGCCTGTAGTACCAGGTACTCAGGAGGTTGAGGTAGGAGAATGGCGTGAACCTGGGAGACGGAGGTTGCAGTGAGCCGAGATCGCGCCACTGCACTCCAGCCTGGGTGACAGAGCGAGACTCTGTCTCAAAAAAAAAAAAAAAAAAAAAAAATTAGCGGGGCATGGTGCCATGTACCTGTAATCCCAGCTATTCGCGAGGCTGAGGCACGAGAATTGCTTGAACCCGGAAGGTGGATGTTGCAGTGAGCCGAGACTGCACCTTTGCACTGCAGCCTGGGCAATAGATCGAGACTCTGCTCAAAAACAAACAAACAAAAAACTATGTGTAAACAGTAAAAGAGAAAAATCCTCCAGATATTTTGCTGCTTTCCTCAACCAAAGAGACTGTGACTTTCATCTTTAACTGTTTTTCTAGGAAACCACAGCTTCTCCAAGGAGTCTATGCCATGGGTTTCAATCGTCCATCCAAGATACAAGAGAACGCATTGCCACTGATGCTTGCTGAGCCGTATGTGTCCTATTACAACTCCATTTCATTTTAGATTTTCTATTTTTGAAAACTATTATTATTTTCACAGGCCAGCAAGGTGGCTTATGCCTATAATCCCAGCAACCTGAGAGGCAAGGCAGGAGGATCGTTTCAGGCCAGGAGTTCAAGACCAGCCTGGGCGATGTAGCAAGACCCTGTCTCAACAAAAAAAAAAACGTTATAAACTTGGCCAGGCATGGTGGCATGCAGCTGTAGTCCCAGCTACTCAGGAGGCTGAGGCAGGAGGATCACTTGAGCCCAGGAGTTTGAGGTTGCAGTGAACCATGATCATACCATTGTACTCCATTCTGGGCAACAAAGAAAGACCCTGTCTCGAAAGAGAAAAAGAGGAGGCTGAGGCACAAGATTTGCTTGAACCCGGGAGGCAGAGGTTGCAGTGAGCCGAGATCATGTCACTGCACTCCAGCCTGGGTGACAGAGCGAGACTTTGTCTCAAAAAAAAAAAAAAAAAAGTCAAGGGGGCCAGGTGCAGTGGCTCATGCCTGTAATCCCAACACTTTGGGAGGCCAAGGCAGGAGGATCTCTTGAGGTCAAGTGTTCGAGACCAGCCTGGCCAACATGATGAAACCCGACTCTACTAAAAAAATACAAAAGTTAGCCAGGTGTCATGGTGTGCTCCTGTAGTCCCAGCTACTCGGGAAGCTGAGGCACGAGAATCGCTTGAACCCCGGAGGTGGAGGCTACAGGGAGCTGAGATCACACCAGTGCACTCCAGCCTGGGCAACAGAGTGAGACTCCATCTCAAAAATGCAAAAAAAAAAAAGAAAAGAAAAAAAATCATCTGTAATCTCCCTCTCCCCACATTATTAACATTTTGGAGTGGAGACTTCTAGACTTTTCTCTATGTAAACATATAACTTTTAAAAAAGTTGACATATATGACCGGGGTGGTGGCTCATGCCTATAATCCCAGCACTTTGGGAGGCCGAGGCAGGTGGATCACCTGACGTCAGGAGTTTGAGACCAGGCTGACCAACATGGCTAAACCCTGTCTCTACTAAAAATACAAAAAAAAAATTAGCTGGTGTGGTGGCAGGCGCCTGTAAACCCAGCTACTTGGGAGGCTGAGGCAGGAGAATCGGTTGAACCTGGGAGGCAGGGGTTACAGTGAGCTGAGATCATGCCATTGCACTCCAGCCTGGGCAACAAAAGCAAAACTCCATCTCAAAAAAAAAAAAAAAAGTTGACATATGGCCGGGAGCAGTGGCTCATGCCTGTAATCCCAGCACTTTGGGAGGCCTAGCCAGGTGGATCACAAGCTCCGGAGATCGAGACCATCCTGGCTAACACGGTGAAACCCCATCTCTACTAAAAATACAAAAAATTAGCTGGGCGTGGTGGTGGGCGCCTGTGGTCCCAGCTACATGGGAGGCTGAGGCAGGAGAATGGCATGAACCTGGGAGGCGGAGCTTGCAGTGAGCCGAGATCACGCCACTGCACTCCAGCCTGGGCAACAGAGCGAGACTCCATCTCAAACAAACAAACAAAAAAAGGTGACATATAAATAATGTTTTACATGCTGTGTTTTTTAATTATATGATCATCTTCCTATGTTGGTAAATATAAGTTTATATCGTATATGCACCATGATTTCATTGTATTGATATATAAAAGCTATTGTGTCAAATATAATAGAAGCCAAACAGCTCTAGGAGACCTGAATAATACAGTTACTAAGGTGGTTTCCTGGTGCAGGGCATCTCCCACTTTCATAGGCATACAAATCTCATAGACATTTATTAAAATGCAGGGTCTGAATTTAGTAGGTCTAAGTGGGGACTGAGTGTCAACATTTCTAATAAGCTTGCAGGTGATGCTGATGCTGCTGGTTTCAGATCACATTCTGAGTACAAGATTCTAGAGCATGATGGAATTTTAATACAGATTGATCCTATATTTTATATGATTATATACAATTCTGCATATAATGCTAAATTCTGAATCTCTTTTTTTTTTTTGTCTAAAAATAGATATTTTAGGGCAAGTGTGGTGGCTCATGCCTGTAATCCCAATACTTTGAGAGGCCGAGGCAGGCAGATCGCTTGAGCCCAGGAGTTCGAGACCAGCCTGGGCAACATGGTGAGACCCTGTCTCTACTATAAATATAAAAAAGTAGCCAAGTATGGTGGCATGTGCCTGTAGTCCTAGCTACTAGGGAGGCTGAAGTAGGAGGATAACCTGAGCCCAGAAGATTGAGGCTACAGTGAGCAAAGATTGTGCCACTGCCCTCCAGCCTGAGCAAGAGTGAGACCCTGTCTCAAAAAATCATAAATAAAAATAAAAATAGATATTTTAGGTCTGTACTTTCTCAAAGTTTTTTGTTCTGTGTCATAACAGTGACATTTTCTCCAGATGGATAGTGTCTTTTTTTAAGCTTGGCACTTTGAGCATGCTTAGGGTAAATAAATGGAGTATTTATTACATGGTTTCATACTGATTGATCAT